>NC_000010.11:96961277-97264307 GCF_000001405.40 Homo sapiens
CAGTTCATTTAGAGCTGTATCAAGAAAAGCTAAAAAGCAAGCACTTTTAGTTAATCATAGATTTATTGGATATAGCAAATATTATTATAATATTTAATCTCTATTATTTGAATGTGGAAATGAACTCTTTTACCCCATCTTGAACTGTCATTGAACATGCTCAAGATGATCAACACTGGAAATGACCCTACACACATACCAAAAAAATCTAAAGCAGTAAGACATATTTGAAGATCCATACCTCTTAAACTTTTTAGATTTGTCTTGGGAAAGAATTTATGAACCTGTAACCAGTATTAGTGCAGTCTTGGGTTCCTTGTTCTGCATAATTGCACCCTTTCTCAGGTATGTCCTGACAACATAAATTTTAAAATAATCTCATTAGAGATTAGATTCTCAGTGGATAGTGTGTAAGGGGACTAGGGGTGGGGGGTTGGGGGTAGTTGGACACAGGACACTGACACAGTAGAGCAGGGATTTTTAACAGTCAATAGCCAAATAGAATTTCAATCTAGAATATTTTTACCCCCTCAGAATGAGTGAAACAACTTCTATTATTTGGTGTACCCGGTGCTACACTCCTAAAAGTCTTTTTTTTTTTTCATCCAGGTGACGTTTTTTATTTTTCCTGCTTGGTGGTGGAAGGTTATATAGTAAACTTCACTGTCATTAAGAAAGCGCTTGTCCAAAATGTTTAAAGTACTAGAAAAGGGATAATTCAGCACTTTTTCTGTTACAACACTAAAGTCTTAATTTATCTTCAGAGTCTTAGGTACTGTAAGTTTTTGGATGATTATTTAAAAATATAAAACATACTACATAATATGGGGTCAGATCACATTTATATAAATAATTCTTATTTTAAAAAAGACAATAACATTTTGTACCTTTCTAGCAATTCCAAGTGATTGCCTCATTTTCTCTTGTTAAGCATTTCAAGCTTAAGAATTTGGAATTTGAGAGAAGGTGAGGGGGAAAATTCCCTAAAATAAAAATTTGTTTCAAACCATTTTAGAAAAATAAATCACTAGGAAAATAGGTAGGGATTCTCTCCCCCTTTAAGTCTTCAGGGAATGAGCAGTATTTAGAATCTTTGGCTGAAATTCAAGCCTTTTTACTTTGTAAATTTTTAATATTAATTCACTGACATGCTTTTTACACCAGAGGACTGAAAATGGATCTTAATGTTTTTAAGTTGTGGAAGGGTATATTTCTAAAATGAGGGGGGATGATTAACTAGGTTAGTATTACCAGCATTAGTAAGTTTAAGGAATTTTAGTATGTAATAGCAAAGTGTTTGATTAAAAGTCTAATCCTATATTACTAGTCAAAATTAGTTACATTCTGATCTAGGAAAGATAATAGTCATTGGATATTGATATGCTGTGCTGTCAGAAAACCAGACTAAGATAGAAACCTTTATCTGACTCCCACATGTTGCTTGTTGTGATGGGATGTATACTTTACAGCAGCTTATTGCTGCTTTGAAAAAAAATGTATAAACTATACATTTGGAGTGTTTGCATATAATTCTTTATAACCTCCACTTAAAGCTGTCAGACATTGGTATTTTATCAGTCCACATTGTTGAATAAAACTAATGTTCTTAGGAATCCAGCTTGTACACACTGTTTAAAAACCCTCAGGGACAGTTTACACACTCTTCTCACTCAATTCAGGTACTTTGATGCTATTCTTAAACCTAACAGTGACTTGTATTTTTCTGTTTTGCTTTTATTTCAACGTGCTGGTAGCACATCTGATGAATGTCAACTTAAAAAACTCAGTTCAGGTATCCAGGTATAACTCAGCCAAACAGATTTTAAAGCTGCATATAACTCTCCAGCACATGGTGCCTCACACTCTTATAGTGGCATTCTATATATTCAGTTATTACTACTGAGCAGATAATATGGGGGTTCCTGTTAACAGTGTATTTTTTAAAAAAAGCGCATAAATGTATAGCCAGCACACTACACACACACACACAAACATGCACAGTTAAACTATATATTTTTAAATGCCACTAATAGCCAGCACAACTAAAACAAAAGACATTCCTAACTGCTCTGTAAGCTGTTAACAGATGCAGTTCCTTCTTGATGTGGCTCTTGCTTCTTCACGATAACTACTACTAAATTCAAGCACTGGTCCTTGGGTGTCTGACCTCTACATTCTAGTTTATGCAATGTCTTTAGAGAATTTTGTGCACTGGCCACTGTGATGGAACCATTGGGCCAGGAGTGCTTTGAGTTTATCAGTAGTGATTCTGCCAAAGTTGGTGTTGTAACATGAGTATGTAAAATGTCAAAAAAATTAGCAGAGGTCTAGGTCTGCATATCAGCAGACAGTTTTGTCCGTGTATTTTGTAGCCTTGAAGTTCTCAGTGACAAGTTTTTTCTGATGCGAAGTTCTAATTCCAGTGTTTTAGTCCTTTGCATCTTTAATGTTAAGACTTGCCTCTTTAAAATTGCTTTTGTTTTCTGCAGTACTATCTGTGGTTAACAAAATAGATTATTTCTCTGCTTTAATATTTGATATCTTACATCTAAAATAAATTCTCTCCACATATAAAACCCATAGCCTTTGGAGATATGGAAAATGGTATCTTTCAGATTTCTAGAAGTTCAAGTGTCATACAACAAAACAGGAACCCCCTTTACTCTTATGGACCTCATTTCAATATACTGTTTACAGTTTGATGGAATTGTATAATTTAATATTTCTCTTGTACTGTAGTTTATATTTATTTACAGATTTTTTTGTACTGTGTGATTTGAACTTTTTGTTCCTTGCTATGATCAATGTTTATGTAGTAGAGCACTTATGATCACAAATTAAGTTTTTTGGTTTGATTGCACTACATTAAATTTTTTAATGCAGTTCTGATTTTTGACTGGACTAAAACTGTGTCTTAATGTATGTGATGAGTACTTAAAATTTTAATCCATGTGGTCCCCCCCCTTTTTTTTTTTTTTGCATTGTATGTCAAAAGCGCTTGTTCTTTCGTGCATGTGTAAGATTTAATGGTTCCATTGTATTATTTGACCATGACATTTTGGAGAAACATTCCCAGCTGTAATGTTGTGTATGGTAGTTCTCACTGGATGCTAGAGTTTTCAAAACCACTATTCTTCTAATAAATTTTGTTGTGAAAAACTGTTTTTAAAGCTTGGTTTCTACTTCCTAAGATTTTAATGCTTTTTGAAAAATTCAAAAAATGGGTAAAAGTTGGATTGTACTCCAACTGTAAATACACATGGTACAAAGTGATTTTTTTAATGATAAATTCTTTCTAGATGCAATCTTTTAGATAAAGTTGCTGCTGTGAGATTCTGCTTTCATATTCAGGTGCAATATTGCGTTGTAAACTCAGTGTCTTTACTAATTTGATACCTCGGCGCTCAGATTACCTCAGTTTTCTTCATTGGATTATTCATTTTAAAAAATGTATTCAGCTAAACAAGATACAGTAATGTTTTCATAATACCGTCTTCTGTCTTGACTTAGTTTTTTATAATTTTCTTAAGAGTATAAAACTTAATGCCGGGATTCCTTGTCAGAAAATAATAGTGACTATTTTTTGTTTGCTTTTGTCTTGAGGCATAAGTATAAAAGCAACATTGTCAGTCAGTTAAGGTTATGATGGTAGTTCTCATTCTTGGCAGTTCGCTGATAATTCCTTTTACCAGAACACATAAAGAACAGAGTATATGTTGCTCAACATTTAAAAAAAATTTTTTTTTTTTGAGATGGAGTCTCGCTCTGTCTCCCAGGCTGGAATGCAGTGGCACGATCTCGGCTCACTGCAAGCTCTGCTTCCTGGGTTCACACCATTCTCCTGCCTCAACCTCCCGAGTAGCTGGGACTACAGTCGCCCGCCACCACGCCTGGCTAATTTTTTTGCATTTTTAGTAGAGAGGGAGTTTCACAATGTTAGCCAGGATGGTCTTGATCGCCTGACCTCGTGATACACCTGCCTCAGCCTCCCAAAGTGCTGGGATTACAGGTGTGAGCCACTGCGCCAGACTGCTAGTGGTGTTTTATATTTAAAGATGATGCTATTGTTAATTGGTCTAGTTTATCTTTTAATAGTTTTTGTCGGCCGGGCACGATGGCTCACGCCTGTAATCCCAGCACTTTGGGAGGCCGAGGCGAGCGGATCACGAGGTCAGGAGATCAAGACCATCCTGGCTAACACAGTGAAACCCCGTCTCTACTAAAAATACAAAAAATTAGCCGGGCGTGGTGGCGGGCGCCTGTAGTCCCAGCTACTCGGGAGGCTGAGGCAGGAGAATGGCGTGAACCCAGGAGGCAGAGCTTGCAGTGAGCTGAGATCGCGCCACTGCACTCCAGCCTGGGCGACAGAGCGAGACTCTGTCTCAAAAAAAAAAAAAAAAAAAAAAAGACGGGCTATCTAGCTGTTTCTGCCTTTGGTCTGATGTTTATAAAATAGGAATTTATATTAGTACTACAGACTTGTTCTGTTGGCTTTATTTGTTCCCCTTAATTATGCCACATACTTAATCAAGATTTTTTAAGAAAGCTAATTATTATTTTGCTGTAAGTTCCAAAGCCATAACTAACTTGTTTATGGTCATTTCCTGCCGTTACTCATTATAAACTGGGAGCCAGGTCAGTAATAAGATTACAGTTTAGCATCTCATAAATGAATTTGCTTTATTTTAGTGATCCTATCTTCAAATTGATATTCAGCTCTTCAGTTGTTATAAAGGCCCTATTTAAAGAAAGGACTTTTTCTTTTAAACTGGAATTTTCTCTGATTCTGCTGATATTTTGGAAACTAATTCAGGGGGCCCTATGTCTTAACAGGTGTGGAAATTAGGGAGATTGCATAAGAGAAGTAAAATGGAGAAAATGGAAACTTTTTTTTTTTTTTTTTGCCATATCCTGAGTTGGGGATTTTTCCCCCCAAAGGACTCTTTTTTTTTTTTTTTTTTTTTTTTTTGAGACGGAGTCTCGCTGTGTCTCCCAGGTTGGAGTGCAGTGGCGCGATCTCGGCTCACTGCAAACTCCGCCTCCCAGGTTCATGCCATTCTCCTGCCTCAGCCTCCCAAGTAGCTGGGACTACAGGCGCCCGCCAACACGCCCGGCTAATTTTTTGTATTTTTAGTAGAAACGGGGTTTCACCGTGTTAGCCAAGATGGTATCGATCTCCTGACCTCGTGATCCGCCCGTCTCGGCCTCCCAAAGTGCTAGGATTACAGGCGTGAGCCACCGCGCCCGGCCAGGACTCTTAACAAACACTATTCAAATATAACAGCATATGCTCGGGACATGTGGTATTAGGTTTTGTAGCTGAAATGAGTGAATAATTTTTTTAATAGAAAGTGTTAAGTAATATAGTAGATAAGAGTTCTTGTTATATTTCACTTTATTTGCTTCTAAAAGGTAAGCATTTTAACACAGAATTTTATTTATCAGATTCTTAACAGAATGTTGAACTTCCGTTGTTTGACAGGATCTCATTCTTATCTCCCAGGTTGGAGTGCAGTGGCATGATCACGGTTCACTGCAGCCTCGACCTGCTGGGCTTACGTGATCCTCCCACCTCAGCCTCCTGAGTAGCTGGAACTGCAGGCACATGCTGCCATGCCTGGCTAATTTTACAATTTTTTGTGGAGACAAGGTTTCAGTACGTTGCCCTGGCTGGTCTCGAACTCCTGAGCACAAGTGATTTCTCCCACTTTGGCTTCCCTAAGTGCTAGGATTATAGGCATGAGCCATCATGCCTGGCCGACTGTAGAGGTTTTGTAGGCATGTAAGAATACTACTGTTTCTTGACTAGTCATTTTTTAATGTTCGTTGTTCATCAGCAGTATGGAGTGATAATGGTTTGATATTTTTTTGAAATAGAATCTGTCCCTGTCTCCTAGACTGGAATGCAGTGGTGCGATCTCGGCTCACTGTAACCTCCACTTCCCAGGTTCACAAGTGATTCTCGTGCCTCAGCCACTCGAGTAGCTGGGATTATAGGTGTGTGCCACCATGCCCAGCTAATTTTGTATTTTCATTAGCGTTGGGGTTTCACCATGGTTGGCCTGCCTGTTTTGGAACTCCTGGCTTCAAGTGATCCGCCTACCTTGGCCTCCCAAAGTGCTGGGATTACAAGTATGAGCCACCGCACTTTGCCTGAATTGTTATTTTAATGTTATCTTTCAACTTGGTGCACTAGAAAGATCACTTATTTTTCCTTCTGTAAAGTGAGGGTGTTACAGACTGAATGGTTTTTAGACCTTATTTCAACTCGTGAGTTGAAATATTTAAAATGATAGAAAATGTCATTTTCTATTAAATGTGAGACAAATACACAAATCGTATCTGTACGAACATTGGCAAATACAGTAGAAACTCTTTATTGAATAAGGTCTCGTAAACCCAGGTCTCACCTTTGCATTGAAACATTTTCTAAAGGAAAAAAAAGATCTGGATATCATGTTTAGATGCCTTTTGTTTATTTTAAGTTTTTGTTATGAAGTGTGTATGAATGTGATACTTTTGCAAATATTAACTTGAAAAGTCACTTTAAGTTATTCATAATTTTTATTTCTATTATGTGCAGGGTAGGTGTTCCTTGAATATTAGAGCACTAAGGGTCTTGGGAATCATCAGATACAATCAGTCTTAAGCAGAATCAACCTTTTAAAAATATAGATGCCTGGGTCCTACACTAGACTAGATCCACTGAATCAGTTTATAGGAATGAGGCTTAGACATGTTTAGTATTTTCAGAATGTTCCACAGGAAGTTTTTTGGGTTTTTTATTATGGTTAAAAAAAACATTAAAATTTACCATCTTAGTCATTTTCAAGTATACAGCTCAGCATTGTTAAGTACATTCATGTTGTGACCACAGGAAGTTTTTATTAACCCACTGATTAAGTACTGTTGATCCCATTCTACTTTTTCATTTTTTTAGGTGAAAAACATGGAACTTGGAACCTTGAGGGACTTGTCCCTCCTCACACAATGAGGTGCCCATAATACTCATGATTTCATACCATCTTACTTATCTCCGTACCACTTTGGCATTCTTGACTCAAGCTAGAATTAGAATTAGGGATTGTACATACTAATAATTTTCCGTTAGATTCAGTTTTAACTAAATTTTAACTATTAATTGAGTTTGGCCCTTCAGCAAACTTACGCTGCTTTTTAGGAAGAGAATGAAATCTCTTTTGTGAAGTTAGCCATAAAAATATTGAAAGCATATAAAACCTCAGTGTTAAAAATCAGCATTAATAGGTGACTTTCAGAAAGCCCTCATAAAGGAGGTGAGTTGAAGAATAGGTAGGGCATGGATAGGAGAGGAGAGAATACCCCAAGTTTGAGAGATAGGATTTGATGGGCCTGAGTTTAAATGCCATGGCTCACTTCTGTAATCCCAGTGTTTTGGGAGGCCGAAATGAGATGATCACTTGAGCCCAGGAGTTTGAGACCAGCCTGGACAACATGGTGAGACCCCATCTCTACAAAAAATCCAAAAATTAGCTGGCTTGGTGGCTCAATGCCTGTAGTCCCAGCTCTACTTGGTGGTGAGGTGGGAGGGTCACTTGGGCCCAAGAGATAGAGGCTGCAGTCAGCCCTGATCGCACCACTGCACTCCAGCCTGGGTGACTAAGTAAGAGATCCTGTCTCCAAAAAAAAAAAAATTCAGCGTTTTCACTTGCTTATTACTACATGATCTTGAACAAGTTATTGAACCTTCCCGAGTTTCAGTTTTCTTATCTGTAAAAGAGGGTCATAGATTTGCTATAAGGTTTAAATGAGATTCTGTTGTGTAAAATACTTAGCACTGTGGCAGGCTCTTTGCAAGTGTTGTATAAATGAAAGGCATTGACAGCACCTGATGGGCATGAATTTAGTGTGAGGGATAGAAGAGTGAGAAAGTCAGATTGACATTATGCAAGAAACTGTATTGATTAGAACACTGGAGAGTGAGGTCGTTGTGTTCATATTAGACTGAAGCAAAGGGCAGCCAATCTTGTTCAAGAACCTAAAAATACTGGAATTGTGATTGAAACCTGGAATGCTGCTTTCCTGCATTTCATGGTACTGTTTTAGGGGAATGTAATCAAACCATTAATTATTGTTTCTTTTCAAAGACTAAAATGGAATAAAAGTTGTTTGGAAGTAGAAGATGCTTAAGATTAGAAATTTAAAAGTCATAAAGTTAACTATGTGCATTTCCATTGTATACAAAATTTTTTGTATACTTTAAGGTTGAAGTTTTACATGCTTTGTAGACTTCTTTTTGCATGGGTAGTAGAGTTTGAACAATGATCTAAGAGCTGAGGGTGGGAATGTGTATGTTTAATCATCAAAACTTTTCCAGTGGAAGAAGTTGGGGACAATTATGCCTATTTAATGTGGTTTTATCAATTAGGGGTTGTGTGGATTTCAAACCAACAAATCAGATCACAGCTAACATAGTTTAGAGGTGTTCATTTCAACAATTTTCTTTCTTTTTTTTTTCTTTTTTTTTTTTTTTCTTTTTTGAGACAAGAGTCTCGCTCTGTTGCCCAGGCTGGAGTGCAGTGGTGTGATCTCAGCTCACTGCAAGCTCCGAGTCTTGGGTTCACACCATTCTCCTGCCTTAGCCTCCCGAGAAGCTGGGACTACAGGCACCCGCCATCACACCTGGATAATTTTTTTTTTTTTTTTTTTTTTTTTTAGTAGAGATGGGGTTTCACCATGTTGGCCAGGATGGTCTCGATCTCCTGACCTCATGATCCGCCCGCCTCAGCCTCCCAAAATGCTGGGATTACAGGTGTGAGCCACCATGCCCAACCTTTAACAACTATTAAATTGACTTGAGGCTGGGTGCGGTGGGTCACGCCTGTAATCCCAGCACTTTGGGAGGCTGAGGCAGGCAGATCACCTGAGCTCAGGAGTTTGAGACCACCCTGGGCAACATGGTGAAATCCTGTCTCTACTAAAATACAAAAAAATAACCGGGTGTGGTGGCGCTTGCCTGTAGTCCTAGCTACTCTGGAGGCTGAGGCACAAGAATCGCTTGAGCCCGGGAGGCGGAGGTTGCAGTGAGCGAGATCACACCACTTCACTTCAGCTTGGGCTACAGACTGAGACGCCGTCTCAAAAAATAAATAAATAAGAGTAAAAAATAAATTGACTTGAGGTATTTTTGCCAAGAAGACCTGGCAGTGTAATTTTGACTAGATAGAGATGGATTAAGAAAAAAAATCCATCTTCTTGGATTTCTTCTCTACCTACCAGGTAGTTTTTCAAATTGGGTTGACCAGCTACAGCCTATTAATGGATTGTAAGATCCTAACCAGCATTTTATTTTATTTTATTTTATTTTATTTATTTTATTTTATTTTATTTTATTTTATTTATTTTATTTTATTTTATTTTAGAGACAGAGTCTCACTCTGTCGCCCAGGCTGGAGTGAAGTGGCATGATCTCGGCTCACCACAGCCTCTGCCTCCCGAGTTCAAGTGATTCTTGTGCCTCAGCTTCCCAAATAGCTGGGACTAGTAGAGACGGGGTTTTGCCATGTTGCCCAGGCTGGTCTCGAACTCCTGAGCTCAGGCAATCCTCCTGCCTCGGCCTCCCAAAGTATTAGAATTACAGGCGTGAGCCACCACGCACAGCTCTAGCCAGCATTTTAAAAAAGAAACAGAATCAGAGTACATAGGATTATAGTAAGGATAAATAATGTTTCATCAAAACTTACATCATCATACATATATACATACAAATTGGAATGTGTGTACTGGGTCACTTTGTAAAAAGTATTTCTTGTTCTGGATTGCTGTTGAAAACCTAGTGGTGTTTTAAAGCCATTATGTAAACCATTTCATCCCAGTTTTCCTGGTACCTTAGAGAGCACACTTGGACTGCCTGTGTGCTTAGTCAAAACCTACATACTTACTGTCTGCCCTTCAAAATTCCCTTCTTTCCCTGCCTCGTTGAACTCATTTTTTTTGAAAGGTTATTCTTTTCCCTTCTGATTATATGTAAAAATGTTTCCTCTACCCCTTTCAATTCCCTTGAAAAATGCATTTGGGAGAATTATTTTCACTACATAATAATTTATTTGAATAGTCCATTTGTGACTGACTTAATGCCTGCCATGAGTTGAGCCCCAAGCTTTAGGCACTGAGGCTACCAAATTGGAAAGGACAAAGTCCTTGACCTAGAGGAGGTTCACAGTCCATGGAGAAGACGGTTAGGTCAATAGTTACAAAGCAGCATAAGTACTGTTTAACAAAAGATACAAGCAGACTGTGAGAGTAGAGGAGAAACTACCTAATGCAGCACCAGGGACAGGGTGCTGAGGAGGGTTGTGTAAGCAGTGGGGAGCTTATAGGGGTTTCATGCAGGAAAGTAACCAGATGAGATTTGGGCTTTAGGAAGTTGGCAATTCTGGATAATGTGACGCTGACTCTAAAATGAGAAACGAGGGGCAGAGATATACAATATAGCATTTTCCAAAGAAAGTCAACCCTTGTAGTTAAAACTGGATGGTGTATTGGAGGCAAGGGAAGTGATGAAACTAATAATAAAAATTGAGGTAGAATATCTAGCATAGAGTATCTAAATAACAGGCCTTATAACTCTTACGTCTGCATGTGTGCCTACACATTCAGTTACATTTTGTCTTCCAAGATTCCTGAGTAAAAACTTGAACGTACAGATGATTTTATTAATACTTAGTTCAGTTCTACCCCCAGAACATCTCCAGCTGTAGCCTTGAGTGTTTCTAGAGAGGGGTGGGGTGGGGAATAGTTATAAAGGACTATTAATTCTTATAGCACCCCAGAGAGGATGATAAATATAAAATACCTTGCTTATCCTCACACTTTAAAAATACTTAAAAAAATAAAAATTTAGTGTTACTGCTCACCTTATGAGTATCAATGAGGTAAAGGGGTAAAATATTAAAAATATTTTAAAAATATTTTTAAATGTATGTCATCCAGTCCAAAATCTCACATCTCTCACTGCCTCTGAACCCTCCCTTTTTTTAAAAAATTAACACCATATATACGTTAGATTTTGCATAGTCTTACCAAGGATGATGAAGTTAGAAACAAAAATCAATTTGGTAGGGGAAAAAAACCACAGAAGTAGTTTGTCAGAGATGTCTGTTTTCTGAGGCCATCACATTTCCAGAGAGCAAATGGAGGCATTGACCTGCTGTGCTTAATGACCCTTGCTCTGACTTCCTGCTCTCCAAGTAACTTTCTGATTGTATTTTGGCATCCTGGGTACATTTGTCTGTAGGGTAAAAATATGTTAAAGAATGAACATGAGAATCTTCTTGATAGTTATATTTTTTATTGTAATTTAATAAATTTGACAATCTAGTTAAAATGAAGAAAAATAGGAGATACAATATATAAGCCTTAAAGTGCTTCTGTGATATTTAGGAGATCTACTCTGTCCCTTATCTAGGGATATTAAGCCTTAAGATGCAGAAAGGTAGCAAACTATGGCTTCATGCCCAGTAAGCTCCCTCTGAAACACCTATTTTTCCCCCAGTTTCGATTATTAGTTCATTATTTTTGAACCTTTATTCTGCTCTTTTAGTGAATGTGGTTAAGAACATGGTAAACTTAGCAATTACAAAGGGATTGCATGCCCTTTGCTTTAGATCAGTACCTCCACACACTTGAACAAATACCATGTTGCCATTAGCAATGGTGTCACTGAGGCTGGGACTTCTATAGGGGTGAAGAGATACATCCTGGTTTCAACCCCTCACCATTCTCCATGATTCTGATCTCTGGGAAAGGGGATAATTTAACCCCAATTTTGAAAATTGCTTTTTCTGTATCTAGGTTCTATCTACATCCAAATTTAGATAATTTGGATTTCAACCACCTGGAAATCACATATTTAACAGCCTGTGATTTTTATGAACTTCATTTCTCACTTTCCTGTATTCACTTTTGCCTACCCTTTCACTGCTTCTCCTAAGCCAGTTCTGTGGAAAGAAAAGTTTGTTCAGGGGTTTTAAAGTACACCTATGGCTTTCTAAAGAGTGGAAAAATAAAATTTCCACACCCCATGCCAACCTTCTCCATTATGTCTACACAACTTTGTCATAACCTTGGAATATCCTTATATTCAGGTGTGGAGGATACAACAGATGTGAAATAGCCAAGAGTAGATAAATTTCTCCGTGTAGAGCAAGGACTTGTCAGCAGATTTTTTCAGGCCCTCCTGACTATACTTATACTTTCTGTGCTTAAAGGAGAAGAAGTGAGTAAACTAGGGGACACAATTTCAGATTATTGTCTGGCAAAAAATATAACTTGTTATGCCTTGAAGAGGGGGTGAGGAAGCATTTTTGTTTTATTTAAAGAGTCAAGCCATAGTAATTTACAACCCTTGACTATAGTCAGCTCTCTAAAGCTTGCTTTCCCCTTCTGTTTTCCTGGGACTCCCTGTTTCTGCTATTAAGATTAGCTCCTATCCAAACATCATTCTCTGTGGCTATTGATCTTTTTTCAGTCAAGAAGAATGTATTTTGGTCATCAGTGATATTGCCTTTGCTCATCAAGCAGTTATTGGTAGTTAGAGAGTAAATACCTAAATTCATCACTCCTAAATTCTAGACTCTCAGACTTGTCACTTCACCTCCATGCCAAATCTCTTCTCCACTTGATCTTTAACTCTAAGATAACATAAGCATTGCCCACCCACCAGTATTAACCACAGGAATGCTTTCCATCAGAAATTAAATGTTGTGTTATTGACTTGGTAGGCAAGTTAAGCTGTGTCTAACCTATGATGTAGATAAATATTGAGTAAATCATTAAAGATGGGGTTATGAAACAACAATCATTCTTAAACTGTAGCTTTTAAAGGGTTTATGAATATTATCTTATCCTTTTACCACACCCTTAACAATTGGGCATGGAACTGAAGATAGGAAGACAGTGGTCAAGGTCATGCACACCGTTTCTCACCAAGGAGATAAACTGAAAACTAATTTAAGTATTGGAAATCCAGTTTTTTCTTTTCCTTTATGAGAAGTGGGAGTACTTCCTCCCATTAACCAATCCCTAGGATCTTACTGTGCTTTAGTGGTGGTTTTCAGGTATTTCTGATTAACGAATAATTCACTTGACTATTACAGAGTCCTCTTGATGAGCAGAAGCAGCATGAACTAGCATGAGCTCAAGTCATTTCAACATCTGTTATGAATTACTGTTCTTATAAAGACCTTATTTAGTCAGATGTGAAGGACATCGTATGATACAGACTATAATCTGCACCGAACTAAAACAGTGCTTCCTGGACCTTAGGCCAAGTTGAGGAAATGGTTTGCAGAACAGAAAATTGCCTCTCTCTGGTTTCCCTACTAGCTGCCCAACAATATTCTAAGTTAATGCAAGTGCTATATTTAGGGTTTGTTACAAATCTAAGGTCTCGGAAAAATTGAATAACTAGAAGCAAAAGTAAAGACAAGCTGTTTAAAACAGGAAAAACTGGCTAACACCTATTTTTTAACATAAAAAAATAGTAATAGAATTAAATATCAGGAAGTTGAGATTCATTTTTAAAATATTCAAATGATAAAGTGAAATTCATCTAAATTTAGGTGCTATTGGCCGGGTGCTGTGGCTCACACCTGTAATCCCAGCACTTTGGGAAGCCGAGGCTGGTGGATCACCTGAGGTCAGGCGCTTAAGACCAGCCTGGCCAACAGGGTGTAAAACCCCATCGCTAGTAAAAATACAAAAATTAGCTGGGTGTGGTGGCACATGCCTGTAATCCCAGGTACTTGGGGGGCTGAGGCCCAAGAATTGCTTGAACCCGGGAGGTGGCGGTTGCCGTGAGCCAAGATTGTGTCACTGCACTCCAGCCTGGGCGACAGAGGGAGACTCTATCTCAAAATAAAATAATAAAATAAATACTTATGTGCTATTAAGAAAAATTCCAGAAAAAAAAGTAGGAAGCTGGATAACTTTGAGGCACAGCCAAAACTGATTTTATTGCTATATTGTAAAGTTAGCTGTTATAACAGGGCCTTTTAATGACACCTGGACAAAGGTTAGTATTCATGTGAAGGCCTCTCAGATCGAAGGGAAGCTGTTGGTGGGCTCATCATGCCTATGTGTCTAGTTGCCTACCAGACATCTCAGGTTCAGAATCATGTAAATATCTTAATATGTATAGTACAGAGCTCTTCAGAAACATACACAGCCTAACAACCACCAGCCACTATCTTTGTTACCTTTATTCCTATCTCAGTAAATGGTGCTGCCCAGGAAGAAAACTCAGGAAGCATCCTAGATGTCCCTTTTCCCTCTCCTCTTTTTTGCTAAGAGAAAACAGGAAAACATGAAACATGGTCCCTGCACTCAAGTAGCTTACATCTGCTTGGGAAGCTAAGACAAAAACAAGGCAAAGTCAATACAAGATAAAAATTATAGGATAAATATACAAGACTCTGGCCAGGAGTGGTGGCCCACACCTGTAATCCCAGCACTTTGGGAGGCTGAGGCAGGTGGATCACCTGAGGTCAGGAGTTCGAGACCAGCCTGACCAACATGGCAAAACCCTGTCTCTACTAAAAATACAAAAGCTAGCCGGACGTGGTGGTGGGCGCCTGTAATCCCAGCTACTTGGGAGGCTGAGCCAGGAGGGTTGCTTGAACCCGGGAGGTGGAGGTTGCAGTGAGCCAAGATCACGCCATTGCACTCCAGCCTAGGCAACAACAGCGAAACACACAAGACCCCGTGTAATTGAGTTTTACCAAGCACAGTGGCTTAGGATTTTCAGGAAAGAATGCAATCAAACCAGGTGGGGTAGTTTTGAGCTGGCCAGTGACAGGCTGACAAGAATACCCTGGTACCTGCTCTTACACGTTGTCCCTGATCCTTTTTATGAGGAAAACATACAAATGATCTTTTTTGTTGATGCCATTTTCTCTGGAGGTTGCCATTTGCAGTTCTGTGGAAAGAAACGTTTATTTTCTTTTCATTCTCCTGAGCTTCCACAAACTACTGCTCTAAGTGTCCCTTAAGGTTGGTGTAGCCTGTGTCAGTCTCTCTGATGCTACTGTTTTTTAGTATCCACATGCTGTATTACATTGTTCCAGGTTAGAGTTCAGTGGATCCTGAACATGTTTCTTTAGCATGCCTTAGTGGTGGCATGGAAGACACCACCGCCTCTTGCCATGAGGTTGTGAAATACATTCCTACCTACCTGTGGCTGTCTAATGGGGACTAGCTTGAGCCATATGGCCATGGTTGTTGCTTCAGGGCTGGCTGCATGGCCCTTTGGAAGACCTTACATTAGTTAAGGGTAATGAAGATATTGGGGTGCTATTAAGTTATTGAAACATGGGACAGCAGCAGATTAGAGTCTCACAATCATGAAGGAAGTTAGATAATACCTGTGAACTAAATTATTACTCATTTATTCTGTGTGAGCATCACTTTAGAGGAAAGTGCTTCTTCAGCTTTCTTCATAGCACTCTGTCTTCTTACTGCATGCATACCTTGATGTCATTCAACCCCAGGCATCTCATTAATTCCAAGCACTAAAGCTTGCTTCCAGAACCCAGCTATAGGCATGAAGCGGTACCTAGAAAATTTTTGCGAAGAGTTAGGTAATGATTGTGCTTCTTGAATTAGGAAGAACCGTTTATCTCTTCAGTTTTTCTACAATTAGATGCCATAATATTTCTTCACCCTCTTCACTGACCTTTGTCATCCTTTTTTGTGTATTGCCAAAACGCACTTGGAGTATGTTCTTTGATGCATTGAAAAGGCACCCACTTATTTATAGTCACCTACCTTGGAAACATCAGGAACATATCAGGAACTAAGGAATAAAGGCTTTTGAGCAACAGAAGTTGTGGTTAGAAAATTCATGTACTTACCCCTAAAACTATTCCTCAAGCTTTCATTCAGAGCCTATTTATTTTTACTTAAAGTACCATTTTGGCACTTGGGATATGGCTTCTCAGCTAGTGAGTAAAATTCTCTACTAAAGGTAGAAGTAGGACTGCTAAGATCAGCCACTGTTTGGAAGCCAGTAAGAAAGAAGATTTAATACAATACAGGCCACCACTGTAGTTTTTAGGAAGTCAGACTTAGTTAATTGAGTTGCCCCTCAAACTATTAATCTAATTCAGTCTAGTATAATAAAAATAATAGCCAGACTTCAGTAATAGTCCATATGGTAATGATCCCAAGTATCAGGAAGAATAAATTATGTTCCAAGATAATATAATTTTTTAAGACTTCCATCAAAAAAAATTTGAATCTTTAAATATTTGCTTTAAAATGTTTGGTACTTGAAGGTTAAACTTTATCCAGAAAATGTACCCCTTTTAGGTTATAAGAAAGCATTAATGCATGTTCTTGATCTCCAAGTTTGTTTGTTTGTTTGTTTGTTTTTTGATGTGGGGTCTCACTCTGTCACCCAGGCTGTAGTACAGTGGCATGATCATAGCTCCCTGCAGCCTCGACCCCCTTGGCTCAAGCGATCCTCCTACCTTAAGTCTCCCAGGTAGCTGGGACTGCAGGCTCATGTTAGCAAGCACAGCTAGCCCAGTGATTTTTTACTGAAGCACTTTTAATTTGATTCACTGACAGTAGTGGTAGCTGATATTTGTATAAACTTTGTAGGTTTTTCCTTGGAGAATTTCCAAGTGGTAGATGGGGCAGGTACTCTACTAAGACCCAAAGTGGTTAAATGTTTTGGACAAGGTCACATAACTAGTAAGCAGCAGGACTACTTACTGATTCTCCATCTCCACTCTCGTACTGTAGCCTGTAACACATATTGTGCTGTTGCTTTCATCTGGTAGACATAGTGACAAAGTTCTTCCTAAAGGGGTCTGGGGTCCTTCAGCAGGGGCCTCCTCCTGCCTGTTCCATGAGCAGAAAAGTCTGCAGCTGCATGAGGATTCTGTTGAGCTCCTTTGTACATCTCATTGAGTCGGAAAGTTGGAAATGTCCTAACAATCACTCATCCAAGGGTGTCACTGATGTCTTGCCTGTTCCAAAGGAAGAAGATAATATTTGCCATTCTTGCAAAGCAGGAGGAGCTTATTCCATATGCTGCCTTTTTAAAACTTTTACTAAGTCCACTTTACAGATAGAAAAGTACTCAATAGGTTTTTTCTAGCTGCTTTCGTCTTTTCTTTCCTTTGGTACATTTTGTCCCCATCGCCAGTATGTACTTCAGAGTTCACCGTACTTGTGTACCTTTTGTAATACTTCTATAATAATATTTTTTCCTAGAGTATTCACAATTCAGGTATCATTGGAAAGTATGAGGTAGGCATTTTCTATGACATTTCTAGTCTTTCAAATCCATGGTCTAATATAGGCCCTTTCAGAAACCCATGGCACTACCGACTAAAACTGCTTTCTTGCTAGTTGTGAAAACAAAAACACAGTGTAACCTTTTCTCTGGTAAAGCAGTTTAGGTTAAGCAACAGATTTGACTAATTTCTTGGTTTTGTATTTAGACATGTTCAGCAACCTTTTCACTACTTGATCTTAAAAATCTCCCTAAGCCCTGAACAGAAACTGAAATTGTCTGAGCACCTGCCCTTTTGTGCTTTGTGCTTTATGTTTTATGTATGTTATCTAATATCTCACAACAATCCTTTGAGATACTGACATTCAGTCCCAACTTACAGATGAGGAAACCAAGGTTCAGAGAGATGACGTAACTTGCCTAAGATCCTGTAGATAGTAAATGTCAGAGCCAAAGGTGGAATCTCGGATCTCCATATTCCACAGCCTATGCTCTTTTCCACTGTGACCCCACTGCTCAGAAGCCAGTGGAGGGTGGGAAGGTAGGAGGTGATGTGGGTTGTCTAGGGTCAGCCTTCCTGTAAAAGTGCCTCATGACTGAGACAGAAAAATCAAAGACTGAAGAAAAGAATTAGCCAGAAGATATTATCAAACATCTGTTCACACATTTAAAGCTGCCTCTGTGTGCTGCTGTATTTCATGGCAAGTCACATAATAGTCTCCTGAGGAATTATAATCCATACAGAGAGAGAGGGAGTTTAAAAAATTATATAAAACTCCAGGAAATTGGAGCACACCGACTGCATGGGTTCAGTACAACCCAGACATCCAGAAGCACAAAGCAGCTAGTGAAAGGCCTGGCTGTCTAAGCAGGTATTGCCTGTGGCATGTCTTGAGTCTAGCATCACCCTTTCACACAGTCCCCACTGTCTGCGCTAAGCTCTAAGGATTTGTCCTGGGTGACTTACTTAAATGGTGGAAAGGGGTTTTTAACATAGAATGATTTCTTGTGGTTGATTGTAAAAGGTGTATTGAAGATCTCGGAGAATGTAGCAAGTGGGCCTTGAATAAAGATACAATACTACTACCTTGCAGTGACAGGCCTGTACAGTTTAGTGTGGCTTCATAGCTATCTCCTCACTTAAGAGACTGCGAATTGGGACTTGCTTGTCATCTCACCATTTAAAGTAGGTGAAGTTATTGATTTCTATTCCTTTATACTCCCAGGAAAGGGTAGCAGGATTCCTGCATTAGCATGACCAATTGGTCATGCTGAGAAACTATCTTAAAACTGTTAAGTTCTCAGCCGAGTGCGGCGGCTCACGCCTGTAATCCTAGCACTTTGGGAGGTTGAGGCAGGCGAATTGCCTGAGCTCAGGAGTTCGAGACCAGCCTGGGCAACATGGTGAAACCCCGTCTCTACTAAAATACAAAAAATTAGCCAGGCGTGGCGGCGTGCGCCTGTAGTTCCAGCTACTTGGGAGGCTGAGGTAGGAGAATTGCTTGAACCCAGGAGGCAGAGGTTGCAGTGAGCCAAGCTCGCACCACTGCATTCCAGCCTGGGCGACAGAGCAAGACTGTCTCCATTAAAAAACAAAACAAAACAAAAAAAAAAAACTGTAAGTTCTGTTAAGTACTTCTAAACCCAAGATTTGTACTGTAGTGCACCTCAATTCTTGTCAGTGTTGTGGACTTATAAACCCACGATTATTTAACAGGAATACCCAGACCTAAAATAAAGTATATGTTGACCAACCAGAGTTAATAGTGTGGTCAAAATTTTAGCTTTTTTGAAAAAAATGTATTTGCAGTATTTCTTCTCTTTAAGATAAAAATGATTTTTGAATGATTACTTTTAACGTATGAAGAATATCGTCACTAAAATTTGAGGCTATAACAGGCTGACCTTATAATTAGGTAAATAATTCACATTTATTGAATCAAAAGTATATGAGCAGACTTAGAAGCAGTTTTCGCCAAAGTACCCACCCTCTTTATAATACAGATAGCCAGGCAAGGTGGCTTACACCTGTAATCCCAGCACTTTGGGAGGCTGAGGCAGGAGGATCTCTTTAGGCCAGGAGTTCGAGATCAGCCTGGCCAACATAGCGAGACCCTGTATCTACAAAAAATAAATAAATAATAAAATGAATAACGTTGGGTGAATTTTATAATGTAAAAATGGTTCTTTGGTAAATGACAATACTAATTCCTTCTTTCTCTTTCTCTGTCTAGTGAGAACTCAACAGAGGCAAAAGCAGTAGATTCTAACAATCAGTCGAAGTCCCCACTGGAGAAATTTATGGTCAAACTGTGTACTCATCATCAAAAGCAATTCATTCGTGTTCTGAACGACCTGTACACTGAATCTCAACCAGGCACTGAGGACCTGCAGCCTTCTGATTCGGGAGCAATGGATGTATCCACTTGCAATGCTGGCTGTGCCCAGCTCAGCACCAAACATAAGGAAAAAGATGCTCTGTGTCTCGATATGAAGTCTTCTGCTTCTGTAGATTTGTTCGTAGACTCGTCAGACTCTCACAGCCCTCTACACTTGACGGAACAGACCCCGAAGAAGCCTCCTCCTGAGATAAACCCTGTAGATGGAAGAGAGAATGCCTTGACTGTTGTCCAGAAAGATTCCTCTGAACTTCCAACCACTAAATCGAATTCTATTAATAGCAGTTCAGTGGATAGTTTCACTCCGGGATACCTCACTGCATCTAATTGTTCCTCAGTGAACTTCCACCACATCCCTAAAATCTTGGAGGGGCAGACCACTGGACAAGAGCAAGACACAAATGTGAACATATGTGAGGATGGTAAAGACCATATGCAGAGTTCAGCTTTAGTAGAAAGTCTAATTACAGTAAAAATGGCAGCTGAGAATAGTGAGGAAGGCAATACCTGTATTATTCCTCAAAGAAATTTGTTCAAAGCTTTATCAGAAGAGGCTTGGAACTCAGGGTTTATGGGGAACTCATCTAGAACTGCTGACAAAGAGAATACTTTACAGTGTCCAAAAACACCTTTGCGCCAGGATTTAGAGGCAAATGAACAAGATGCAAGGCCAAAGCAAGAGAACCATCTTCACTCTCTGGGAAGAAATAAGGTGGGTTACCATTTACATCCCAGTGATAAGGGCCAGTTTGATCATTCCAAAGATGGTTGGTTAGGCCCCGGCCCTATGCCAGCTGTACACAAAGCGGCAAATGGACACTCAAGAACCAAGATGATATCAACCTCCATCAAGACAGCTCGGAAAAGTAAAAGGGCATCAGGGCTGAGGATAAATGATTATGATAACCAGTGTGATGTTGTTTATATCAGTCAACCAATAACAGAATGCCACTTTGAGAATCAAAAATCAATATTATCTTCTCGGAAAACAGCCAGAAAGAGTACTCGAGGATACTTTTTCAATGGTGACTGTTGTGAGCTGCCAACTGTTCGTACACTGGCCAGAAATTTACACTCCCAGGAAAAAGCAAGCTGCTCAGCATTGGCATCAGAGGCAGTTTTCACTCCTAAGCAGACCCTTACAATTCCAGCCCCTAGACATACAGTAGATGTGCAGCTTCCCAGAGAAGACAACCCTGAAGAACCTAGCAAGGAAATCACCTCTCACGAGGAAGGAGGTGGAGACGTTTCACCTCGAAAAGAACCTCAAGAGCCTGAGGTTTGCCCCACAAAGATTAAGCCGAACCTGAGCAGCTCCCCTAGGTCAGAGGAAACGACAGCCTCCAGCCTGGTGTGGCCTCTCCCTGCTCACCTTCCTGAAGAGGACCTGCCAGAAGGTGGCTCCACAGTCTCAGCTCCCACAGCAAGTGGGATGTCTTCTCCTGAACACAACCAACCACCAGTTGCACTGTTGGATACGGAGGAGATGAGTGTACCCCAGGACTGTCACCTCCTTCCCTCCACTGAAAGCTTTTCCGGGGGAGTCAGTGAAGATGTCATTTCTAGGCCTCATTCTCCTCCTGAAATAGTCAGTAGAGAAGAAAGTCCTCAGTGCTCAGAAAATCAGAGTTCCCCAATGGGCTTGGAGCCCCCCATGAGTCTGGGAAAGGCTGAGGACAACCAAAGCATCAGTGCTGAGGTTGAGTCTGGAGACACCCAGGAGCTAAATGTCGACCCACTCTTGAAGGAAAGCAGCACTTTTACTGATGAAAACCCCAGTGAAACTGAGGAAAGTGAGGCAGCAGGTGGTATAGGAAAATTAGAGGGAGAGGACGGTGATGTAAAATGCCTGTCAGAAAAAGACACGTATGATACAAGCATTGACTCACTCGAAGAGAATTTGGACAAGAAGAAAAAAGGTAAAAAATTCCCTGAGGCCTCTGATAGGTGCCTAAGAAGTCAACTTTCGGATTCTTCCTCTGCTGACAGATGCCTAAGAAATCAGAGTTCAGATTCTTCCTCAGCTTGTCTTGAAATCAAAGTTCCTAAAAATCCTAGTGCAAAACGTTCAAAAAAAGAAGGGCACCCTGGTGGGACAACACCTAAGGGCCTTCTACCTGACAGTTTCCACACGGAAACTCTGGAGGACACAGAAAAGCCAAGTGTCAATGAACGCCCCTCTGAGAAAGATGCTGAGCAGGAGGGCGAAGGCGGGGGGATCATCACCAGGCAGACTTTGAAAAACATGCTGGACAAAGAAGTCAAGGAGTTACGAGGAGAGATTTTCCCCAGCAGGGACCCCATAACCACAGCTGGACAGCCACTGCCTGGAGAGAGATTGGAAATCTATGTTCAGTCTAAAATGGATGAGAAGAATGCTCATATCCCCTCAGAAAGTATTGCTTGTAAGAGGGACCCAGAACAGGCAAAAGAAGAGCCAGGGCATATTCCCACACAGCATGTGGAGGAGGCTGTGAATGAGGTAGACAACGAAAACACCCAGCAGAAAGATGATGAGAGTGATGCCCCATGCAGCTCTCTTGGGTTGTCGAGTAGTGGAAGTGGTGATGCTGCTAGGGCACCAAAATCGGTGCCAAGGCCTAAAAGATTGACCTCTTCAACCTACAACCTAAGACACGCTCATTCTCTGGGCTCCTTGGATGCTTCAAAAGTGACTTCAGAAAAGGAAGCTGCACAAGTAAACCCCATAATGCCAAAGGAAAATGGAGCTTCAGAGAGTGGAGACCCCCTAGATGAGGACGATGTTGACACCGTGGTAGATGAACAGCCAAAGTTTATGGAATGGTGTGCTGAGGAGGAGAACCAAGAGCTCATCGCCAACTTCAATGCCCAGTACATGAAAGTTCAGAAGGGCTGGATCCAGTTGGAGAAAGAAGGACAGCCAACACCAAGAGCAAGGAACAAATCAGATAAACTGAAAGAGATTTGGAAAAGCAAGAAAAGGTCACGGAAATGTAGGAGTTCATTGGAGAGTCAGAAGTGTTCTCCTGTTCAGATGCTCTTTATGACAAACTTTAAATTATCTAATGTTTGTAAATGGTTCTTAGAGACAACTGAAACCCGGTCTCTAGTCATTGTGAAGAAGCTCAATACTCGCCTTCCAGGAGACGTTCCCCCTGTCAAGCATCCTCTTCAGAAATACGCTCCTTCCAGCCTATATCCCAGTTCACTACAGGCTGAGCGCTTGAAAAAGCACTTGAAGAAATTTCCTGGAGCTACCCCTGCTAAGAATAATTGGAAAATGCAGAAGCTCTGGGCCAAATTTCGAGAGAATCCTGATCAAGTGGAGCCAGAAGATGGCAGTGATGTCAGCCCCGGCCCTAATTCTGAAGACAGCATAGAGGAAGTCAAGGAAGATAGAAACAGTCATCCTCCAGCAAACCTGCCCACTCCAGCCAGTACCCGGATTCTTAGAAAATATTCCAATATTCGAGGAAAGCTCAGAGCCCAGCAACGTTTAATCAAGAATGAGAAAATGGAATGCCCAGATGCTCTGGCTGTGGAAAGTAAGCCAAGTCGTAAGAGCGTATGCATCAACCCTCTGATGTCCCCCAAGCTTGCCCTGCAAGTGGATGCAGATGGGTTTCCTGTTAAGCCCAAGAGTACTGAAGGAATGAAGGGAAGGAAGGGGAAGCAGGTGTCTGAAATCTTGCCTAAAGCAGAAGTTCAGAGTAAACGCAAGAGAACAGAAGGCAGCAGCCCTCCAGATAGTAAGAACAAGGGGCCTACGGTGAAAGCCAGCAAAGAAAAGCATGCTGATGGAGCCACCAAAACCCCTGCTGCCAAGAGGCCAGCTGCAAGGGACAGAAGCAGCCAACCCCCCAAAAAGACGTCTTTGAAAGAGAATAAAGTGAAGATCCCTAAAAAGTCCGCTGGGAAGAGCTGCCCTCCCTCCAGGAAAGAAAAAGAGAATACAAACAAAAGGCCTTCCCAGTCTATTGCCTCGGAAACACTGACGAAACCTGCAAAACAGAAGGGGGCCGGTGAATCCTCTTCAAGGCCTCAGAAAGCCACGAATAGGAAGCAGAGTAGTGGAAAGACTCGGGCCAGACCCTCAACGAAAACCCCAGAGAGCAGTGCAGCTCAGAGAAAGCGAAAGCTGAAGGCAAAGCTGGACTGTTCGCACAGCAAACGGAGGCGGCTGGATGCAAAGTGATTGGAAAGATGGTAGCCAAGAGTAAAACTGTTCTATAGAAGTAACCTTTTATTTTGCATTAACTAAATCTGCTTTTATAAGCTTATCAAGCCTTTCAAATTTACAGTTAATGGAGAACACCGTAATTTGAGATGTCAGAAAATGCATCTCAGATGGAGAAGGGAACTTGCAGAGTCCTTCTCTGAGGCTAAGGGAAGTTATATATTATATTCTGGTTGTTCCTTGGGTTTTAAACTTGGAACCAAGCAGTTTTCGTTTTTAAAAGTACAGTGCCTTATTTATCCTTTTTGTTTTTAAATTTACAAAAGCTAAAAAGCTGATCTATGTGATTAAAGGCTTGTATTTTATACTTGATGCACAAGCACTTGTACTGTAGCCGAGAAGACCACCATCATGCACATAAAAGGAGCTTTTCAGCAGCCACCCTGCAGCATCTGCCCACGAACAGATGCCCTTCTTTGCAAACCCCAGCAGTGAACTTCCCTCTCTGTCTTGTTTGTTTGTTTAGATGATGTTTGAAAGCTAAACCAAATCATTTTATGGTATGCAGAGGATTTATAATTATAAAAGATTACTATTTCTGTTACCCCCTTTTAAAAAAGATCATGTTCATTGTTGGTCCCTCCTCTCACCTTTGATGTTTTGTCATTTGAGAGCATGTATTCTAAATTATGTGCCCATGGGACAAGAGATATGTCACAAGTGTTAATTTTTGTTTACAAACTCTAAAAAATCATTTGCATCCCCAAACTGTATTACTAATTCTCACCATCTTCTTCATTTCTGGTCTTGCTAGCACTCCTGCAAGGCTTCCATCCTACTTCGGGAGGAAAAAGCCTAGGATTTTTTTTTTCCATCTTGTAGCTGTAATTTGATGATTAGGATGAAAATGACTCTTATTTTCTTTCTTACCCAGAGTACTTCCATATTCAAAGAAAGCCGAACTATTATTTCCAGTAATAGAAAGGTTTAAGAATATGTATGTCCATGTGTGTTTGGGTGCATTTGCATGTGGTTATCAGCCACAAATGTCTCCCAATCCCAATTTTACAGTAAAATTTTTTCCCTATGCAGTGTGCTTGGGTGTCCCTGAGTTGAGTAATTAGCAAAGGACAGATGGTTTAAAAGTAGCCCAGTGTCTCTGTGAGCATCCCCAATACCACTTTGGTACCAGACTCAGAAAGATCTAAAACAGCATGGAGTTATGTAAAGGTTAGAGCAGCCTTGCAGTTGGAGGAAGCAGCTCCAGCATCTGTGAAGAGCCCACACACCCCCTACACCCAGAGCTGATGTTCAGCTGTATGCTCCAATGTGAATGTACTTGTTGGAGTAGACGTTCATTCTGATTGATTAACACCATCCTAGTAGTTAAATGCTTGTAGTATCACTCCTGCCATGTCATGTCAGGCTCTATTCCGTGTCTCAGAAGTGAGAGCCACAATGTTTTAATGACTTTGTTTGCCTTTCCCAGGTGAAGCCTGAGACAGGCGCATTGGCTTCAACCTAGTGCCTGTGACCTTGCTCCATTATTATAGTGCAGCGTGTACTTGACTTTTCCATTGGGCCGCTCTACAAAAAAAGGCTTGGTTGTTGAAGCCTCAGTCAGCTTCCTTAACCGGTTCTGTCACCAAAATCAGCTTGTATGGACAGCTGCTGCCCTGTCCTTTTTATTTGAAAATTTTCCATTTAGGTTGTTTCAGATCTCTTTAGATAAGCCCAGATGGACTTTTTTCATGCAAATCATGATAATACAGGCCTTCTACCCATTCTGTTAAAGGTTTGCTGTATATCATGGGAACTTCTGATGATTGGATAAGACTGGAGAAAAGTATTTGATTTGTGAGAAATTTAGAATTGTGTTGAATTTCATAGCTAGAGAAGCTTGCTGTCTTATGAAGCCCTGATTTTTTTTCATGTCTTCTCTATCTGATGAGTCTTTTTCTTTTTAGTATCTTTGACTTTGGCCATTCAAGAGCTACCTACATTAATAAAACTGCTGAGTGTGTATGTTGGCAACCCTTTCTCAGCATTAAGTTGCACAGAGGCATTAATGTGTTTTGAATAGGTTCATTTAATCTTAAAAAATGGTTTTAAGGTTTTAAAAATGTCTTTTCATATAGTTGTCACTGGATATTGTGTTTGTGGTGACTTAAACAGCTGATGTTTGCCAATGTCAGGCATGCTGATTCCTGTACAGAAGAGGTGCCCCGTTGGCTGCATACCGACTACCTTGTAAGGTGCTTGGATTAGGTTAGGGAGAGGTGTAAGGTAGTAAGTGGGTGGAACTTTTCCAGTTCCAAGTTTGTAATTCATTCCATTCCTTTTCTAAGTTCTTTTTCATTTTTAAAAGCTCAGTTAAAGATAATAGCCTTCTTTCCCATTCTAGGCTGTGTGTGAGAAAAGGTGTTAATGTGTATGTATGTATTTTATATACCTAACAATGCAATGGATCATCTTTAAAATCAACTTATACTTTATAATAAGGACATTTAAATAGACCAAGAGTCTACATAATTATGACACTTAAAAGTTTAGAATTTTTTATATTTGTTGAATCTCATTTTTGCTGATTCAGTTAATTTTGTTAATAGAAGAAAGAAAACAGCAAAACTTGAGGGCTAATCCTGCAAGGCCCTTTGATACCTACAGCAGGTACTGGCAAAGCAGTTTCCCAGATACCTCCAAGCTCAGGTGTGGTATTGACTCAAGTCTGCTATTGTTTTCCCTACCTTGCAAAAACCTTCTTCCCAGAGCCATCTTCAAGAATGGCTTACCACACCAGATGCAAAAGCAGTCCATCCCACATTCCGATCCAAATCAGAAAGGAATTCTCCTGGGTGTACACTCAGTGAAATGACTGTTCCAGTCTTGGGGCTGAAGTTGATGACCAAAGGACACTGGTATTCTCTGAGTTTCTGGAGAAGCTGGAAGATGCCTGGGAAGCAATCACTGAAGCTCTGCCATAGCTCCCGTAGAGGAGGGCCCTCTTCAGGACACCCATCTTCTATCCTACGAGACTCCCTGCTATAGATGGACATGCAGGAGACCACTCCCTCACTTGGGGTCCTGAGCCTCACCCCTAGCACTTCCTCAGACAGGTAACAATCTTGCAGCACAGCAGGAAGGTTGTGAACCTTTATTCTGCTCCTGAGGCTTCCTTCATAGGAATGCTGTCAGTTTCTGTAAGTCACCAGTCACTAGCCCCTTGGATTCCTTGTTAAAGACTTCTGTGCAGCCTTATCTAAAATGATAATCTTAGGCTGTGAGTCTCCTGCTGTATTGTTCCTAAAATCGTATGGATAGAAGAGGTGCCCTTAGTCATCCCTTTACATATGTGGTGCTTTCTAATGGGATCTCTATGCATCACATACTATGCAGGTGAATTTCTCACTGTTCAGATAGGTCATCAGTAAAAGGCATCACTTCAAGATAATTACTTTGAATTGAGGTTTGGCCTCTTTTCCTGCTTTGTAATGGGTTCGGTCATGAGGGTGGGAGCTGTCATTCACATTTATGGGCAGCATTCCTGTTGATTAGTGGACCTAAGAGCCAAGTAGGAAAATATAGCATGCTATGTGATACAAGCTGGAGATGCTGTAGTGTTACTATCAGCAAGTTCTGTGCAGACTGCCTTTCGGATTCCAGATGATCTGTCAAGGGTCTGCCAACTGTGGGCTGGTCGCTTGTTTGTGTAAATAAAATGTGTTTGGAATATAGCCACACCCATTTTCTTAAGTTCTGTCTGCGGCTGCTTTCGCACTGCAAGAGCAGAGTTGAGTAGCTGCGGCAGAGACCCGTGTGGCCCTTACAGCCTAAGATACTATCTGGACCTTCAGAAAACATCTGCTGATCCCTGCTTGAGAAAGTCATCCTTTTCAGGAACAAATATTCTTGATTTTCCTTCTCTCTTCTGCCCTTTTCTCTCTGTTCTTCTTTACTTCTCATTTTCCTTGTCTCCATTTTTTCTTTTCAAAGGAGACATGTTATATCGATATGCACTACTATCCCCTTAAACTTGAGCAACCTTAGCATTCCATCTTCTTAAAAAAAACCATCACAGTAGCCAAAATGAGGCCACCTTACCGTATCGAGCCGGAACCCATGAGCAAATAGGGATTCAGAGTTCTAAAATTATGTGGCCTGGGCCTCTCATTTCACTCACACAGAACTGACTCTGGCTTTATTTCTTGTTTATTAAAGTAAGCCAAGATTTTGTTTCTGGTAAAATTAGTTGAGACTACTTTAGTTGGACTTTTAGTCCTCTGAATGTCACATTTAGATATGGAAAATGTTTTTTCACAGAGTAGAAACAAAGTCTGATCACAATCCCAAAGCTTTGTTTATTCTTATATAATATTTTGGTACTGATACCTTTTCAGCCACATACTTTCAAAATAATTTTATTAAAGGTAAGCCAACAAATAAAACATAGAGGCTTTTGAAGTGCTTTAATATTGATTTAAAAAATTGGAGTTATAACCAGAGTATGACTGAAAAGCTATTATAGTCTTCCTCCTTTTCCAAAAACTCAAGGATAAGGATATATATATATATATATATATTTTTTTTTTTTTTTTTTTTTTTTAATAGAGACGAGGTTACGCTATGTTGCCGAGGCTGATCTGAAACTCCTGGCCTCAAGCAGTGCTCCCACCTCAGCCTCCCAAAGTGCTGGGATTACAAGTGAGCCACCGCACCAACCCAAGTATGAGTTTCTATGCTGGTTTTTTTTTAATGTGATTCAATGTCCTGTCAGTGAAAAATTTTTGTCAGTGGCCCCAAATCACTGATCGTTTTAGTTGTTTTGAAACAATTATCATTTTGAATTCTTAGTATTACTTTGATGTCTTATTGTGACTTGATATCCACTGAAATACTGGAATTTTTTTTAAGTATAAAATTGATCTGTGTAAGGCGGTCTTCATATCCTAGCAGTAAGTGCTATTCCCCATGCTTGCTCTCAAATCCTTTTCAGGGGAAAAATAAAAAGATTATTGTATTTAAAACGAGCAGAATTGTGGGAGGGCCTTCCCCTCCCCCTGCCCAGCCCCCAGACAGGGTCTCACTCTGTCGCCCCAGGCTGGAGTGCAATGGGCATATGGTCTTATCTATTAGGGTATGTAGTTTAAAAGTACAGTTTTTTGAAAGTATAGTCATCTTCATTTTTATGACGCCCACTGCAGGCTCAAAGAGATTTTCACACCTCAGCCTCCTGAGTAGCTGGGACTACAGGTGCATGCCACCACACCCAGTTAATTTTTTTTTTTTTTCCAGTTTTAGCAGAAATGAGGTCTCACTGTGTTGCCCAGACTGGGAAGTCTTTTGAGGCAGCCTTCAATATAATTCATCCTTTGAAACATCAGAACAGAGTCCTGTATTCTACAATGGATGGATTGGAAGACTTGAGGATCCAGTCTCTTTCCTTTATAGATAATTAGACTCAGGCAGAAACTCAGAGCTCTCAGGGCTTTGCTGTGCTGTGCTGTGTCATGCCGTCCTGGGGCCCGGGGAACCACCCTGAGCACTTTGTGGAGTGTGTCCTTGCTCAGGCTTTTGCCTTGGGATTGAACCGAAGCTGCTCAGTTCCTTCCACTTACCTCCTCTCTGTCTGATCTTCCTTTTCCCAGAGCCTCAGTGCTTGATGCTCAGTGCTCAGGAGATGTCCTTTGCTCCATCCTTCAGAGGGGCAGTTGTGTAGTTATGCTGCCGGGTGAGCACAGACACACATACTTTCTCCCCTAGCTGGGACCATCCCACACGGGGTGCTCAATATGCATGCCTCATGAAAGCATAGACTGTCCATTTAAAAAAAAATCAGGTACTCATGGTATTACAATATGCCAGGGGTTGGACAAATGGATTTTTTACCCTTTTTTAAAGGGTTATGTAAAAAAAAAAAAAAAAAAAAAAAGCAACTATATGTGGCCCGCATAGCCTGAAATATTTACTTCCTGACCCTTTTGTGGAAAAGCTCTACTGATCCTTATAGTAGTCATTAAAGATCAAATTGTGTAGACAGGCACAACTTTTTTTTTTCATATGCTCCAACATTTTTTTCATACAGTCCAGCAATTCTTTTAGATTTTAGAGTGTCTTGCCTGTTCATCTCAGTACACAGCTGCTGTTACAGATTATTCCTGAATAATGCTTTTGCGTTAAGAAAAATTATCCCCCTTTGCCAGTTGTCTACTTGTTAATAAGTTGTGGGCCATGTGATCATATCTATTAGGGTATGTAGTGAAAACTAAAAGTGCAGTCTTTAAAAGTACAGTCTTCATTTTTATGAATCAGAGTGAACTTGACTGTGGTAGACATTCCATTAACAGCAGTTCAGCACAAACAAATTACTCATGAACTTAAAGCCAAGAATAGTGCCTCTCCCTGAAAGTATGCGATGTGTTGGTTTTACCCCTAGAACCCTTCATTTCTCTTTTGTATCATATACTTGAAGGTTTCTCACTCTTCAAGCTCTGGTCGTGATATGAGAACATAGATGCCTGGTGTTTGCCTGTTTGACTTTCGAGTGCAGACCACACATTCTCTTAAAAATACCAGCATGTCTGTGGCATCTTGTCAGGACACCGGCAGCTTTAGACAGAACAAGTTCAGGGCTCTCCAGCCCAGCCCGAGTCACTGCTCGTTCTGAGGAGCCATCCTTGGCACCTTGCCCTCCCTCCTCCTGCCTCTGCTTATGCCGCCAGCCCCCTTCCAGGAGGCATATTCTCTGGGACAGTCCCCCACTTCCCCAGTGTGGCCCTGAACACAAATTTGTCACATTGGAAGCATTTTTCTCTCAAAACTCTTTTCCTCTAGTATTTAGTTGTTGGGTTTAAATGCTATTCAATTTATCCACTTTTTTTTAAACCCCAGTTTTCTGTGATCTGCACCTCATAGTTGTCTTGTAGCTAAAGCTGAGGTATTTGGGAGCTAATTTTTGGGAAAGAGACTATACCAACAAGATTTGCATAATTTTTTATATTTATACCACAGGTAGGGATTATTTTTAGAGTCACTATAGCTTAAGGTTATTGATTTCACTAGTGTGGTTTCTGCATTCTAAATAGTTCTCGGAGACTGTGTTAGTAACTGGTTTCAAATACATATATATAATATTTATACACACCACTGTGGAATTTATTTCACTGTGTAAATAGTGATATTTTCCTGTTCAGATACTTCTATAGAAAGTATTTATTTTAACAAGAAAATTAACTGTCAAAAGGGCTTTCCAAAAAGTGTTCTTTCTAGCCACCCATCCTCCCCAGCTACCATGCTCAACCATTGAGCCCCCAAACAACAGTGAAAGCAGAAAGGTGTGGCCTTGAAACCTTCACTGTATTTGGACAGATGCAACAGAAGCACGTCTCCCCCACTGTCACCCCATCCCACAACAAAGTGGGAATCCCATCATGGGTATGGCTGTGCCAGGCATGGCATCGGGTGTGCCCCATGCAGCCTACTTCTTGCATGCACAGTTGGTACATTTAGCTGTATGGCATCGGGTGTGCCCCACGCAGCCTACTTCTTGCATGCACAGTTGGTACATTCAGCTGTACACTTAACAGCCTGTACAGGAAAATGAGCCTTAGTTGTAGCCCCAAGGAAATCCAAACCCATGCTTGTGAGATATGGAGAAACCACTGGTTGCCTAGAGAAAGCATTAAGGTGTATTTCCAGTTCCCCTTTCATGTTGGTGAAAGACACCTATTCACACTCTAATTAATCATGGGAGATAAGCATGTTACCTTCTGCACCTTGACTTTGCTCGTGAGCACCTGGCTTTCCTCTTCCTCCTTCTCCCCTCTCTCCCTGTCTCAGTGTGCATCTGTGCAGATGTGGGCCAGTCCCCCTGTAACCAGTGGTTACAGAATGATACCATCTGTTCTAAGATGTGGTCAGCTTTACTTCTCAGGAGTCCTGTCCTACAATTCAGAGCACCCCTAGATGGGATGGAACCAGTGCTTTATGATCATGTTCCTCTTCTCTGTGCCCTGTCCTTCGGCACCCCCATGTTAGTCATGATCCTCATTGTGCAGGGCTGGCTGGACTGAGAATTGCAACTCCAGGACAGCAGGGAGCTTTGGGACTAGGCACGCAGGGGTTTTGTCATCCATTTGAACCATAATTTGCATATTTTCTTACGGCCTCCCTTTGTCTTTTCTAAACAAATGAGGCAGACACTTGAACAGTAATGCTGGAGAATGTTTTTTCTAGGAGACTTTGTAAGCAAATCTGATTTTAAGATGAAATGTGAATGAGAAACTAGGTGCCAGGGAATTTAGCACTGAACTAGACAGTCAAAACTTTTTTAACTTTGCAGGAAGAAATAAATTTTGCTCTCGTCTAAATGTTCACAAGAAGTAATGTTGTAAATAGTTTTCTAAAAATATTTATTACTTGTGCTGTATACAAATTCATGTTCTGAGTGATGTTGGTTTGCATTGTAGTATTATAGAATATATTTTGAGCAGTGGACTTCCTTTCATAACACAGTTCACACATGGAGAAAGAACAAAAACCAGCAGGTTGAGAGCTGTTTGGGGCCTTTGATCTGTAATGTTACATCAAATCTGAGCTTTAACTGCCCCCTCTTCTCATCTGGTTATGTTATATTATATATATATATTATATATATATATATACAGGTGTATGATAAACTGGTCAGTGGTCAGTACTCAGATCTGCAGAGCAGATTTCCAGATGTTCTTTCTGATGTGTTGCCCATAAGCAATAAGATCCTAGGTAATAACATTTATTCCAGGGCCCACATTGGCCCTTGTCTCAGAGGATAGGGTGGGGGTAGAACAGCTCTTGCTAAGACCTCTTGCCTTTGCTGGAGAGGTTGCTGTACTTGAATTTTTGCTTCTGTTTGTCTGCACGCTCCTTCATGTCATAGAACTCTAGCAATGGATGAGAAATCTGCCAGCACCAGACACATCAAAATTGGGCACATAGATGGAAAATTTTGCAATTTTTCATGAATTTATAGGGTTTCCAGAATCTAGTTGAGGCAAAGCTCATTTGGCTATAGAGTAAATGTAAGACTTGTTACAACAGAAATTTAAGTGGCCAGTTCAATGTCCTTTGGCTATATTTGACCTACCTTTAAAACCTAGCCCATTTCATATCAGCCTCTTCTGTGCCTGGGCTTGAAATGTCTAAAGCTGCCTTCGTGTCTGGGATTACACCATGTAGGTCAGTATAAAGAGGGCAGTCACTCCTCCATTTCTCCCAGCGTGTCCAGTTCAGCAGATTTCTAAAGCTGTTAAGCAGCCTCTCTTTTTGACCGTCCTAAACTTTGTGAAAATAAATACCCCACACCCAGATAACCATTAATAGAAGTAATGTAGTTTTTTAGGCTTTTGGAATATGTCTTCTCTTTTGTATTTATGATGGTGTTTGGAATTTTTCACTAGTGTATTTTTAGACTGAAGTGGGTGCATTAGGATAAAACTTTCCCTTGCTGAGCCTGAAGGCAAGCAAGAGGGAAGAAATTGACCTGTATTGTATCATTGGGGAGGCGACTACTTCTTGTGGTGGTAGGGGGTGGGGGGAATGGGGCATTGTAGATTATGTGGGGGTACAATAGAATTCTGGCCTGAGGCTCCCCAAGTCTTATTACCTTGTATGAAAAATCCCCATATTAGCCTCACTTAATCTCAATAGAAGCCTGCTGTTTACCCTCAGGGAACAAGTAGTTTTCAAAATTGAGCTCCTCCAAGGTCATTGGCCAATGCTGTGTGCAGGCATTGGTCATCTTTGTAAACTCATGGCATTATTTCCTCATATGCATTATGATACTAAGAAATTCAACCCCAACCTGTATGAAAAGCACAGCCCAGGGCCCTAATTGAGGCTAGCATGAATGCCTTTGAGGGGCCAGGGGGCCATAGGAGGCCCATGCAATTTAACTGAAGCTCAGGTGCCACGTTGGATTTTTATTCTTATTAGGCCGCAACCTTTCTGAATGAGTTTAGGGCAGGGGCTGCTGATCCGGCTGTGGATTCAGGGAGCTCTAAAATGAATCTCTACCGTTCCTTTAAAGGTCTTTCTGGTTCCTCCCAGTGTTGTCATTGCTGAGGTCGATCTCGTAGTTGTTCAGTTGTGCTCTTTTTGCTGTCTTGTGAGTCTTAGCCAGTGATCCAGCTGCCCAAGGACAGGGCCTCCAGAGGGCCTAGCGCCCTCCTGGTACCAAGCGTGTGCTCCTGGCCTGTGTGACAGTGTCTTTCCCGAAGCAGTGAAATGAGAAATTCTGCAAGTGGCCACCCGGAAGATCAGTCTGTAGCTCTTGGGCCTGGATTTCTACTATGTTAGTGAGTGTAGGAATATACTGTGTCTTTAATGGATGAAAATTCAATGTATGCTGTGAATTTGTTGGTTTGAAACATTGAAATTTTTCATTAGACAATGTTTACATACCTCACCTGAAGAACCTTTGAGAGTGTATATATAAAATTTTAAAATATATTAAGTTGCTTTAAAACAATATGTATAGCTATAAAAGTTGGAGTTATTTTAACTTTGAATATGTACCAAGTCTCTTAAATATTGAAATCTTGTAGACTTCTTGTGCTTCTGTGTTTTGCTTTCCTATCAGGCCATGTAGGAAACTGTGTTCTTGTTATTGGTAGAGGGGCCCTCACTGAAATCCAAGCTTGGAAGGATGTCCTGTGTTGTTTCAGATTCTCTTGTTTGGTTTTGAAGGATGCGGTGTGGAGCCAGAGGATGTGTGGGAGGGGTTTCTCTAACACTGACTTCTATTCCATGAGCTTTTTCAAGGCGCTTATTTTATGGCAGCGTATTAAACTTCTTTGATATTCAAGTGTGTCTGTGTAGTCACTGAAGAGGGCACAGAACGCCTTGAAGCCGGGCATTCAACTTGCAGCCTAAGGCAAAATTGATGAGTTGCCAGAAGGAACCACAAAGCAATACTTCCACCAAGTGTCAGGGCTTAGAGAAACCTTGTTTGCTAATGTAAGTAATAAATCATTTTGTGAGTTCTGCCTAACTTCAGGGAAAAGAAAAGGCAATGGAGGAATCCTTGAGATTCCCATGGCAGGGTTGGAAAGGTGCCAGCATTTCATCCTGAGGGGCAGGGAGCAATGGAGGGCAAACTCCTGACCTCAGGCTAGCCACTGGGAAGTGTGCAGGCCACAGGCCAGGGCTGCCCCAGCTCTCAATGCCCTTGTTGGAGTATGGCAGAAAAAGTCCTTCGATTTGCTAGCCTCATGAGTTTTTCATTATATTCTTTCAACTCTGCTTGAAGTGGGTCAGCGTAAGGGCCCACAAGCGGCTCATCTGACTGTGCCATCACTGTGCAGAACCACATCCAGCAAAAATAACCCCACAGCTGACTGCCAGGCCACCCCTCTGAATCTGAAGTTGGAAGATTACCTCATTCCAGATTAGTTGTTTTCATTGTTAAGATAGACCTCTTTTCCTCCAGTAGTCATCCTGTAGTGGAGTAATGAAAATACTGACCCAAGAGGTGCAGACTGGCTGCCTTGGGGTGAGGGGACATCTCAAAAATTAACTCTGAGGGCTTTGGGCTTAGGGATGATAGAGATGTGTCTAGAGATGTGTCATCACCAATCTCAGGAAAACTTGGCAGCTCTAGTAATCAGGATGTCGCCCATTGGAAGTCTGGGCACTGCTTTTTGGCCTCCACCCTCCCAACCAAGCCCGGCTGTGCCCATTCCCTTGGCTGGGGATTTCCCTTTAGCAGTGAAATTTGCCACTGATTTTACTTTAACTCAGAAATAGCAAACTGGTGGCCTACAGATGTGTTTTCTTTAGCCTAGTGTTTAAAAAAATACTTCGTGAGCTTTTTTTTACATAAAGATTGAGAGTTCTGACTTTTGTAAAAAAATTAAAAAGATGAAGATTTGACAGAATTAACTCACGGTAAGAGTCAGCTGGCATGAGATTGGAAAACGTGCCTTTCAGGTCACCACAGCCCCTGACTGTCAGTTCCCATTTGTCACTGTTTCTTCACGGCAGGGGAATGGGTCTGTGTACGTGCAGCCTTATCAGAAGTGACAGCCAGGTGACTGACAGGTAACCAACTGACCTTGTGAGACGGGAGCATCCAACCCCATTGGAACGCATTTTCTCTCCTGCACACTGTTCGTTACATTTCCTCCAAAATCCCTGACTTTTTTGAAGGCACTGAAGTTATATCAAGTGGCCACTTTCAAGATGACCCATGTGCTGTTAAGGTGTGGCTTGTGTGACCATTGCCCTGGCCCAATTTTCCACAGAAACCTGTCCATGGCGCTGGCTCATGGTCCCGGCTCAGGCTTCCCTTTAGTGTCAGTGACCCTGCCCAGCCTGCCTGCCCAGGCCTGGCCTTACCCAGACATCCATCCTGAGTGAGTGAGTCCTATAAAATCGTGCTTGCAGTGTTCTCATCTGAATGGTGATGGAGCCACTGCAGACGTATGTGTGTGTGCCTGCTTTCTCCACCAATTTCTAAGAGCCACTGTGCTGGGGACAGGAAAGTGAACCTCACAGGGCATCTGAGAAGTCACACTATATAGATTGCCCCGATGGCTCCGAAACCCTTAGAGCCAAATTAAAGATGGGTGTGGCTCTGTGCACAAACTTACAGAATGTCCATGTCACGGCAATTACTTGAAGGGAGATGAGGATGAGCAGCCTCCCCAGCTCGGCCGTGCACTGACAGACCCCGGGGGGGTGTCCCCCAGCCCTCTCCCAGGACCCCCTCCTTCAGGAGGAATGGACTTCAGGAAAAGCAGGGAGTTCCAGGGACAGACATCCTACGTGTGTAGCCCCTTGGAGCCATCCCTGGATGATGGCCCATATGCGATCAGCCCAGAAGCCCTAGGAGAGAATGCCAGCAGCACCCGGCCCGCCCTTGGTGGAGAAAAAGAGACCAACAAGGCAGAGTGACTCAATGTCATGTTCACATGGAAGACAACAGACAATATCGACATAGTCTAAAACAATACTTCCAGGGCAGGTGCAGCTCCCTCATGGGCCTGTTCTAAACCAGCCTCTAGGAGTTGATCCAAACAAGACGACTACAGAAACCCCCAACAAAACGTGCCACGACCACATAGCATCTGAAAGGCAAAACAAGACGCTGGATGTTGACTTTAACATATAAAAATACTGTAACAAAATGAAATACAAATATATATTAGAATCTGTAAGTATTCTGTATAAAGAGATACTTTTGCGGTTAGGCTACCAGCAGGCAAAGAGGAGACAAAGTCCAGCCTTTTCCACTTCCTGACACCTTCACCGGGAGCCCCGGCCCTGTTGCCAGTGGTGTTGCAAGGCCACAGCTCCCTCCGGACGCACCCTGCTGTATCTCTTCATGCCTAAAATGCAGAGCGAACTAGGGGTCTTCACAAAGGGGGACAAGATGTGGAGAGAGGACTTCTCAGAGGGGTGATTTTGCAGTAGCCACCTTCCGGACTTTCAAGCGGAGTGTGAATAGGCAACGTGAGTGCTGACTCAGGTCCTTAGCAACTCGCTGGCTGATGGCCAAGTTGGAGAAAAAGTTGATCCTGGGGCACACAGCTCTCACATCATCTCATGGTGGATTCCAATCCTCAGACTGCACTGAGGTCAGCGCTGCTGTGCTAGGAGGCTGGGCCATGTGGTGGGGCCGGTCAGGGGAGCCTTAAGCTCACATGGTGCTCCCTAGGAACAAACATGCCAGCCGCTCACCTCCCAGCCCCATGGCGCCAGGTGAGGGGTGAGCATCACCTGTCTACAGGTGTCCTTTCCACCTCCTGCAGAATGAAGAGGCCTCCTGCCAGCCAGTGCCCTTCAAGCCTGGGAATTGGCTTCTCCAGGGTGGTGGGGAATGGTGGTGGCCAGGAAAGCTATCTTTCTCAGGGTTGGTGAGTCCCAGAGCACCTTTCTTCCAGGGAAGAGGCAAGCTAGCTGCCCTTGAGCTTTTCTGCCCTATCCAGCCCGGTGCAGATGCTCTGCAGGGTCCCACGGTGGCCTGGAAACTCAGAGAGGGATGCCATGTGGGCCTGGGAGAAGCCCCATGAGGCCCAGGCTGCAGTCTACTTGGGGGTGGGGGCGGGCATTGTGGCCTTGCTCAGAGCTCCAAGCAAGTAGATCCCAGCCCCCTGGTGAGGGGCAGATCCTGCCATGAGGACACCTGCCACATTGGGCAGGGCACTGCCCTCTTCCCATCACAGGGACCCCAGGACTCACAGTTGCTAGATTGAGTCCCCATGGCATGAGACATGCCAGGCACCTCTACCCCAGTTCTAGCCTTCTAATCAGCATCAAGGGCTCCCCTCACTGCCCTGGGCAGGGGACAGGGACACAATGCCACTCTGAGCCTCACCTGAACATACACCCAGCCATGCCTCCTGGTCACAGATGGAGGGAGCCAGGGCAGGGACATGCTCACCCCCGTTGCCCACCAGAACCCCCGGGGGTGTGCCCTCTTGGTGAGCCCTCTGGGGAAGGAGAGTGCAACTTTGCCTCCCTTTAGCCCATTCACAGTTTGGCCTCACAAACCATCTTTCTACATTTTCACTGTGTATGGAAGAGAAGACAACGTGGGCAGGCAATCGTATATTCAGGGCCTCTTCTTCTTCCACCACTGGCTCCTTCGTTGCCAGCAACTCCCTGGCCTGGGCCGCTGTCTGTGGCTGGAGCCCCCACTCAGCTCAACTCTTCCCGGGCATCCTGGTCATTCCTGCGATGCTCTGGGATGAGTTCACATCTGTCCATTAGGCCAGAACGTCCACAATCCCCAGCCCCGGGTTAGGCACATAAATACTTTTGATGTGATCAATGTAGATAGATAGATAGATAGATAGGTCTTCTAACTCCTCTGGCCTCCCAAGACCACAGTGGGGGAGTCTGCACTGTTCCTTTAGTCATCCCGCCCCCCACCTCTGGCCATTTTATAGCTGAAGAACCCAAGGCCCAGGTGGGGAGAAGTTTGCCCCGAGTGATAGAGCCAGCAGGGACTTCCCAATGCCTGGAGCACTGTCCCTTCCACTGCTCCCTACTGGCCTGCGGTGTGAAGGACTCTGAACCAGCTGCTCCCAGGTCAAGCACCCTGGCCCAGACCCTCACACCCAGTCCCTCTACCAATAGGTCACCGACAGCTTGTGGCTGACTGGTGGCTGGGGAAGCCCAGGACCAATACTCCTACTGTGGCCAGTGTCTGGAGGCAGATGATGTTTGTTTATCTAGAGCAAAGAACCCTCTGCCCTCTTTAGTGGGGTCTGCCACCCTGAGCAGCCCCTGTGACTGTTTCCTCCACATAAGCCCTCGCAGCTACAGTAGTCATGCTAGAACTTTAGGATTCAGAGGCCTGGTCCTAAGAACCACCTCCACCCACAGCCTCGTTCCCAAGCCGTGGCTGCAGAGCTGCCAGTCAGCCCAGGGGGCAAGGGTCCGACCCTCCCTGGCCAGCAGGAGGCGGCACCCCCGCTCCAGAGCCTGGCCTACCACCAGCAGATTCTGTAGCAGCAGAATGAACCAGGCTGGCTTCCCGGGGAGGCTGACAGTACTTCATGGTTGCCCGCAGAGGGGTAAGAGGCTTCTGGGGCCACAGACCCAGTTCCAAGCCAGCCTGGGCCACAGGCCAAAGGGAAGGGTTGGTTTGGAAGGCTGTCATTTTTCTTCTCCAGATTCAGATAGCAGGTAAGGAGGGGTGTCATCGTTCTGCACTTCTTGGCCTGACCTCACGCACACATTCACTCAACAAATATTTATTAAGCGCCTATTTGTGCAAGGCACTTCCGGAGAGGGCAGCCCGCAGCTCAGGCCTCGCCCACCCCCGCTGCCCCCAGCTATGGCGCAATTTGCTTTTAAAAGGCTGCTCTGGCACCACCCCACCCAGGAGGGCCCAGCTGCCCAGGAGCCGTCCTGTGATGACCTGCACCCCAGCCCAGCTGCTGGCGACTGTCTCCGCTGCTGCAGCGGCTGGGGCCCCTTGCCCGCCCTCACCGGCCTGTCCACGCCCAGCGCTATGCGCAGAGGGCACAGCCACACTTGGTGGGCTTTTCCACCTCCTCGGCAAAAGAGGTCCCATCGCTGCACTCAAAGGTGAACTTCCTCCGCTTCAGCCGAAGGCCCTGGCAGCAGCCCTGGCCTGGGCACGAGCCCCGGCACTCCACCCATGACAGGGGGCGCGTGGTCTGGCAGATGGCATAGCCCCTCTGGACCTGGTGAAAGTCCCGGACAGGGTCCCCCCGGCACTCGGACTCTGGATGGGACAGACACCAAGAGAAAGCCTCAGGGCACACCCATGGGTGAGCTGCTGCCTCCAGGGAGGCAGGAGGAAGAGGAGGAGGAGGGCAGCATCTGTGGGGTGGATCCTTTGGCTCTCAGACCCCACCTCTGTCCCCAGCATACTTCCGCCTCCCACTGACATGCACAAGCTTCCTCCCAGGGCCTACAGTCTGGTCCTAGCGTCAGGGCCCTCCAGGACAGACTGAACTGCTGGAGGGAGGGGGGGTCCCCATTGCTAGAGGCGTGCAAGAGAGGCTGGAGGCCCCGGGGGCAATAACATTATGAAAAGGATTCATGCTGGGGAGGGGATAGCCTAGGGGACCCTTAAGGTGCCTGAGTTCTGGGTTTCTCCAGCTTCTCCCTGCCCAGCCTTAGCAGTCCGGATTCCAGCAGAAGCCATCTTGGTCAAGCAGGCCAGGGAGGGCCTGGGAAGGAGTCCCCAACCCTCGGACTTCCTGCTGCCGCTCCCAGGTCATGAGGTGATGGGGCCAAGAGGCAGAGGTTGGGCCAGGAGCTGTTACCCTGGGTGGTCTCTTCTGCAAGGAGAGACCCCAGCCAGAAGAGGCGCATACCCTGAATAAGGGAGCTGCAGGGCAAACTGGGCCAGGAGAGATTGGGAGCAGTGCCCAGAGGGTGGAGGGACTCTGAAAGCCCCATAGTAGCCCATGGTACAGGGCTGGGAAGGGACAGAAGGGCTGCCGAGACTGGGAGGAAGAGTCAAATTGCTAAAGCAATTTGTGGGGGACCCTGGGGAGGGCACGTCAGGAGGGGGGCCCCTGACCTTGCTCACACAGCTCGCCCGAAAAGCCGGGGTCACACACACAGTGTGCCCCCTTGGTGCCTGAGGCCTGGCAGTGGCCATGCAGGCACTGCAGGCCTCTGCAGGGCTCTGCCAGGGCCCCGGCCTGGTTGCACAGTGCCCCCGAGTACCCATCCTGGCACTGGCAGCTGTAGGAAAGAGCGTCGAGGGGCACGCATTGCCCATGGACACACCTGGAGGAGACAGAGAAAAGGCGCTGTGAGGACAAACCCAGCCAAGCCCCACCTGACACAGCCCGCCCCACCTGACACAGCCCACCCCACCCAGCCCTGACTTCACAGGTCTTTAATCTGTTCCCAAAACTGAAACAAAGGGAGTTGCATGCGACTATGTGTGTGTCCCTATAGGCCTTGTCCTATTAATAAAAAGTGAAAGCCAGATAAAAGTAATAAAACCCTGGCTTAGGCTACATGTTCTAATATGGGTTGGAAAACTGTGAGGCAGCCCTTCCCATGGGGAAGGAACAGGTAGGCAGGGGCAAGGGCTCCCCCAGTGCCCCAGGCTCACTTGTGGCCATGGCAGGGGCCGTCAGCGGGCTGGTCACAGTGCAGGCCCACCCAGCCAGCCTCGCAGTGGCACATGGGCCCTGGGGTGGCATTGGGCTGGCAGATGCCATGCAGGCAGTAGAGCTTGCGGCAGGGTTCGCAGCCTGGCACCACGCCTGGCTTCATCTGCGTCTTGGTGAAGTCCTGCAGCTCGTTGTTGATGTACAGGTTTCGGATGCAACCGTGGAAGCCGGTGCCGTTGAGGATCTGCCACAGGCGGAAGGCAGCTGAGTTGACATCCACGGGCATCCCTGGGGTAGGGGAGGGAGCAGAGCTGGGCTGAGTAAAGCTCGGGCTATGCCGGGCACCCACCCCTGAGGTCTGGGCAGCTCCATGGCCTTCCCTCTTGCCTGCGGCCTCTGTCCTTCATCTCTGCAACCCTGATCCAAGGTCCTTTGCCACCTTGGAGGGCCCAGGCTCCTTGCCCAGAAGAAAGGGAAAAGCTGCTTCCTCTGTGATTGGAGCTGGGGCATCAGGCCTGGTGGTGGCCAGCTGCTGCGTGTGGCTCTGAGGTGCCTGTTCCTAAAGTCTGGCTTCCCTCGCCAAGGCGCCTTCTCTCCCTGGGACGCTAGCTTTTACCTCCCAGAGACCCCAGCCGTAGCAAAGGGGCAGGACCGAGACATCACGTGTGGCGCTAGGTCACTGCTTTTGTGGCTGTCCCTTCTCAGCAGCCCTCTGAAGTAGGGCTTGCTAAGCCCCATTTGACAGATGCTCATGACTGGCCTGAAGCTGCACAAGGAGTAAGCTGCGGAGCTGGGCTGAGGCCCAGGGCCATCCCTCACCTCTGCCCCAGCCTCAGCACGCCTCCCACAGGGTGGAGATGGCCCCACTGCATCCAGCAGCCTGCTCATCAATACCGAGAAATGCTTGCAGGTGGTAGACGGGGTCATCTAGCCTGCAAAGCCTCTAAGGCCAGCCGAGGCAGTCCCTGGTTGATACAGGGACTCTGTGCCTGAGTCTCTTGCAGTGGTTCTGGGTCTCAGAGGGCCCCAAGACTGGGAATGGACCTGAAGCCATTGAAAAGCCCCTTCTAGCCCAAAACCAAGAGGAAATGTGCCCAAGGTGTTGCAGATAGCTCGGACAGTCCCAGGGCCTCCCCTAAGCCAGACCTTGCACCCAACCCAAGCATCCATCCTCCTTGGTCAGTCTGGGCTAGGCAGAGAGCAGCTGGGCTCCAGGCAGCGAGGCCAGTCCACCTGCAGCTTGGCCACCACCAGGATCATCTTCCCACTTGGCATTTCCCACAGTGCAGTCCCTAGGCACCAGCTCTCCTGGCTGGCCTCAGGCCAGACAGCAAAAGAGGCCCCGCCAGGGCCAGGTCCTCACCTCCCACATAGAGTGGCGCCTCGCTGTTGAGCGTGTAATGTTTGCCAAAGTTGTCCATGGTCATGGGGCTCCCGCCATCAATGGAGAGATTCACCATCTGGTCAAAGGCAACCAGCTCAACGGTGTGGAATTGCCCATCGTTGATCGTCTCAGCACTGGAGGAAGAGGGGGTTCCCCGTTCCAGGGAGTGGGCATCAGTCTGGACCATCCCTGCCTGGGCACTTCCCCAGAAACACCAGTAGCTGCTTCCCAGGAGACCAAATATCTAAGGAAAAGGACTGTGGGGGCTCAAGGGTCTATCGCATGATCCCTTTCACTCCCCTTCTTTGACTCCCTGGGGAAGGCTGAGAGGTTTGAGGCAGGGGTCTCAAACTTACAAGTCTCCCCCTCCCCATTAAGGAGCCTCCTCTAAGGTGGTGGTGGGATGGGGAAGGATGGGGCCACTGCACAGGCCTCAGAGACCTCAGCCCCAAGCTGGGGCTAACCCAGATGGTTCAAGTGTCCTTCAAACTCAGGCAGCCCAGGTTTCTAGAGGTCTCGATAACCACCTGCTTTTGGCCCAGGAGACCTCGCCCTGGCAGTCCCGTACCCCTGAGGGCAGCTGGGGGGCATAAGGAAGCCCTACCTGTAGATGGCAGAGCTGGGGTAGCTGCCTGGGTCGTAGCTGACACGCACATGGCCCTGGTACAGCTCAACTGCAATGTGGTCGTTGTCCCCGTTGTACAGAAGGATCCCATTGTCCTCTGCCGTGGAGACCTGATGGGCAGTGGCACTTTCTCTCCCACCCCACCCCATGCAGCAGCGGCACAGGCTAGCAGATGGGGCAGAGAGGGCACCCAAGATTGGAAGAGAGATGCTCTGTGCAGAGCGCTCTTCCCCCACCTGGCCAGCCTCCCCAAGGCCATTCCTCCAGGGGGCACCAATAGGGGCTGCAGCCTCTGGTTCAAGCCCCATCCACTGCCAGCCTGGCCAGGTCCAGGCAGGGGAGGGTGATGGGTCCCTGAGGCCTGGAAACTCTGTGCCAGGAAGAGCAGCCAGGAGACCTCAGGACAATCTTCCCAGAGAGGAAAATTAGACTGGGACCCCTGTCTGCTGGGTGTGGGTAGCCTTGCCCTGTGGGCCTTGGGGAGCTAACTGCTCAGGGTGGGAACTACAGAGAGGACAAGTTCAGGAAGGCTCTCTGACAGCCAGAGTCATCCAAGCCTAGTGGAAGGAGCCACTCAGAAGGTAGTGTCTGTCGCTGGAACTGTGCAAGCAAAAGTGAGATCTTTGCCTCAGGAGGGAGATCCCTCTAAGATGCTGTAGGAGCCATGATCATTTTTCCCTGCCTTGTCCTGCTCCCTCCGTTTCTTCTGGTAAAGACCCTGAGCCCCCTGGTCTGTGGAGCTGGGCATATGACCCAAGCTGTCCAGTCACACTGCCCCATCTCCTTGGACTCAGCAGCTGGTTCAGAGATGGGCATGTGACTAACGCCAGGCCAATCAGAGATCTTCCTTGAGCTGACCGAATTAGAGCTGGCAAGGAAGAGCCTTTGTAAATCAATGTCTGGTAAAAGATGAGGATAAACCAAGGATGTGCCCGAGGCAATGGCTGGTTAGGGTTTTGGTGAATTTTATTTTTGGCGGTTAGGCTAGCTGTTGTCTTGCCATGTAGACTATGTAAGTGGATAGGATGTTGGAGAGGTGACGTAGGGGAAGAGAGCAGAATGCGCATGTTTGAGAGGCTGAAGAGTTCTGAGAAAAAAGGAAAAGAGGACAAAAGAGAGGGAAGAAAGATGTGGCATTTGTGACAGGGAATGGAATTCGGGGGAAAGAGAAAGATGACTACAGAGGAGTTTAACATTCTTTATCATGTGCTGTGCAATATAAACCACTCTCCTCTCCATCCCCCAAAAGAAGTGTTTAGCAAAATATTGATATATTTCATCAATGCTGCTGAAGTGGGAATTGCTTTATTTTCCCCTCAACATGAAGATGTTCTGAGATGGAACTGAAGGCATGAAAAGGATGAGTTAAGGGACCCTAGGGACATTTGGTTAAAGGTATAAGCCCAAAGTTAAATCTGGCCACATTCCAGGCACACATAGAAAGCCTGTCTGCAGCACTGGAGGCAGACACTGAGGAGTAGCTGGGACAAGAAATGGTGGGAAGGGATGATGGCAAGCCTGGTTTTCTGGATTCAGTTACCCATGAGACCATGTCCACCCCTGCCCTGGTTTTGTGACACTATAACCTTTCTAATTGTGCTTAAACTAGTTCAAGCTGAGATTTTGATACCCATATGCAAAACGTTTTGATTACACAGAGTCCTTCCAGTTCCCCAGGCACCATGCAGGGATGTATCCTGATGCTCTGGCCTAAGCCAGGGTCGCCTGCTCCCTGACTCCCCTCTGTGACCAAGCCCCCTGGCACGCACCTGCAACGTGATGTTGGCCCGTGGCCAGTTTTGCAGGTCAGTGAACTGCAGGTAAGTGTCCCGATCCACAAAGTTGACACTGAGCAACTTCTCACACTCAGGGCCACCGAAGCCTGGGAGGCACTGGCACACAGGCCTGTTGCCCTGGTCCACACAGTTGGCCCCATTCTGGCACTCAGTCCCCTCACAGGGGCTCTTGGGGGCAGGCAGATGGGGAGGGATCTCACAGAGCTGTCCACTGAGAGGAAAGGACATAAGTCAGAGAGGGCCAAGGAGGAAGGGAGTATCTTCCTCTCCCACAGCCCTGGAGAGAAATTCACTAAACATCTTGGGAAAATGGATTCTTAAAGCGACAGAAGATGCTCCTAATAAACACTTTTCATGAGAGAGCTGAGAGCCAGAAGGATACCAGGATACAAGTATGGTCCCTGGTCCAGCAGCGTCAACATTACCTGGACACTTGATAGAAATGGCAAACCCACTGAATCTGCTTTTTAACAAGATCCAAGGTGATTACTGACAATGTCAATAACTCTGCAAGGCAGATTTTACTATACCCATTTTATAGAAAAGAAAACTGAGACTTAAGACACAAGCATAAAGAGGGAAGAGTCAAGTTACTAAAATAAGAAATAAAAGAAGGGACATTACTACCAACCTCATAGAAATACAGTGAATTATAAAGGAATACTATGAACAACAATATACCAACAAACTAGAAAACAGATGAAATGCACAAATTCCTAGAAATATGCAAACTACCAAAACTGAACCAAGAAAAAAATAGAAAATATGAATAGACCTATAACTAGTAAAGGAATTAGTAATCAGAAAACTTCCCAGGCCCAGATGGTTTAACTGGTGAATTCTACCAAACATTTAAAAACAATAAATACCAATTCTTCACAAACTTGTCCAAAAAATAAAAAATGAGGGAACACTTTCTAACTCATTCTATGAGACCAGCATTACCCCAATACCAAAACCAAAGACATCACAACAAAAGATATCACAAAAAACTACAGACCAATATCTATTATAAATATTGTCACCAAAATCCTCAACAAATTACTAGCTAATCAAGTACAGCATAAAAAGGATTATATACAATGACCAAGTGAGATTTACGCCAGGAATGCAAGGCTGGTTTGACCTCTGAAATTCAATTAATGGAATACATGATATTGATAGATGAAAAAGCAAAAAAAAAAAGTTCATCTCAATAGATGCAGAAAAAGCATTTGACAAACTTCAACATTCCTTCATGACAGAAACACTCCACAAACTAGGAATAGAAGTGAACTACATCAACCTGATAAAGGGCACCTACAAAAAACACACAACTGACATCATACTTAATAATGAGAGACTGAATTTTTTCCTCCTAAGATTAGGAACAACACAAGGATATTTGCTCTCACAATTTCTATTCAATATTTTACTGGAAGTTCTAGCCATGGCAGTTAGGAAAAAGGGAAAGGAAAGAAAAGGAATGAAGGAAGGAGGGAGGGAGGGAGGGAGAGGGGGAAGGCAGGAAGGCAAGAAGGAAAGCAGGCAGGCAGGCAGGAAGGAAGGCAAGCAAGGGAAGGAGGAAAGGAAAGATAAATAAAATGCATCCAGAAGACATGATCTTATATAAGAAAATCCTACAGATTCCAGTAAAATGCTATTAGAATTAATGAAATAATTCAGCAAGATTGTAGAATACCAGATTAATGCACAAAAATCAAACAAAAAATGAAATTAAGAAAACAATTCCTTTACAATAGCATCAAACAGAATAAAATACGTAAGAATAAATTTTTTAAGTGCAAAACTTATACTTTGAAAACTACAAAATGTTGAAAGAAATTAAAGAAGATCTAAATAAATGGAAAGGCATTCATGTTCATGGATCAGTATGCTTAATATTGTTAAAATGGCAATACTGGGCCAGGCATGGTGGCTCACACCTGTAATCCCAGCACTTTGGGAGGCCGAGGTGGGTGGATCACCTGAGGTCAGGAGTTCAAGACCAGCCTGGCTAACATGGTGAAAACCAGTTTCTACTAAAAATACAAAAAATTAGCCAGGCGTGGTGGCACATGCCTATAATCCCAGCTACTCTGGAGGCTGAGGCAGGAGAATTGCTTGAACCCGGGAGGTGGAGGTTGCAGTGAGCCAAGATTGTGACATTGCACTCCAGCTTGGGAAACAAGAGCAAAACTCTGTCTCAAAAAAAAAAAAAAAAGGGAATACTACCTAAATTGATCTACAGATTCAACAGAATCTTTATCAAAATCCCAGTTGACTTCTTTGCAGAACTCAACATGCTGATCCTAAAATTCATACAGAAATTCAAGGGGCCCAGAACAGCCAAAACAATCTTTTTTTATTTTTTATTATTTATTTATTTATTTATTATTATTATTTTTTGAGATGGCGTCTCACTCTGTCACCCAGGCTGGAGTGCAGTGGCACGATCTCGGCTCACTGCAAGCTCTGCCTCCCGGGTTCATGCCATTCTCCTGCCTCAGCCTCCCCAGCAGCTGGGACTACAGGTGACTGCTGCCATGCCTGGTTAATTTTTGTATTTTAATAGAGGTGGGGTTTCACTGTGTTAGCCAGGATGGTCTCGATCTCCTGACCTTGTGATCCGCCTGCCTCGGCCTCCCAAAGTGCTGGGATTACAGGTGTGAGCCACCGCGCCCAGCCAGCCAAAACAATCTTTAAAAAGAAAAACAAACTGGGAGGACTCACACTTCCCAATTTCAAAATATATTACAAAAACTACAGTAACCAAGAAAGTGTGGCACTAGCATCCAGATAGTCATACAGATTAATGGAATAGAACTTGAAGTCCAGAAATATCCTTACATTTAAAGTTAGCTGATTTTGACAAGAGTGCCATGACCATTCAATTGGAAAGAATTATCTTTTTGACAAATAGTGCTAGTACAACTGTATATCTGCATGCAAAAGAATGAAGTTGGGCCCTCTACCCATATATAAAAATTAACTCAAAATGGATCAATGACCTAAATATAAGAGCTAAAACTATAAAAGTCTTAGAAGACAACATAGGTATAAATCTTCATAACCTTGGATTAGGCAATGGTTTCTTAGGATACCCACAGCACAAGCAACAAAATAAAAAATAAACTAGATATGCCCAAATTATTAAACTAGATATACCCAAATTAAACATTTTTGTGCATTATCAAGAAAAGATAACCAACAAAATGGGAGAAAATACTTGCCAACATATATCTGATAAGGGACTTGTCTAGAATATATAAAAAGCCTTTACAACTCAACAACAAAAAGACAAATACCTTAATTTGAAAATGAGCAAAGAACTTGAATAAAAATTTTTTCCAAAGAAGATATTTTTAAATGGCTAATAAGCACATGAAAAGATGCTCAACATTATTGGCCACTGAGGAAATGCAAATCAAAACCACAGTGAGCTACCACTTCACACCCTCATACAATAGTGGTGGGAATTGTGCAGCCATTAGGAAAAAACAGTTTGGTAGTTCCTCAAACAGTTAAACATACAGTTAACATACGACTCAGAAAATCCACTCCTACGCATATACCCAAGAGACTGAAAAATGTATGTCTACACAAAAACCTGTACAAAAATGTCGATAAGATCAGTCTTCATTATAGCCAAAAAGTGGCAACAACCTAAATGCCTATCAACTGATGAGTGGGTAAACAAAATGTGGTATGTCCATACGGCAGAACACTGTTTAGCCATAAGAAGGAATGAAGTGCCGACACATGTTACCACACGGATGAACCTCAAAACATGATGCTGAGTGAAAGCAGCCAGTCACAAAGGACAACAGACTGTACGATTCGACTTATAGGAAATCCCCAGAACAGGCAAATTTATAGACACAAATATTAGGAGATTAGTAGTTGCCTGGAGCTGGGATAGAAGAGGGGCTGGTGTGACAGATAAAGGGTATGGGGTTTTTTAAGGGGAAATCAACATGTTCAAAATTGGTTGTGGTGATGGATACACAACTCTGGGAATAAACTAAAAGTCATGGAATTTTACATGTAACTGTGTAAACTGTATGGTACATGAATTATATCTCAATAAAGCTATTTTTTAACAAATGAGTGAGCAGAGCATGGGACGTGGGTGGCCAGAGGGAGGGTGGGCCCTCCAACCTCCCAGGGGAGCCCAGTGGGCTGGTAGATAATCTTTGGGGCAAGACATGTCTTCAGAGGCTCAGGTAGGCAGGTAAGTGACAGCACACTGCCCTGTCATCTGCACCCACCTCTCATGCCCTCCACCAAACAGGTTAGGGGTCCTCTGCCTAGGCCCTGGGCAGTTACATGACTTTCCCAAGGCTGCACAGCTGGTGACTGGCAGAGCCACGGTTAAAACCCCAGCATCCAACTTCCAGGCTCTGACCCACACCCCTTTCCTTCGCCATGGCTGGAGGCTCCTGCCAGCCCAGGGGCTGACAGCCACAAGGAGTCACTCCTAGTGTGTCCAGGGGCTGCTCACCTGTAGCCCTCAGCACAGAGGCAGGAGTAGCTGTTGACTTCATCCATACACTGGGCCCCATTCTGGCAGCGGTGGTCCCTGCAGTCATCCTGGTTCTCACTGCAGTTGTCACCTGCATAACCTGGCATGCACTCACACCTAGTGGGTGGGGGGCAGGGGTAGTTGGGGGGTCAGCCACACAGAGTCTGGGAGGCCAGGGGAGCGCACCAGGGATCCCCCACACAGTCTGTACATGTGAGGGAGAACCTCAAGTTCCATTGAGGCTGTGGGGATCTCCAGGAGGTCACACAGAGCTCTGGATCTAAAAGGGCCCCTAGCCCATCCTGGGACCCTTTCCTAGTAGAAGAGAGCTCATGTGGACTTGAGGTAGGGGCCTGGGGCTGGAAGAGTGGACCCCAGTAGCAGGGGCAGATGGAGTCTTGTCATGGAGGACCCACCTTCACCAGCAACAGCACATCCAAGGCCAACTGTCAGCCCCTTCCCCACCTCCCCAGCAGCTCAGCTGCACCCTCCCTGTTCTCCCAGGACCCACTACCATGTGACTGAGTTCCACAGGCTCCCCCACTCCTCTTTCTCCAGCCTCCCAGTCCTCAGCAGGGCTAGTGCCCCCTGCTCAGTGGGTGCCTTGACCTCAGGTAAGCCCCCAGCTTCCCAGCTGCCACCATGCCTCACTGCTGGCCCAAAACACTCCCTTTGGGCTCCTGTCTGCCTATCAAATAAATAAAGGATGCACTCCTGTAGCCCTTTCTAGTAATGGCCTTGCTGTCTGTCCTACAGACCTCCTGCTCCCCTGACACCAAGCCCACCTCACCAAGCACTTCCCTGCCTTCACACCTGTGGATTCCAGAATACCGTCTCCTGTCTGCCTGCATGGTCCAGCCAGCCCAATACCTCACCTCCTCCAGGAAGCCTCTGGAGAGCACTCCAGCCCTCACTGAGCAGTCCCCTTGTCTGATCGCCTTCTAAACTCCTAACTCTGAAGCTCAACCATGCAACCTGGCAGATGGGTGCTCTTGCCTGGGATTTTTACTCATTTCCTTGTCCAGTGTTTTTCGGGCTATAAGAAATACTTTCAAGCCCAGTACACACACACACACACACACACACACACACACACACACACACACACACACACACGCACACATTCGAAACCAGATTCATACAACAATACTGATTATCCTTATTATATAAGATGGCATGTTGCTGTCTGATACTTTGTTTCATCTTTTAATGTTAATCTTGACATTAATATTAAACAGGGGCTGGGGCTCCCTTTATATCCAATTGATCACAGTCTACTAATGAGTCTGGAGTTACAGTCTGAAAAATGTTACAGTAGCTAAGCCACCACTTATTCATCCATTTAATGACTATATACTGGATATATATCTTGGGTTCCAGGTAATGCCAGGCACAGCTGAACATGTCAGTTCCATCTTTCCACCAGGACAGGCAGTTGAGAGAACACGCACTCAACGCTCCACTGTGTGCCACAACCCCGGGTCCGGAGCTAAGCACAATGCTTGCCCTTCGTGATTGAGGGGCTGTGCTAGCAGCTCCAGGCTGGACAACGTGCAGTCCTGCCTTATTCCACCCTCCAAGGAGGGCGCATGCTGCCCAATCTGCCACTGCTGATTGGTCTGCCTGCCAAGCCCCACCCCTGGGAGCCCCCACAGGAGTACAGCGTCCGTCTACCATTTGGATGGAGGCTCTTGTGGGCCCATTTACCGTGGAACCAGGCCTCAACAATCCTGGGCTCTTGCTTCCTGTCATGGGCCTCAGGCTGCTCCAGCTAGACAGGGGGCTCCTGGGGGACTCCATCTGAGTCCCTAGGCTTGGGTCCCTCAGCCACAAGCCCCAGGAAGCTCTGCCCTGACCACCCCTTGCTGGCCTGACTGGTGGAATGGGGAGGTCCCAGAAATGAGACTACGTTTGCACAACTGCAGTTGGAAGCATTATTTTAAAACTGCGTAACCTTCATAAAGCAGTCTTCAAGTAACAAACATTTTCACATATGCCAATAACAACCATGATGAAAATACAGACCAACAACTTTTACCCAAACCTCCTGGGACCAGATAGGTTTTGGAATTCAACACTTTTTAGATTTTCGTAAGGTCAGACAATGCATATTATACAACCTGCTGGTAGGAGCTGAGGCAGCCCCGTAATCAGACTTATTCACATTTCTGCCACAAAATCTATACATATTCACATTACGTGGGATGAATAACAACAAAAAGCAATCTCACACCAGTGCGGGGCAGCTTTTATTACCAAATACGTCCACCTCAGATCAGATCTGGCCATGAGATGGGATGCTTTCCCGAGTTTTGTGGATTTTGTAACTGGGGATAAGAAATGGTAGATCTGGAATAATAGCCTGGAGCACTTAACAGATGCCAGACCGGGAGCTAAGTGCTTTCCATGCATTTTCTCATCTTACCCTTGCAATCACCCCAGGAGGAAGCTACTGTTGTGCCCAGTTTACAGATGAGAAAACAAGCTCAGAGCAGGCAAGTGACACATTCAGGGTCATGCTGCAAACCCAGGTCTCTGTGGCCACAAAGCTGTGCACATCACCCCTCCACCCACAACCCCGCATGGATTCTCAGGAACCCTGTAGAGCTGAGACCAAACCCATTGGACAAATGAGGGAATGAGGGTGGGGCACGGAGCCCAGACTGGAATCCAGTCTGACTCAGGGGCCTGAGCTCCTCCCTGGCCCTGGAAAGGGGCAACACTCACCTGGGCCCATCCGGGGTGCCCACACACTGGGCCTCGTGTTGACATGGGTTCAGATCCGGAGAGCACAAGTCCACCAGCTGCTCACAGGCCTTTCCTGGGGAAAGAACGAGCAAGGGGCAGGAGAGAAGCTGCTCTCCTGTGCTCTGCCGGGCAGCCAGACCCACAGAAATCCTCCTGCAGACACTGAGGCAGGGATCCCCTTCCACTCCCGAGCATGGGGGCTCAGGGCTGTCTCTGTTCCCCACCTCCCCCAGACACTGCTGCCCTGACGCACTTACCCTCATACTGCAGGGGGCACTGGCAGGTGTAGTTGCCCACACCATCCACACAGACGCCCCCATTGGCACAGGCATGATCCACACAGTCATCTGTGTTCACCCCACAGGTTGGTCCTTCAAAGCCGGTGGGACAGGAGCACCTGTGCGGGGAAGGGGAGGATGGAGAGACAGCCCTCTTGGAACACTGGTGGAAGCCTGTGGCTGCCGGTTAATATCACCATTCCACGGAGTTAGGGTCCCTAATCCCGGCCAGGCCCTTGCCAGGTGCTGGGTAGGGTTAGAGGTGACCAAGACTGACCATGCCCTCATGGGATTCACTCACAGTCTAGTGGGGAGGCTAAAAGGAGATGGATGGCGAGGGGAGAGGTAGTGAGGACCAGGATGGTGTAAGCACTGAAGCCAGGGAGCGGGCACAGAGGGGCAGGAGACACCTGGCTCCTCCTTGGCACAAAGTGATAAGGGCAGGCTTCCTGGAGGAGGTGATGAATTAACCAAGGACCTTGACAAGGGAGAGCGGGAATGGGAGGAAGGTGACTGGGGCAGAGGTGTGTGTAAAAGCCTGGAGTGGCCAGGTGCGGTGGCTCATGCCTGTAATCCCAGCACTTTGGGAGGCCAAGGCAGGTGGATCACCTGAGGTCAGGAGTTGGAGACCAGCCTGGCCAACATGGGGAAACGCTGTCTCTATTAAAATACAAAAATTAGCTGGGCATGGTGGCATGTGCCTGTAATCCCAACTACTCGGGAGGCTGAGGCAGGAGAATCGCTTGAACCTGTGAGGTGGAGGTTATAGTTAGCCAAGATCATGCCACTGCACTCCAGCCTGGGTGACACAGCAAGACTCTGTCTCAAAAAAAAAAAAAAAGCCTAGAGTGGAAGGGAACCCCACAGCTAGTCTTCTATAGGGGCCCTGCCCATCCACACAGTCCAATACTTCAGGAGCACAGTGAGCAAAGGGCTGCGGTGAGCAGGAGCCTGGTCATGAGGGGCCCTGGGGATCAGTGACTTTCAAACCAAGATACACCTTCCCCTGGGGCACCCAAGGTTTTCCAAGGGGTGTGTGGATCAGAGAGAGGTCCAAGAAATTAATTTCCAGATCTTCAAATATCTGCACGAGCTCTTCCCTAAATTGACCCAGCTCAGAACTCTAAAAAGGTGGCATCTGTCCCAGCCCCAGCCCTTACAGACTGGGGGGTGATGGGACAAGCCCTCCAGGTAGAAAGGTGGGCATGCTTCCAGGTGCCAAATAAATGGGCAGTTAGGAATCCTGATGTTTAGAAAGTGAATGAATAAATGCAATCTAAGTCAAGAGGTTTCCAGTTCTGTGCACTGGAAGTAATTGAAGGAAGGCCTCATAGAACTGTCAGCTGATAGAACATTAAAAATAATCTTGATGACAGGTCACTGTGGAGATTTGGCATAAAAACTGGGAGGGCTTTCAAAGAATTAAGTGACATGGCTATAATAAAACTCCTAATCTCACCAGTTTATTTACATGAACAAACTTCCCAGCATTTATATCTATAAAAACAAAACAGGAAAAGATCAAACGCTGTGTCCTCTCTCATTCTGCAACATTCACCCATAAACCAACTGAGAGAAGAAAAGAACAAAAAAGCACCCATCCATCTCATTAAGAGAGATACAGTCCAATAAAATTTTCCTTCTATGTGTAATAATTTTCAATCCAATTCTATAATACAGTTATGTTGTTTCGAATTATTGTAGGGATAACTCGCTGCAAAAGAAACTTTAAATCAGAGGCTTATGGTGATGAGAAATAAGAAAAAAACTTTAAGTTTTAACTTACGTGTACCCATGTTGGGGACAGAGACGCATGGCAGAGTACTCAAGAAAAGAGTCTAGCATAAAAATATATTTGGTTAGAAAAAAAAGACAGGAGGGTAAGGAGTAAAATGGAAATACTAGTTAGAGGAGAAAAAAGAACAAGGTAAAATGTTTAACTGTTAAAGAAGAACTTGTTCGTGTCATTTTAAAATGGTATCCAATTGGCCACGTGGGGTGGCACATGCCTGTAATCCCAGCACTTTGGGAGGCCAAGGTGGGTGGATCCCTTGAGGTCAGGAGTTTGAGACCAGCCTGGCCAACATGGTGAAACCCCGTCTCTACTAAAAATACAAAAATTAGCCGGGTGTGGTGGTGCATGCCTGTAGTCCCAGCTACTCGGGAGGCTGAGGCAGGAGAATTGCTTGAACCCAGGAGGCAGAGGTTGCAGTGAGTCGAGATCTCGCCACTGCACTCCAGCCTGGGTGACAGAGCGAGACTCTGTCTCAAAAAAAAAAAAGTGTCAAAATGATGTGCTGTTTAGATTGCATTGGAGAATGATAAAAGAGTGATTTAATGTCATATTTTTAAAGCTTAATTTATTTTTTTATTTTAGAGACAGTTTCACTGTGTTGCCCAGACTGGAGTGCAGTGGTATGATCACAGCTTACTGCAGCCTCAACTTCCTGAGCTCAAGTGATCCTCCCTCCTCAGCCTCCTGAGAAGCTGGGACTATAGGCATTCACCATTACACCTGGTTAATTTTTAATTGTCTGTAGAGATGGGTTTTGCCATGGGGATTTTGCCATGTTGCCCAGGCTAGTCTCCAACTACTTGTCTTAAGGCCCTTCCACCTTAGCCTCCCAAATAAAGTGATAGTTTTATTCTTAAATGTTAATAATATTTATAATATCTGGAAAAATTACCTCCTTTGCAATGAAAAACTTAAAATGAAAATTTTAGCTGTCAATCTAAGGATGTGTGAGGGAGTGTATAGTTTTTAGAATGTATCTGGGGAGTCTGTGAGTAAAAAGAATTCAAATCACCATTGCAGGAAATGGTCTGTGGTTAACTGTTTTCCCTGAAGGCTGGAGGGGACCAGCAGCAGGGTTTTAAGCTGGGGTGACAGGGTCAGTTTCACATTTCAGAAAGTGGCCTGTGGTACGAGCTGGGGCAGGGTAGCGGGAGTAGACACAGGTCAGGGGATAACAGGTGCCCCAGAGAGCCTTGGGGTTGAGGGGTAACTCGTGGAGGCACCCCCTTTCCACCTGGAGAGCCCACTCCCGCAGCCCGCATTCTGTAAGGCAGTGAGGTGAGGGGGCTGCCCCATCTCCCCATCTCAGGGTGAAGGGGGTGTCCTTTCAGCCCCCAGCTGGGGCGTCTCAGGAATGAGGAGGGCGCGCCCAGGGAGTTGCTCACCGAAGCCCCGAGGAGGCTGGGTGCAGAGTGTAAGGACGCCGTTTCCAAGGCAACCAGGGGAAGAGAGGCCATTTAGTGATTCATTTTTACATCTGGTAATTTGGGTATGCAGAGGCAGGCTCAGCCATTTCTGCCCCCAGATTCAACATCATTTTCGGAAGAGCCAATGTATTGCGCCAGCAATTTATTTTCAGCAACTAAATACTATGTATTCCTCAGAAAAGCTCTGGGAGGGTGGGGCTCATTGGGCGGTCCTGTGGGGAGCAGCCAGTGGGAGGGCGCTTGCGTTGTGATGTCAGCTCTGGAAGGACTTAAGAGATGGGGTCATTAGGGCTGGCCCCTTCACTGAATAGCAGAAAATGGGCTGCTCAGGGCAGGGCCGGAGGGCTATCCCCTCCCACAGTGCCCAGTGTGACTCATGAGATGGGGGGACCCCAGAGAAAGCAAACAGGCCTTGGCTCCCACCTCTGGGCAGGCCTCACCCACCCAGTGGCAGCCCCAGCTGTGTCTCAGGGGCTCAGGGGGCAGCTTGAGGAGGCTGGCCAGGGCCCTGTCTGCAGGCAGCACTGTCAGGAGCAGGCTCTTCGAGGGAGATTGGAGGCTTTGGGGTGAATGGAAATTTTCTTTTCTTTTTTTTTTTTTTTTTGAGACAGAGTTTCGCTCTTGTTGCTCAGGCTGGAGTGCAGTGGAATGATCTTGGCTCACTGCAACCTCCGCCTTCCAGTTTCAAGCGATTCTCCTGCCTCAGCCTCCGGAGTAGCTGGGATTACAGGCGCGTGCCACCACACCCAGCTAATTTTTGTATTTTTATTAGAGATGGGGTTTCACTATGTTGGCCAGGCTGGTCTCAAACTCCTGACCTCGTGATCTGCCCACCTCGGCCTCCCAAAGTGTTGGGATTACAGGAGTGAGCCACCGAGCACGGCCTGAATGGAAATTTATAGGAATTTCAAACACCCCTGCTGTGGTCCTTGGCACTGCACTGTATATGCTTTGGCCATGGAATCCGAGTGCCTTCAAAAAGGCCCCCATGGCACCTGGCAGGAGCAGGAAGAAGGCCTGGAGCAGGAGGCAGCAGAGCCCACTCCAAGCCCTGCTCAACCCTGGAGCTGGGGAGCTGTGCGGCTTAGGTATCCACTGGTCTCTCTGTGCTCCCACTGCATCTGCGCAAGGAAGGGCTTGGCCTGGTGGGCTTGGAGAGCCCTCTGGCTATGATTTGGAGTACATGCCTGCCCCCGACAGTGCGCCTCCACCTCCCCACAGGGCACAGGAGGCCTGGGCCATCCCTGATGGAGAGGAGGGCCCTGAGGCACAGGTGCTGGGCCCATCAGCACTCACCAGGCTCCTGCCCCTCCAGGTAACTCACGTGAACGGGGCATCCTCGCCCTCCTGTGCATGGCAGGTGCCCCCATTTTCACAGGGGCCACTGGAACAGCTGTCCAGGGACACCTCACAGTCTCGACCCTGGGGGGAAAGTCAGTGATGGGGACCCCAGGGAGACCCAGGAGTTAGTATGAGCCAACAGCCAGCCAGACCCTCAGCAGCTCAGCCTCTCCCTGTCCCAGGAGTTACTTGTTTTCATTCATTCATTCGTCCACTTCATTCATTCATTCATTCATTCATTCATTCATTCATATGTTAAGTCATTAATTACAGGTTCACTCAAGCATCTGCTCTGAGTCAGGCAGTGCTCTGGGCCCTGGGGACAGCCCTGCAGTGTACACGAAGAGCCCTCCTCCTCCCCGGCCTCTGCCTCCACTCACCTTATAGCCGCTGGGGCAGGCGCACCTGTACACCTCAAGGGGGTCGTTGTGGCAGGTGCCCTGGTTCTGGCACGGACTGGACAAGCAGAGATCACACTTGGCCTGGACAGCCAGCGTTGGAGGACCTGCAGCAAGGGGAGGGTGCTAGTGCAGGGGGAGGGGTGGGCAGCACAGGGCTGGGCACAGAGCACCTCAACCCCGAGGAGCCCATGTCCAAGGAGCCGTTTCCCCTCCTGATTTTTCCCCAGATCGTGCTCACACTCCCCTTGCACTGCCCACCTTTCCAGCCTCCAGACCCTTTTCTGTAAAATGGGGTTAATGACAGCCCCTCCCTCTGGGCTGGAAGGGCTAAAGCAGTGAATTCCAGTGTGCAAAGCATGCTTGGCAGGCAGGCGGGCGGGCACTGTGCACAGTGGCCATTAGGGCCGCATGATCCATGTAAGAAGGGGACAGTTGCTACCACCGAAGTTGGCCAACCCTTCCTCTTTCCCCTCATGCCCTTCTGAGGCAATGACCCCATCCTGACACCTGCTGACTAGGAGGACAGAAGGTGGTCACCTCGGCAGAGAGGAGACGGTGACTTTGTGAGCATCGTGCCCAAGCTCGGCTCTGCAGGTTGGCCACACCAGGGAGCAGGGGTTGTTACCCTCCATGCCTGAGCCAGGGAGGACCATTTTCCCCCACCTCCCTGCTACAGCAGGCCCCTCCAGCATCTCCAGGATGCACTGGTTGTAGAAGTAACCAGAGGAGCCGACAGCCAGGCCGCCTGGGACACCACCCGTAAGGGGCAGCAGGATCTCAGGAGACTAAATAGGAAGACCAGTGAACTCAGGCTTCCCCAGAAGATGCCTTCTAGAAGGGGTGGAATATTACTCCTGCTGAAGAGGCATGAGCATGAATAGAAATAAAAACACTTTTCAGCAACGACTAGCACACATGACGGACTTCTGGGGTAGAGATGGGGTTCTGTTTCCTTTCTTTTTTCCTTTATTTTCCTTTATTTTTTTTTTTAGACAGGGTCTTACTCTGTCACCCAGGCTGCAATGCACTGGCGCACACATGGCTCACTGCAGCTTCAACTTCCTGGGCTCAAGCAATCTTTCCATCTCCACCCAGTAGCTGGGACTACAGGCACACACCACCATGCCCAGCTAATTTTTAAAATTTTTTTGTAGCAACAGGGTCTCTCCATGTTGCCCAGGCTGGTCTCGAACTCCTGGGCTCAAGCGACCCTCCCACCTCAACCTCCTAGAGTGCTAGGATTACAGGTGTGAGCCACCACGCCCAGCTGGGGTTCTGTTTCTTGATCCAGGTGCAGGTTACCTGGGTGAGTTCAGTTTGTGAAACTTCAGCAACCCATTCACTCATGATCTGTGTACTTTAATGTGTGTGTTCTCTTTCGATAAAAATAATAAAACAAAACAAAACCCCTTCTCACCAGCACCAATCCCACCCCATTAAATAAACACAGAGCAAAGGTTTCAGCATAAATTGACTTGCTCCCAACAGCCAAGCCGCAGATCAGGCCCCCCGGAGCCGTTACGGCTGTGACAGCATCCTGCATGCAGGGTGGCCCAGGGCCTCCTCATTAACCTACAGCTGTCAGCTTCATTTCCAACAGTGGCCTCTGAGCTTGCAGAGGGCAGGAGCCGTGCTCCACGGCCTCCAGTGTCCTCCCCCCGCTGTACCCCTGCACATAAAGCCCGGCCCCGGCGGCCACTCAGCCACCTGTCTGTGCTCAGCAGGGCTTCTGGGGCTTGAGCTGTCAGTCACTCAATCCCTGAATGAGTATTTACAAATGCCCACAGTGGAGGGTCCCGGGGCAAAGCCGGAACCAGCCTCCAGTGACACTCCAGCTCTGTATTTCTGTAAATGTCGGGAGAGTGGCTGCTGGGACCCTTGCTCCACCAGGGACTGAGAGAGGTCTAAGTTAACTGCTGAACACAATTCCTACCAAAGGGAGGTCTGAGCGCATGCTCTGCTGCGAGGCTTGGAGCTTCCAGAAACACTGCTGCTATTTTTATTTTCCTTATGTAACCACAGGGAGGGATTACGGCCCTGACGGCCTGGGATTTTTCTGCCTGGCTCTTTTTGTCCATGATATGTCAGGATTGGAAGGCAGCCATCAAGCCGCAGGTGCCTTGTTCCTGTCCCCTGACCCCCCGCCCAGCGGTCACCACAGGGACGCAGGCATGTTAGGAAGGCCCTGCAGTGTTGGGCAAGTTCTGTGAGCCCCCAGCAGCAGGAGGCTGTGCTCCTAGGCTCACCTTGGCATTCAAACTTCTTGGCAGGCGTGGTGAGGAGCAGCTTGCCCTCCATGTCCTGGGGCCCAGCACAACGAGCAATGCCCGGTTCCTTGTAGCCAGTCTTCACCCAGCTGGACAGCCAGCGGAGGTGGCAGTCACAGTATAGGGGGTTGGCACCAATGGCCCTGAGCAGAAAGCAGAGAGAAGCAGGCATTACAGCTTCATGGGGTCCCTCGCCCACTGGGAACCTAGAGTCCCAGGCACTGCACCAGGGGCTGGCAAAAATCTTAGCCTCCATTTCATGAGCATTTACTGTATAGTCAGTGCTGCTTTTTTTTTTTTTTCTTTTTTTGAGATGGAGTGTCGCTCTGTCGCCCAGGCTGGAGTGCAGTGGCGTAATATCAGCTCACTGCAACCTCTGCCTCCCAGGTTTAAGCAATTCTCCTGTCTCATACTCCCAAGTATCTGGGATTACAGACACACACCGCCATGCACAGCTAATTTTTGTATTTTTAGTAGAGACGGGGTTTCACCATATTGACCAGGCTGGTCTTGAACTCCTAAACTCAGGTTATCCACTCACCTCAGCCTCCCAAAGTGCTGGGATTACAGGCGTGAGCCACCGTGCCTGGCTGCCAGTGCTGTTTTAAGCACTGCATATGCATTGTCTCACTTAGTCATCACCACACGCTACTATTCTCATTTTACATGTGCAGAAACCGAGGCTCAAAAAGGCTGAGGAATTTGCCTAAGATCACACAGAGAAACGGGAAGCTGTTGGGGCCATGCTGTTGGGGCCAGAGCCTACGAATGCACTGCCTCCAGTGTGCATGGGGAGAAAGCAACCCACATCGACTGCTGCAATGAGACAGCTGCTTTTCCTGTGTTTGGGCACCGAATCATCTCATCAGCCCCACTGTGCAAGTTTTCTCCTCTCCATCTCAAAGATGTGGGCACCGAGCCTCCCATGGAATAAGTAATTTCCCTGGGGTCACACAACTAGCTAAGGGCAGCCCCTGGATCCAGATGTGCCGCTGTCTGCCTCCGAAGCCCATGCTCTTTTATTTTTCTTTGCATTTTTAATTAAACAGAACACATGAATGCATTCTCATTGTCAGCCACTTTCAAGCATTGCAGACAAAGCAAGTGTCTGCCCTGCACAACACTGTGAATGATTAAATGCCACCGAGTTGCACACTTTTTAAAAAATGCTTAATTTGGTATTATGTGAATTTCACCTCAATTTTTTTGAAGGCACATTCCTGTGTTACTGATGGGGGTGCAAAATAGTAGAGCGCCTGTGGAGGGGAATTGTGTGACACTTATCATATGACTTATGCAATTGCCTTCTGATCCAGCCATTGTTTCTGGGCGTTTACCTGTAGGCACACATAAAGACATCTGTGCAATGGGCCTATTTGTAATGGAAAGACTGGAAACCCCATGTTCATCAATGGGGAGTGGTTATATAAATTGTGATACATTCACATTACGAAAAACAAAAGTCTACACCCCACTGTCACTGCCCTCCACAAAGGGGCACACAGTCACAGGGTCACCATGCTCAGGCGTGTAGCCTTCCAGGCCTTTCCCACACGTACACACGTGGTTCCTCCTTACAAATCACATCACTACTGAGCAGCTTGCTCCTTGTCACTAAACAGCACGTCTTGGGAATCTTCCTGGTCAGCATATAAGCATCTATCTCATTGTGTCCAACTGTTCCGCAATATCCCAGAGTGGATATCCCATGGCACAGTGGACAGCGTCCCTGTTGCTGGACATTCTGGTTCTTTCCAATGGCAGTGAATACTCATACGTGCCTCTTTTTTTTTTTTTATGAGACAGGGTCTCACTCTGTGGCCCAGGCTGCAGTGCAGTGGTACGATCTCAGCTCACCGCAACCTCTGCTTCCCAGGTTCCAGTGATTCTTGTACCTTAGCCTCCTGAGTAGCTGGGATTACAGCGTACACTACCACGCCCACCTAATTTTTTTTTTTTTTTTTTTGTATTTTTAGTAGAGATGGAGGTGTCGCCAAGTTGGCCAGTCTGGTCTCAAACTCCTGGCCTCAAGTGATCCGTCCACCTCAGCCTCCAAAAGTGCTGAGGTTACAGGTTTGAGCCACTGCACCTGGCTCCTTTTTGTGTGGTGTGAGAATTTCTCTAGAACAGATGCCTAGAAGTAGGATTTGGGGGTCAGAGGAAGCACGTGTAATATGCTAATAGCCCGCCCCCAACTGCAAAGGTTGTATCCACTTACACTGGCCATCAGTACAAGGCTGGGCCTGCTCTCACGCCTGCACCAACATACTGCCAACCCCTTTGTTTCTTACCAATCTGATGGGCAAGCTCAGAATCTCTCCACTAAACCACATGAGAGACTTAGAGATGGACAAGACATGGATTTTAGGGTAAGAAAGAGCCAGAATTCCGGCCGGGTGAGGTAGCTCATTCCTGTAATCGCAGCACTGTGGGAGGCCGAGGCAGGCAGATCACCTCAGGTCAGGAGTTCGAGACCAGCCTGGCCAAAATGGTGAAACCCCATCTCTACTAAAAGTACAAAAATTAGCCGGGTGTGGTGGCACATGCCTGTAGCCCCAGCTACTCGGAAGGCTGAGGCAGGACAATCACTTAACCCGGGAGGGGGAGGTTGCAGTGAGCTGAGATCATGCTATGGCACTCCAGCCTGGGCGACAAGACTGAAACTCAGTGGAAAAAGAAAAAAGAAAAGAGAGAGAGAGGAAGGAAGGAAAGGAGGGAGGGAGGGAGCGAGGGAAGGAAAAGTGGGCCAGAGTTCTCTGACTCAGCAAATATGAATGCCTTATGCCTAAAGTTCATTGATATCAACATTATTTTGAAAATATAAGGCTAAATAACGTGAATGAGAATGGGCACATTTACTAAATAACCAATGGATGCCTTGCCATTTTCCACCTGTTTCTGGGCAGGACAGAGGAAGCAGTTACCCTTGAGACCTGTACAACCTGATTAAAGCAGCAGTGGCTCTGAACAGGAATTCCCCAAAATAGCTCAGCTGATGATTCACAATCTTATAAAGCAGGCTGAACAAGACCTGGACTCCGGCCCCCATGCAGCTGCCCCGTGCCTGGGCGACCTTGAGTGGCTCCCTTAATATATCTGGGGGTCACTTCATGTTTCAATAAAGAGCCTGCAACCTAGAGGGAGAAGACAGACAAGCACGCATGACCTAAAAGAGGTGCTGAGGGAACAACACAGCTCAGAAAAGAGAGCAGGTTCGACCTCGGCATGTGTTTCATTTTTTTCTTTCCTTATTTGCTGACAGCATCCATCCTGGCTAACGGGATGGGTGATTTTTTTCTGAAGTTCCAGTGTGTTTAGAAAAACAAAGACTTTTTAAGATAACAGGAATTTTTAAATGGTGGTATATTTAAAATGTTTACACTCACCAGATTAGTATTTTTATACTAACAAAAAGTGTGATGTCACATAAGTATGTTATTCGAAAGATAAATACACAATGTATTTCTAAGTATTTTTTATAGCACATGATAAGGAGTGTGGCCTGGCAATGAGCCACAAGTTGAAAGATGATTGGGAATGCTTTATTTCAGTCCTGTAGCTCATTTAGAGAAAAATGCCAAAAAGATGAAATCTGAGGCCCTGTGAAAGAGAGGGCCCACGGCGTGGCTTACGGTCCCTCCATAAATGTCAGCAAAGTGACACCTGAGATGTAAGTGCTCCTTCCCCTCTCTCCATCATAAAAAAAATATGGGTGCAGGCCAGGAGCGATGGCTCACGCCTGTAGTCCCAGCACTTTGGGAGGCTGAGGCAGGCAGATCACCTGAGGTCAGGAGTTCAAGACCAGCCTGGCCAACATGGTGAAACCTTGTCTCTATTAAAAATACAAAAATTAGTTGGGCATGGTGACAGGCGCCTGTAATCCCAGCTACTCCACTCAGGAGGCTGAGGCAGGAGCATCGCTTGAACCCAGGAGGCAGAGGTTGCAGTGAGCTGAGATCGGACCACTGAACTCCAGCCTGGGCAACTTGTGGCTCATGCCACACCAGCCGTCTCAAAAAACAAAAACAAAAAAACAAAAAACGACAACAACAAAAAATATGGGTACAAAGTCACGTCTAAAGCTATTCAAAAATATAAATTCTGGATTGGCCCACACTTGCTTTTCCTTGTTTCTATACTGAATAGACTCTGAGCCACACCTGAATTCAACATTACAAGCTTTCATTTATCCAAAGGCTGGATTTTCGGGGCTGAGGACTGCCTTGCCCTCTCTTCGGTAGTACTTGTAGTTTGCATTCATCTGGGGACTATTTCTCCTGACGAAAACTCCTGTGAACTCAGTGGGGAGTGCAGAGCCAAGGCCCGACTGAGATGTATTTGGTGGTCAGGGGTTGGGGAGGCAGACACCGCAGCCAGGCCACGCCAATCCAAAAGGACTGTGGATTCAGGTTTATACCCCAGCCAAAGTAAAAATAACCCTGTGTTGTTGATCTCTGGCATAATATGGAAATAGTTGAAACAGTAGCTATTTGATCTGTTCATGCCAAGGCCCTACCCAGCTCCTATTTGCGTAACCTGGACTGAAATAGCGCCCCCTGGCTGTCTTACAAGTCACAGAATCATCCATCCCACTCCTAGGCGATCTATCTGTGCGCATCACTGTCTCCTGCTGCATTTGAGGGCAGAAACCACTAAATCCCCAGCTGTGTCAGGCACTAGCAGGCACCAGTCAATGTCTGGTGAATGAATGAATGCCTGTCTAAAAGCATGAGAAAAGCACAACATCTTAGTGCAAAGGAAATTCAAAAAGAAAAGAACCACCTATCATCCCATAAATGCAACTGATTTGATTTTAGTGTATTCCCTTCCATTTCCTGTGTATATGTTTGTACATCAGAGTGTACAGTCTACTTTATTCTAGGTTTTCATCAAATAATAAGGTATAGTGTTGGCCGGGCACGGTGGCTTATGCCTGTAATCTCAACACTTTGGGAGGCTGAGGCGGGTGGATCACCTGAGGTCAGGAGTTTGAGACCAGCCTGGCCAACATGGCGAAACCCCATCTCTACTAAAAATACAAAACTTAGCCAGGCATAGTGGCAGGTGCCTATAATCCCAGCTACTCAGGAGGCTGAGGCAGGAGAATTGGTTGAACCCGGGAGGCGGAGGTTGCAGTGAGCCGAGATCTCACCACTGCACTCCAGCCTGGGCGATAAGAGCGAAACTCCGTCTCTAAATAAATAAATAAATAAATAAATAAATAAATAAATGTGTTGTCTTTATCATCATTATTAAGTACTTGCTATTCTGTCATATGGGCATGCCATAATTTACTTAATCCTTCCATATTTCCTTTCATGCCAAATTCTTAATGCATTTGGACATCTAGCTTTCCAGCCTACAGCAAATGAGAGGCAACAAAATGCCAGAGTATAGCAATGAAGACAGACATTGGGGAACCCTAGCCTGGGACCTGGTGCATAGTAGATATTTGCTGATGGCTGGCTGGCTGAATGGAAGATGAGTTAACTGCAAAGTAAATAGCAGCAGAGGATTGTGCAGGGTATTGAAGTCCAGCACAGTAAAGAGTGCTCACAATCATTACAGCATGTGTGAACCATGTGAGACCTTAGAAATCATCTTCGTGTAGGTAAGAAAATAGGCCTCAAGAGAAGAATAAATTGTCTGAAAGCCCATTGCAAGTTGATGGCAGAACAAGAACCTAAAGCCCCAAGTCCTGATTAGTCTAGAGTTCAAGGGTTTTAAATAGGAAGACTTCCCCTCTTCCACACACCCCTCCTCCACACTGCGAGTGGACAGGAGAGGCCCTGGCCAGAGTCAGATCAGGAGCAGGGCTTCTCAGTAACATCAGCACCTTCAGGAACCAGGAACACTGGATGGTAACTCCTGGCTAACCCTCGATTGTCACTTGTCATAGAGCCGTGTGCGAGGGCCTCCCTTCAAATTGCATACAGCTTTCACGAAGCCCGGAGTGAATGTAGTGGGTCTATGTCATCCTTTTACCGTTCTTCAATTCCTTATAAGTGCTCAATATTCTTTCTGGAAGAGTTGCAGGTCTTAAGCACAGAGGCGACAACCACTGTATGTGTGTACATGACATATATCCCATCAATACTGCATGTGCATATGTGCAAACACATGAATATAAGTACACACACATCTTCCAGGCTGCTGCCTGTTTCCATCTTAAACCCTGGGTATAAAGGGCAGAGTTTATCCACAAGCTTTCTTGATAACAACTGAAGGTTTCTTTCACACAGATGCTGTTTCGTAGAGAAATTAAGCTTAGGTGCAATTAATAAACACATCTAATCAGTAAAACTGATGCCACTTTCTACAAGTACTGCTAACCTGATCTTTACTTATTGGTTTATTTCTTATAAACTAGATCTGGCTTCTGGCCTGATATCACTGTTCTCCTAAAGAAAGTCTTAATTTATAGATGGGTATAGGCTCAACATTTGTTTTTGCAGCTTTGGTTTTTTTGGTTTGCTTAAAACATATGTTGTTTGTTCACCTCTCATTTGAAAAACAAAACCTCTAGATTTTGAGCTGGAGACAAGATGTACTCAGGTGTTATTTGGTTCTCATGAGGAAGGAGAAAAGGTAGCCAACTGCACATCTGCACAGTTGAACCCCGAGTACAAGAGATACATTAAGGGGGGGCGGAAATGCAAAGGTGTAAAATGTAGACTAGATGCTGAAAAGGCTAAGGTGGACAGTGAAAGTGGACACTCGGCTATGCCCAGGTGTATGCAACAAAAGCTATGTGGTCCCAGGGTAGCAGCAGCCCTTGGTGCCCAGCAGAGACAAGCACAAATGCACTCTGGAGAGGAGCATCTCCAACTTAGCTCTTCAGAGTTCCTAAAGACATGTCAGCAAAAATGAGCATGCAACCAAAAATTACCCAACACAGATGGAAACAAGCCCCTGTGAATTCAAGTCAGTAGGAACAATAAACAACACTGTCCCAACCTGGCCTATGTCCAGAGGCACCACCTCCAGCAGGGCTCACTCCTGCCTCCTCCCACCCCACTCACCCTCTGTATGTCACCATGGGCTTTCCAGGAGTTTCCTGAAACTCAGTTCCCCACAATTCCCTTTCTTTACACAATGAAGTGCAAACTCCCTAGCAGGCACAAATGGTCCTTCACAACAGAATTCCAATGTCCCTTTCCAGATTAATCTCCTCCCACCCCACATTCCTGCCCCAACCAAACACCCTTTATCCTATGCTGGACAACGCAGCATCCTTGAACATCCCATTTTTTCATGTTCATGCCTTTGCACATGCTGTTCCCTCTTCCTAGAATTCCCTTCCTCACTTTCTCCAACTGGCCAACTCCTAGTTCCTTTCCAATGACAGCATAAATGGTACCTCCTCTGTGAAGCCCCTTGGACTTGCCCAGAGTTAGTCACTGCTTCCTTTGAATTCTCTTTATAAGATCCCAAATGGTCACAGTGGGCAGAAACCTTGTGTTAGTAAATTCTTCAGCACTAGAGTCACTCTGGTTACCCAGGATGTATTTATTAAGGCAATAGAGTAAAGAATAAATAGCGAGCTTTGGAATCAGACACACCTAAATTCAAATCCTAGGGAAGCTGCCTAAATTTTTAGAACCTAGGACTGTAAAATGGAAATAATAAATCAAATCCTACCACCTGAGGCAGAGCCCCTTACCCCTCCCACTTCCATGGCAGACATTACAAATCAATCACAGCACCCCTCCCACTGAGTCCAGGTCCAGCCCTGGAATCTTCAGTGCGGTCCTCAAGACAGTTCCTGCCAATCATGTGGAGCTGGCTCATAACATAAAACGCACTTCCCGGTTCAATCATGGGGTAATCAAGACCTTGTAGATGAGGCACAGAGTATAGTATTTGACTCAGGCAGACCCTCAAAGGGCAACACCTGTTACTATTTTATCTCCTGAAGTCTAAGATTGTTTGATGCACCGCTGATTTAACATGCTTTCTGAAGGGTGGGGAACATTACCATATTAAATATACACTCTGGTTTTAGAGTTTAAAATGTAGAAAAGGTGAGTCTTAGAGAAAATCTAGCGAGACTGATGAGTGAATGAACTTCAAGAAGAGTGGCTTGGGGCCCCAAAAGGCTCTCCAACCTGGGTATGCCTGCCCACCAGGCCCCTTTTAGGGCTTGAGGATGGGGCTGACAGCAAAAGGAGACAGTTGCACCTGAGGTGCCAGGCAGAGTCCACGTGGCCACAGTTCTCCTATCCTGCCTCAGCCAGTAATGCCAAGAGATGCCAGGAGAGAATGTGCCTGCTCAGTGCCCAGCCCAACCTCCAGAATTAGGATGGCCCTGTCACAGTCCAGTGCTTTTTGATTTCGTCTGTTTTTTATATGGCAAAATATATATATCACATGAAATTTGCCACTTTCAACATTTTAAGTGTACAATTCAGTCACATTGATTGTATTCACAGTGTTGTACAATATCACCACTACCTATTTCCAAAACATTTTCATCACCCCAAAAGAACTCTGTGCTCATTAAACACCAACTCCCCATGGCCCCTGCCTCCAGCTCCTGGCATCCACCATTCTACTTTTTGTCTCTATGAATTTGACTGTTCTAGGTACCTCATATATACTGAATCATACAATATTCGTCCTCTTGTGTCTGGCTTATTTCACCTAACATAATGCCTTCAAGATTCATCCATGTCATAGCACGCATCGGAACTTCATCATTTTTATGGCCAATACCCCATTGTATGTATGTAGTACGTTTTGTTTATCATCTGTGGACATAGGCTGTTTCCAGTTCGGGGTTATTATGTAAAATGCTGCAGTGAACATTGGTGTACACACATCTGTTTGAGTCCCTGCTTTCCATTCTTCTGGATATACCTCTTAGAGTGGATTGCTGGGTTATACAGTAATCCTATGTTGAGATTTTTGAGGAATCAAGCCCACTGCTTTTAAGGAATTCTCATAGCACTGCTAGCTAAATGGTTTTGGAAGTAATTCTACATTGAATTACAGCACCTATTGGAGGCAGTAAATTTCCAGAGCTTATCCTGCACTGTGTGAAGTCGGAGGCACAGTACTAGTGGAGCGCTTAAGAGCACTGGCCTAGGAGTCAGAAACCTCACCACCCTGCAGCTGTGCAGCTTTGGGCAAGCATCCCACTTTTTCTCCATCCATTTCCCGGTGTGAAAGATGAGAACCACAGCACCTATGTTGTAGGATAACTGTGAGGCGCACATTAGCTGAGGCAGGCGAAGTGCACAGCAATCGATCAATGGTCATGACAACCTTCACTACCGCTTGCGAGGAACTGTTCTTCTACTCTATTGCTGTGGCTGATGAACCACTGGACATATAAGAGTCCCAGAAGGTGCACGTGGGAAGTTCCCAAGCTTAATTTCAGAGTAAAAGCAACAAACTCTGACAATCTCAGGAGGTGGGATCTTCTCAGAAACCAAGTCCTGTTGAAATCCAAAGAGGCCCAGAGAAAGGGGCTAGGGTACTCACAGGTGAGACAGGGAGGTCACGTCTGCAAAGATGCCCTCTTGGAGGGTGGAGATGTCATTGCCGTGGAGAGACCTGAGAAGGGAAGAGGCTGCTGGTGCCTTATCCAGGGACAGAGATGGGAGACCTGCTGGAGGGAGAGGCCCAGCCCTCTGCAGAGAGGGGACAGGCCGTGCCTTCCCTCTAGGCCTCTCAGTCAGTGACCTGAAGGAGATGGCCCCTAGCTCAGCTGGCCACAGGGAAGAAATCCTCCAGGCAGACGGCCCTGTCCCCAAGCCCTTCGGAGGACTGAAACACTGTGTTTACATTACAAACAGGACCCGTGCACCCAGAGCCCTCCCTCTTTTCGTGGAGGACCCTAAGGGGGGAGGCGCTTCTTCTTAGGAAGTTAAGAAGGACAGCCACAGGTTAGGGCTGGGAGAATGTCACCTTGCCCCTGGTGGGCTGACTGAGGCCATCATAATGGATGGACTGAGGGCTTTGATCCCAGGGCAAAAACCTCACAGTGAGAACTCACAGAAGAGGTTCACAAATCTCTTGCAAACAAACATTCTTTAATCTGAACAGAAGTCTCACATGCAAATGAAGGGCCACCTTATTTTGGATGTCCCGCCCCTACCACCACAAACTCATCTTGGGGGTGACAGCAACCCCCATTTCTCAGATCATTTCCCATGCACGCCCCAGCTTCTTGGGAATGAGAGTATCCACAGGGGCTTAAGTGACAGCACTCTGGACTCCACCATGGCACAGCGTGGGCCCTAGACATGGGAACATTTCTGCCCACCAGGTGGGTGGCAGGACCCTCAGTGGGGTGGATTTTCTGGCAGGATGGTGAGTGAGGAGACTTACAGCAGGCGCAGGGAGCGGAGTCCCTGGAAGGCCAAAGGCGGGATGCACTGCAGGGCATTGTAGCTGAGGATCCTGCGGAGGAAGGAGATGGAGGAAGGGCACTGTGTTAGTGCCTGGCCCCTGTGGGCACAGCCGCCGCCCAGGACGTGGAGGTCCCTCTCACCCAGCAGCCTCCTCGGGCTCTGTGAGGGGAGGCAGAGCAGCCGGCAAGTGCATGGGCTGGGCTGCGCCCTAAGAAGCTGGTGGTCTTGGGCATGCCCCCTAATCCCTTCTGCCTCAATCAGTTCCCCCGACTGTAAAATAGGGACAAAAATAATGCCAACTCCATAGGGCTGTCCTGGGGACGAAATCCAGGTGAAGCACTTAGCATCATGCCTGACTCCAATAAATCCTCAACAAAGGAGAGTTGCTGTTGTTATGATTGAGAACATTCCCTAAGGGGCTGCCCCAGCAAGGTGCATAGGCGAGTTCCCTATGAAGGTGACACCTGACTGCGGGGAGCTCACCGTCTCAGCCGACCACTTCCAGGGAGGACAGGCAAAGTCATCTACAATAATTTACTATTGAAAAGCTGTGACAGTGAGGAAGGTGCTGTCACTATTCCCATCTTATAGATGAGGAGACTGAGGCCTTGAGAGGTGAAAAAACTTCTCCAGGGTCACATTATTAAGTCATTAAGAAGGCTGGATGCGGTGGCTGACTCTTGTAATCCCAGCACTTTGGGAAGCTGAGGTGGGCGGATCACCTGAGGTCAGGAGTTTGAGAACAGCCTGACCGACATGGCAAAACCCCGTCTCTCCTAAAAATACAAATATTAGCCAGGCATGGTGGTAGACGCCTATAATCCCAGCTACTCGAGAGGCTGAGGCAGGGGAATCACTTGAATCTGGGAGGCAGAGGTTGCAGTGAGCCAAAATCGCGCCACTGCACTCCAGCCTGGGCGACAGAGCGAGACTCCCCATCTCAAAAAAAAAAAAAAAAGTTATTAAGAAGGGATTTTCATTATAGCTTTCAGTTTCCAGAGCCCACAGGCTAAGCCACTGTCCCAAAATGCTTCCAAGTAACTGAATCCATCCAGGGCAGACAGGCAGATTAACAAGGGAAATCACACTTGCAATAGCGTCATGCTGGAAACAGCCCCCGTGTTCCCCAGCAGACGAATGGATGAGCAAACTGTGGCACATCCATGCCTGTACAGTGGAACACAGCTCAGCAATGAGAAAGAGCTACCGGCACATGCAACACCACACCATGGGTGAAGCTCAAAATAATCATGCTGGGCGCAGAAGCCAAGCAAAAACGACTTTCTCCATTTGTATGTAAAACCCTAGAAAATGCAAACTAACCTACAGTGACAGAAAGCAGACCAGTGGTTGCCTGGGTCTCGGAGCTGGGAGAGGCAGGAGCAGGGGATTATCAAGAATAGCACTCTTTTTCTTTCTTTCTTTTTTTTTTTTTTTTGAGACAAGGTCCAGCTCTGTCACCCAGGATGGGGTGCAGGGGTGTGATCTTGGCTTGCTGCAACCTCTGCCTCCCAGGCTCAAACCATCCTCCCACCTCAGCCCCCCAAGTAGCTGGGACCACAGATGTGCACCACCACACCTGACTAATTTTTTTATTTTGTATTTTGGCTTGGGCCCACATTCAGCTCCTGGAGAATGGCTGGGTCAGGGCCCCTTCCTTTTTTGGGTACTGGCTCTACTGTTCTATCTGTAAAGTGAGGTGTTGGAAGGTGAATGAGATACTTTTACACACCAGGCAAATATAAGGGACACTTGGTAATATGTTCTGATCAGTTGCTTGGAATATAATTAAAGCCAGCATTTAAATATCTTAGAATATGGCCACAAAAAATGTTCAGAGGGTCACCGCTCACAACAATCCAAACTGGAAACAACCTCAATATCCATCAAGACTAGAATAGATGAGGAAAGTGTGGCCCGTTCCTCCAAAGGAACATTACCTAGCAATGAGAATGAACAGACCACAGCTGCCACGGTGGCATGAATGGATCTCATAGACAATGCTAAGCAAGAGAAGCCAGATACAAAAGACTATCACCCATATGATTCCACTTGAACAAAGTGAAAATCGACAAAATTAGACTATATTATTTAGAAATGCTTATGTAGATGGTAATGCTGTAAAGAAAATAAAAGAAGTGATCCTCATAAAGTCAGGACAGCAGCTGCCTTGGGGTAGGGGAGGAGACAGCAATAAGGATCAGGAAGGGACAAGGTGCTAGCACTGTTCTATTTTTTTTTTTTTTTTTTTTCTGAGACAGAGTCTCGCTCTATCACCCAGGCTGGAGTGCAATGGCACGATCTTGGCTCACTGCAAGCTCCACCTCCCAGGTTCACGCGATTCTCCTGCCTCAGCCTCCCAAGTAGGTGGGACTACAGGCACCCGCCACCCAGCCCGATTAATTTTTGTATTTTTGGTAGACATGGGGTTTCACCATGTTGGTCAGGGTGGTCTTGAATTCCTGACCTCAAGTGATTCACCTGCCTCTGCCTCCCAAAGTGCTGGGATTATAGGCGTGAGCCACTGCGCCTGGCCGAGTGTCCTTAATTTTTGACTTGGTATCTACATGTGTGCTAGCTTTATGATTATTTGTGAAACTGTATATTTATTTTTTTGCACTATTTACTTTTTGCATTATTATTTTCCATATATGCCATATGTTGTATTTCACAATGAAAGATGTTTTTTCAAAGTCTTTTAGGCTCTCAGGCCCGGCACCCTCTCCAGAGGGCAAGGCGTCTGCAGGCGAGGGATCTGGGAGCAAAAAGCACAGGCTGGGGCTAGGGAATGACTCACAGCCATGGCCCCGGGGCCCCCCACCCCAGCCCTGCTGGGACTCACAGAGTGGTCAGCTGGCTCATGTTGGTGAAGGAGGAATTGCTTAAGGAACTGATCTTGTTGTTGCTCAGGTCCCTGGAAAAGGCAAAGGCATCATGATTTAGAAAGAACTCACTCAGCCCTGGCTCACATTCACGGGCTTCTTCCCCTCCCTCACTCTGCCCAGGGCCATTCCCCAGCCAGGTTGGCCAGGGGTGGAGAGGAGCCCTGGTGCACAGCCTCGGGTCTCAGCGCTTGCTTAGCTACAGTGCTGCGCTGCTCCCTCAACTCCCTCAGGTACCAGGGCTTGGTGCCTCCATTTCCTGACCCTCACCCCCATCCCTCTGCAAGCAGAGCCTGGCTCTGCCCCTTTTTACCATGGGAACACTCCCACCAGGGTGTTGGTGGCCTCCCGACCAGATCCAGCACTCTCTCCTTTCTCTCCTGCCAGCACCTTAGGTGGGCTCGTTCAGAAGCCCTCCCTACGAGGCAGTCCTATGAGGGAGAGGGCAGCCCCATTTGACAAAGACCCAGAGTCTCAGAGGGATCCATGACTCTTGAAGGGTCACCAGCTGGTCGGAGGCAGAGCCAGATTCAAAGCCGGTCCACTGGCCACAAGCCCAGGTTGCTGCCATGGCCTCTCCGAGTCACCTGTGGCATCTGACACAACTGATCTCTCTTCTCTTCTCAAAACTCCCGCCACCCGCTTTCCTCCGCTCCCGACTGTCTTTGGGGGCCTTTGGCTGTGCCTCCTCAGTCTCTGGTAGAAGCTTCCTTTGTACTCAGCCCAGAGGCATGGGGATTGCTAAAGCCCATCTGTGCCCTGTTTAGTCCAATCTGGGTGCCCTCGGGGACGCCCCTGTGCTGACAGTGCCCCCCTCCCCATGGCCCCAGCCTGTCCTCTCATGAACTCCTCCTCCTGATGCCCACAGATACTCAAACTCCGCCCGCATCTTGTTCTCCCTACCACGCCCCATCCCCCAGGCTCCAGCTCCATAATGCTGCCTGCCCACACATCTGCCCTCTCATCCCACCCATCTGATCCGCCCCTGGCTGGTGGCCCTGGTCACCTCTCGCACCGTGCCCTCCTCCTGAGCCAGCGTCCTCTCTCTCTGGCTCCTGCCTGGGATTCTGACCTCATCTCTCACCCACTGCTTTGCCCCTTTTGATCCATCTGCCATGAGGGTGGCACCAGAGCAATTTCTCTATGACACAAAGCTGACGAAACCCCACAGTGGCACCCATGTGCCTAGCATGTGGACTCCAGGCCCTCTAGCTGGCCACCTGTCGGCACTCCTGGGTCTAGCCCCTGCCCCTCCCTCCCTCTGCTCCCTGCTCCGAAGACTTCCCAGGCTTAGGATTCACTAAGCTTCTTGAAGTTCTCTGAGCAGACTACACTCTGTGGCCCCAGACAGCTTATTCCCTCTGCCCACCAATGAACTCCAGCTCGTGTTCCAAGATGCCCTCCCCGCAAGCCGCCTCCCTGAGTTGATCACATCCTCCTTGAGCCACAGCCCTAATCAGCATTGACCTCTGTTGGAACCCTTATCACCCACACGACTTTATGCGCTCCCTCCCCTCCCCTGCATCCTCCCTAAACCATGACAGTCTGGAGAGGGGGCCATGACTTCGGGGCCTTCACGTCTGCCCACTTCATGCGCTCTCAGCTCAGGAAACATTTAGAAAATGCAACGATGTGCCGTGCCTTCATCTTCTCCTCCTGAACGTTCCTCTAATCTAATTCTAAATCATTCCACTGTCTTTGGAGATACATTTAAGTGCTCTACTGAATGTTCAACACACTTTGTGGTCCTCCCCTGTGATGAGGAGGTGGTGGTACTTCAGCCCCCAAGAGGCAGTTTCACTGGCTCAAAGCACTCTGACACCAGCCACTGAATCACACTACTCCATCCCTTCTCCACCCCTCCCATTGGAACATTCAACACACATTGGCCAGGTCATTAAGCAAAGACAGATAAATTGGAGCTTCAAAATTCTGTAAGCCAGAGCCGCCCAAAGTAGCCAGTCCTTGAACTAAATTTCACCAACCCACAATAAGAAACTTGGGCCAAGATCCGGTCACCACACCTAGCTTAGTTTACGCGAACATTGTTTCCATAGCAAGACTTTCTCAACAAAGGAAGCAATACATTGATTTAGATTCTGGTGTAAGCGCCATATCTAATTACAAACCCATTACAAACAGTTCTGGGACTGATGTGGGCCCGTAGATTGCACTTGGAGTGGGACTGCTCCAAATCACACTAAGGTGGAATGTTCTCTGGACTTCTTTTTGGTAGAATCTGGCCAAGGAGCAGATAAAGACAATTGAAGTGAGGAGCTAGGTAGGCTAGAAAACTAAAAGGAGCTGAACTTATTATCCTGAGGCTTATTTTGTATATTTTCATGGAGTAGAAGGGGTCAAAGGTGGAAATAATAGAAAAGCAGAGGCGTAGCCTGAAGAAAAACTTAGTTACAGGTATGTATTTGTAGCTGCCATAGTTCATACTTGGTTTGAGAGCTGAGCTGGACCGAGAAGCTTTCCATCACCCTCCACTTTTCCTGGCTCCTTGGCTCCTAACCTTGCAAGAATAACCCCCTTTGTGTGTGTGTGTGTGTGTGTGTGTGTGTGTGTGTGTGTGTGTGTGTGTGTATGTGTGTGTGTGTGACGGAGTTTTGCTCTTGTTGCCCAGGCTGGAGTGCAATGGTGCGATCTTGGCTCACTGCAGCCTCCACCTCCCGGGTTCAAGCGATTCTCCTACCTCAGCCTCCCGAGTAGCTGGGATTACAGGCATGTGCCACCATGCCCGGCTAATTTTGTATTTTTAGGAAAGATGGGGTTTCTCCATGTTGATCAGGCTGGTCTCGAACTCCAACATGAGTTCGAGAGGTTATCCGTCCGCCTCAGCCTCCCAAAGTGCTGGGATTACAGGTGTGAGCCACCGTGCCCGCCCGACCAGGATAACCCTTTTAACAGTCACGACCAGCCTCACGGGGGAGCTTTGGGGAGACGGCGTGGGCAGGAGGAGGAGGCAGGTCCAACCCAACATGGCCTGGAACTATGTAATTGCCAATCGTGGCCACTAGGTGGCAAAACAGCTCTAGGCACAGCTGTTCCCAGAGGGGAGCAGGGAAAGGAAAAGAAGCAGGATCTGCCCAGAAGTGAGGTCCGTAGGAAATTCCAGGAAAGCCGGAGTCCTGATGGTTAGATGCCAAAGGCCCTCCTGTCCTCAAGCGGCCTGGATACTTACACGAGCTGCAGGTACTTGAAGGTAGACAGCTGTCCCGGAACCAGCGTGAACTGGTTCCCGTCCAAATAGCTGCAGAGAGAACACAGCGGCGTTAGTGCCCATCTCCACCTCTGGTGGTGCCCCATGCTGGGGACAGCCTTCCCTGCAGCCAGGGACTTCGCTCTCATTTCCTCTCCTCCACATAGGCCACACGATGGGCCCAGAATCACTTATGGGAGGAGAAAATATGTACGTTGTTGAAGCCATCTGGGGAGGTGCCACCCAGAGGACTTGGTAAAAAGCCAATAGTCACGTGGCCTCTCTCGGTTCCCTTCTCGCTTCCCTTCTCACCCTCCCAGCCTCCTCCTTGTCCATGGACACTCCCTGGGCCCCTGCCTTCCCCTCCCTGCTCTGCTCTTTCCTGGCCAAATAGATCTGATTTGCACGTTACCGGGCCCTGCCAGCTCCCAGGGCCCCCTGTCCACCTGCTGGCATGGGCTGTGAAGCTGATTCACAGCCAGACTGCCCAACCAGTTCCCCCTCATTCCATCAGCACCCCTCTGCCTTCCTGCCTTCCAGGCTCCGCACCCTGATGTCGCTTCTCCTCCTCCCTCTGCAGCCAGTGCCACCGCTGCTCTCTCACAGCTTGCTTTCCTTGCACTCTCATGCCACCCGCCGACTGTGCACCACCACCCATGCCCGGGCTCCTGCTGCAGCCTCTTCTGTCTGTTCTCTGCACCTTGGACCTCCCTTCTGGCCTCCACTCTACTCACTGCTATCCAAGTCACTGTCCTTAAAACCAAGCCCACCGAAATCCTCCTAAGCCCGAAGCTTCCCAAGGTTCCCATTTCTACAGGATAGAGCTTGGGATTCAAGATGCTCTGAACCTCCCCCTCTTCCCTTCATTGTTGACCATTCATGCCTCCAGCCTGAAGGTGCTAAGCAGTGGCCCAATGCCAGGAGCTGAGCCAAGCTGAGCTCCAGCACAGGATCTCCACCCCCCAACTAACTACAGCCTGCAGGACAGCTCTCCCCCACTTCCCAAAGCCCCAGAGAGGAGCAAAAGGAGGGCTGTGCTCATCCTTACCCCTCGCTCTGCATCATACAAACTGACTTCCCACCCATCTCGTTTGATCCTCGAGGCAGTCCTCGTCCACATACCCAAGTAGTCCCATTTCACAGATGACAAAACTGAGGTTTAGAGAAGTTAAAAGATTTTCGCAGGCTCTGAACTTCACCATCTTCAGTCAAAGAAGGTAGGCTGCCCCACCCATCCCATTATTCTCAGGGCTGCTAGGAGGCTCCAAGGAGAAAGCAAGGACTCATGAGGTTTGTAGGACACTAACTCTGCAGTAGAAAACAGGGTGAAGACGGGGCAGGCCAGGCCCAGGAAAAGGCCCGCAGTGGTTGATGTGCTTGTGAAGAAAAGGCCAGCCTTGCTGGTAATGCAAGAAATAACAAATAGAAGCCTCATCGCTGGTCCTGGGGGTGGGGGGAGAAAAGCTCAGCTTTGGAGGCCTGGAGGGATCAACCCCAGAGCACAGGAAGAGGTCAGAGGTCAGGAGCTGGCCAGAGTCTTTCATTGGGAGGTGTCTGCTGAAGAAGTCCCAGCTCTCCATTCCTGTTTGTCAAATGCATCTATGTCCAATCCTCCACATGTGCTCAGATACCAAATACCAATCAGCCAGGATTTCAGCACCATACTCAGTGCTGACCCAGGGAAGCAAGAAGGCCACCTTCTCACATGGTCAATGGGAGTGCAAAGGAAACAGATTTTCTTGGAAGACCATCAGGCAAAAGGCAGCAAGAGTCCTAAAAACGCACCGCTCTCTGACTGGCGATTTCAGTGAGGGGGTGTTAGCACTGGTGCTGTTTATGACAGTAAAAAAAAATTGGAAACAAATATCCAACAAAAGGGGTTTTGTTATCTGGGTCATAGTAGATTCATGTGAAGAACACTACACTGCTGGTGCAAAAATCACATTTGTGTCTTCATGACACAGGAGCCTGAGACAATGACAGGCGGGAAAGCAAGGTTCTCCTCATTTTAAAGGCGGAGCTTAGTTTAAAGGGAGGAAGCACTCGCTGCCATGCGGTCATCAGGTGACCGCAGAGGGAGAATCAGAGAGAAGCTCAAAGCCTTTCTGGAGGCAGTGTTTTCTGCAAAGCCCGAACTCCAGCTCCTAGTCAGCTAATGCCTGCTCTTGGTCACCTCCTCCTCCCATGGCTAGGCCCCAGCCCCTCAGGAAATGCCCCCACTGTCCCCGTCCTGTGGACCCACGTGAAGGGGGCAAGGCCTTGAGCTACTCACAGTTCTGTGACATTCTTGGGAATGCCCTTGGGCAGGGCCCGCAGGTGCTTGTTGCTGCATCGGACCACGGTGTCCAGGCAGGCGCACTCCTGTGGGCACTGTGGGCGGGGCAGGCAGCCCCCCTCCTCCTGGCCTAGGGAAGAAGGCACGAAGCCCCTGTCAGGGAGGTGGACGGGCCGCTGTAGGGCCTCCTACAGTCAGGGCCATGCTCTGGGGCCTCTCAGAACAGAAGACCCCTCTGACAGTACCTTGGCCATCAGTAAGTCTGTGCACTACACCTCCCCGCCAGCCACCACCGCCACCAGGAATGAAGCCCCCTGGAGCAGTTTTGAGGTTAAAATAGGTCTTGAGTTGGTCTCTTTCTCCTCAAACTCAAAGTGGACCTGGTCAAAGTAGAACAGGAGGATGGCCGCGCACCATCCCATCCCCGGAGTGCCTGCTACTCCGGGCACTGGATCGACATTGTCTCCTTAACAGTACAGTTAGGGGTGCAGCATCGCCCCTAGAATGCAGGCATGAGGAGGATGGAGACCTGGGCCTCTTTTCTCCTCTTTTTTTCACTGATAGAGCCCAGTGCCTAGTGCAGTGCCTGGCACGCAGCAGCCCTCAAAACAGATGAGTTGAATGAATGAATGAACAAGTGGATGAATTTCCATTTTATTGAGGTCTGGAGACGTTAGGCACCTTGCTTGAATCATAAAGTGGGTCCAAGGCAATGCAGAGTCTGAGCCCAGGTCTGGCTGCCGCAAAATCCGAGCCCTCGATACCACACCATCCCTTCATTGATTCATTCATCTATTCAAAAAATCTGTGCCTTCCTTTCTGCTGATTGGGTGTCAGAGAGATGATAATATCACCACGGTCGGAGTTCTTGAGGACACTGGGATGCTGGTAGCACATGCTCCCGGGTGACAGTGACCATCAGTTATGCAGGTCGCCTGTGTGCAGGCCCCACAGGATAAGGGTGAACTCACTGAATCCTCAGAACAGCTCTCTAGTGAATGTGTTACTATTAGCCCATTGGAGCAATGAGGAAACTAAAGGCAGAGTGGTTCAGAAACTTGCCCCAGCCTGGAGCAAGCAGCCTGCCTCCAGAACCTGCTCGATTGGCCACCAGGCTCTCAGCAGCAACATCTTAGAAATATTCACATCCTTTCACCTCTAGGAAGCTGTTCTAGGGGAGAGTGGAATATATACGTAGGGAGCATCTACGAGGGTGCTCCTGGCAGCACGATGCATTGGAGCGGGACTTGGGAGGTTGTCTGAATGTCCAGCAGCTGGGGGCTGCTTACATCAATTGTGGAGCCTTCCAGATAGCGGTCCATCCTGTTGAAAGGTTTTCACAGGTGGCCCTGCAAGATCCTCTGTGTGCCACACTTGTGCACATGAGCACACAGCAAAGATCTGGAAAGCCACATAGCAAATGTCGACAGGAGTTATCCAGAGTTGGGGCATGGGGGCCGGGGGGTAGTGGGCAAATCGTTAATTTTTTTTTTTTTTTTGAGACAGATTCTCATTCTGTTGCCCAGGCTGGAGTGCAACGGTGTGATCTCGGCTCACTGCAACCTCCACCTCCCAAATTCTAAAGATTCTTCTGCCTCAGCCTCCCAAGTAGCTGGGACTACAGGCATGCGCCACCATGCCTGGCTAATTTTTGTATTTTTAGTAAAGAGAGGGTTTCAGCATGTTGGCCAGGCTGGTCTTGAACTCCTGACCTCAGGGATCTGCCCGCCTCGGCCTCCCAAAGTGCTGGGATTACAGGCATGAGCCTCCGCGCCTGGCCTGTCAGTAACTTTTTTAAATCCTCCTTCTGGTTGTCCTTGGTTGTTGTTGTTTTAAGGAATGAGGATGCATTTCTTTTGTAAAAAGAAGGATAAAAGGAAACCGTATCTTGGAAAAAATAATGTTTCCAAAGGATAGTTAATGGCATGAGAAAATGCCCAAAATATATAGTTAGGTTTTAAACAAATCAGACATTTTTAAAAAGACTTGCAAGCTATTATTATATAAATTAATAAAATATATATGTAAATAGTATAGACTCTTTTTTAAATTTTAGAAGTCAGAAGCAAAAGTATTCTTAGAGAATTCATTAATTTTGTTTAGAAAATACCCTGATGGTGTTTCTTGGGGTGAAAGTCAAAGCTCTCCACTGCCACGTGGCCTGGCCAGGCCAGCTGAGGGTGGAGCTGCCACTGGGAGTAGGCTGCAGGGGGTAGAAGGCAAGAAAGGGAGAGACCAGGGAGAAGGGAGGCACCTTAGCACCCAGAAGCGGAGAAGGGGGCTGGAAGCTGAGGTCAGCCAGGGAGAAATTCCCTGCGGCAGGGTGCTGAGAGACACTAAGGATGGGATGGCTGCACAGAGAAAAATCTGCTTCCTACAGTGACCTTCCGTGCTTGGTGCTGTGGCGAAAAAATGAGGGATGGGGCTACCCTGAGAAGTCCCAGGAAACAAGGCATTGGAGCAAAGAGTGACCAGGGTTTCCTACATATGGGGGAGGGGACTCAAAAGGGTTCCATTGCATATTAAGATAAGGTGACCCCATGAGTCTAGAGTGCTTAGGGACAGCCAAAAGGCAGGTCTGAGTTCACCAAACTTACAGAAAGAAACTACACTAAAATGGGAACTGTTTTCTCTGAGCGATGGAATAATAGGTAAAGTTTATTTCCTTCTTTTATCCATACTTTCCCATTTTTTAAGGATAGGAACTTTATTGCTCTTATAACCACACAAAGACACCACCAGGCAGGCGCGTCTCCTCCTGAAAACAGGGCCTCCCCTCCCCACCTAACCTCTCCTCTCAGGGGCATGCCAGGGGGTGCTGCCTGTCCACTCCCATCTTCCTCACCTGCCCCACCCCACTGGTTGGACCCAGGGCGCCCTCTCCCTTGCCACCGGGGGGCCACGAGTTACCTTCCTCACACCTGAAGTCAGGGAAGGCCACGTCCTGCAGGGGAATCTGCCGCAAAAAGTCAGGGTTCTGGCATCGCGGGTTCCCCGTCACGATCTTGCGCTTCCGTAGCCAGCCTCCTAGCCAGGCCAGCTGGCAGTTGCAGTTGAAAGGGTTGGCCAGGAGATTCCTGGAAGAGGCAGGCCAGGCGGCCATGGAGACACTCTGCCCCTCTCAGAGGTCCCAGCAAACCCCTCCTGTACCACGGACACAGGGCCACATGGCCACATGGCACTGTCTCCCAGACCACCACCCATCACCAAGAGGACCGGCTCTGAGGACCGGAGGGAGACTTCGAAATGTGGAACCCACGTTTCAGCAAACCACGAAGACCCAGCACCCCCAGGGTGAGCTCTTTCAAAGTGGCTGGCCGAGACGGTTGGGACGGTTGCTCCAGAGCCCCCGCCCGCCTGTCCTGGAGGCCGGACTCACAGTGTGGAGAGGGACTGGAGGGTGTCGAAGGCTCCTGGGGATACGGTGGTGATCTGGTTGTCGTAGAGCGAGAGGAGCCGGACGTTGCGCAGGCCCGTGAAGCTGTCGTTGTGGATGCAGCTGATGCGGTTGTTCCGCAGCATTCTGGGGAGGAACGGGGGAGGGAGGAGGGGACCCTTGCTGCCCTGCCAGCCATCCACCTGGGCCACGCAGCTTCCGCCATCGTGGCTCGTTCACAGTTCTCCTCCATAGGCTGCGAGCCGCAGAGCCAGGAACACGCACCAGCCAGGCCCCGGCCAGGTGAGGCGAGTTTTACACACCTGTGCCCACTCCAGACCCGCCCCCGCCTCTGAGAAGCCTCGAGGCTCTGTCTCTCTCTCCCTGCCACTGCCCTGTCCCCCATGCTGGCCTTGCCTCCGTGCCCTGGGTGCCCAGAGTTCCTGCCCGTCTTTAGGCCATGCTCCACATCAGTGCCCAGGAGACTTCCTGAAACCTAATCCATCATGTCACTCTCCAGCTTAAAGTCCACTAACAGCCTCCAAACTGCCCACCGAGTCATGCTCGAACTCCTTACTGTGACCTGAGACCATGTCTACCCAGACCCGGACCATCTCAGCCCTGGCACCTGCCTGCCTCCCTAGAGATGGACCAGCCCTCAGCCTGCTACACCGCTGTGACAGTTTTCTAGAATACTCTTTTGCCTCATCTACATCTGGAAAAGCTGCTGTTCATCTTCAAAAACCCAGCCCAAGCCTGATGCAGTGGCTCATGCCTGTAAAAACAGCACTTTGGGAGGCCAAGGATTATTTGAAACCAGGGGTTTGAGACCAGCCTGGGCAACATAGCGAGACCTTGTCTCTACAAAAAAATTTAAAACTTAGCCAGGCATGGTGGTGTGCACTTGTAGTCCCAGCTGCTTGGGAGGCTGAGGTGGGAGGATCTCTTGAGCCCAGGAGTTCAAGGTTACAGTAAGCTATGATGGCACTACTGCACCCCAGCTGCCTGGGAGACAGAGTGAGACCCTGTCTCCCTAAACAACAACAACAATAACAACAAAAACCCAGCTCAATTTCACTTGCCAACCAAAAGTAAAAACAAAAACCAAGTCAACACAGGGTAGCCAACTCACAAAAGAAATTAAAATGGTTTATCAACATTCACAAAAATGTTCAATGTTACTACTAATCAAAGACACTTATGCAATATTGATTTTTTGCCTGCCAAATTAAAAAAGAATGAAAAATATAATAATAATAATAATGACATCCAGGATCTCTGAGAGTGTGAGTGACTGGGCACTTCCACACACTGGCAGGAGATGCCTTTATACCTCCCTGGAAGTGCATTTGGTGAGATGTAGCAAAATCCCCAAAATGACACTTTGTGTTTTCACCCGACTACTCCATCTTTAGGAATTCCTAACAAGAGTATTATCATGCATTATACGTGAACTTCACAATAAAGATATTGTCACAGAATGAATGTGATCCCCTCCAATCCCTATGTTGAAGTCCTAATCCCCAGTGTGATGGGATCAGGATGGGGGTTCTTTGGGAGGTAATGAGGTCATAAGGGTGGAGCCCTCATGAATGGAGTTAGTGCCCTTATCAAGGAGATCCCAGAGAGCTCTCTTGCCCTCTTTCTACCATGTGAGGACACAATGAGAAGTCAGAAGTCTGCAACCCAGAAGAGGGCCCTCGCCAGAACCCATCCATGCTGGCACCCTGGTCTCAGACTTCCAGCCTCCAGAACTTCTGTTGTCTATAAACCTCCAGTCTGTGGCTCTTTGTTATAGCAGCCTGAACCCACTAAGGCAGGTATCAATACAACATTGCTTATAAAAAAAAAAAAATAGAAACAGCCTACATTGCCAATAATTATATAATACCTAGTCATTCAAACTGATGCAGAGCACTTTTTTTGTATTAGGAATTAAATGTGGAATGGAAAAAAATTTTAATATGTAATGGTGCTCATATTAAGTTTAAGGAAAAAGCAGGTTACTAAATAAAATGTACGAGTCCATTAGAATATTTCTGTATGCGTGCATGCTTGTATGTATGTATGTGTGTATATGTATGTGTATGCAGGTTTAGAGATATGTAAAAGACTGGAAAGACAGTTGTTTATACCAACAATTAACAGTGGTCATTTCTGGATAGTGATGGGGTATGGGCCCTTCTCTTTTCCTCTGTCCTTATCTAAGTCTTCCTTGGAAAGAATGCAGCTGACTGGACAGCCCCCACACCCACATTTAAGGAATACTAGGTAAGCATAAAGAAAAATGAGGCAGCCTATAGGAACAGCCTGGAAAGAAGGCAATGCTGTATTCACAGGTGAAAACAGCAAGCTGCAAAACATAGTGCATAATAAAATTTGCTTTTTGTAAAATAAAGGAACAAAAATCCACAGGGAGTCCTGTCACACATTCATTTACTTGCTCAGAGACAACTCTACATCCTGCTGCAGATTTGGGACTTATACCTGGGCAAGTGGCTTCCTAGAGCTGTGGTGTCCAATATAGTAGCCACTAGCCACATGTAGCTATTTAGATTTAAATGCATTAAAATAAAATGAAATTCAAAATTCAGTCACTGAGTAGCACTAGCCACATTTCAACTGCTCCACAGCCACATGAAGTGACTGGTCTGGACAGCGTAGACTTGAAACATTTCCATCTCTGTGGGAGATCCGACAGACTGCCCTGTCTATGGGACACGATACACACCCTCAGGATCATCTGAAGAGCCAGCCCTCCTGGGGCAGATGGAGGGGGTGTCCTGCATCATGGAGGAGCAGATGACCCCAGGATCCCACTGAGCTCCAGATTCTGGTCAGCTCAGGCTGGGCTGTGGGTTATGGGATCCTAGCATCTCAGGGACAGTGCAGCATCCCTGCTCCCCTATCTACACCCACTGAATCACCTTGGCAAGGTCATCCAGCCCCTCCTGCCTGCAGCAGTGCCAGCCACTCCTGAACTCATGCTGTGCTCTTGCAGCCTGACCAGAGGGCAATGGGAAGGGACCCCTAGAAGGGTCCACATGTCTCCATCCCTTGAGGCCAACTGGGCATTGGCCCCATGCCCCAGGGTACAAGAGAACAGGTCTCACCATAGAGTTGCCAACTTGATTACCTGTCCCAACACAGTCAGGATCCTCAGTTCTCCCCACCCTCCTGCAAGCTGGGCCCAGGGGAGGGGCTCCTCCAGCCTCTCTCTTCCTTTCCCTTGGCTTTGCCTGCCTCCTGCAGCTGGCCCACCCTGCTCCCCAGCCCTGCACACTCACAGGGTCCTCAAGCCATCCAGACCCCGGAACATGCCGCTCCGGATGGACTCCAGCTGGTTGGCAGTTAGGTGCAGCTCGCTCACAGAGGCTGCGCCCTCGAAGGCCCCATCTTCAATTTCTGACACCTTGTTGTTGCTCAGATTGCTGGGAGAAGAGGCGGGGGGAGGATTACATATGGCCAGCAGCCAGGAGCTCAGGCCCCTCCCTTCCTGCAGGCAACACCCCCACACACAGAGTCCTGGCCCCCCGCCGTGGGAGCTGCCCCCACCCTGGCATTTCCCTTGTCCATCCCTGGCCAGCATCCCAACAGACACCTTCTCGCCAATGGGTAACTCACATTTTCTTCAGATGTGTAAGTTTTTTAAACATCCCAGTGGCCTCCAGGATGGAAATCTCATTGTTATTCAATCGCCTGTAAGAGACAAGAATGAACTTGCACATTCACAAATGATGGACATTTCAAATCCCTTCCAAACTGAGAATATTTGGGACTCAAACAGAGAAGACTCCCAGAAGAATTTATCTGGCAAAGCAAATTGATCCTATTTCAAAGGAAGGCTGGGCCTAGTACTGGGAGAGGATATGAATGGGGATATTTTTAACATTAAAAATGCCATGAAAAATTTACAGACGTAAATGACAGATGCTTGCAGGCATCTATGCACATAGACATATGTGTACACAAATTCATATTTTTAGATAGAGGAATAAAAATAACAAAGAGTTTTGGAATCATGTCCCACAGAATAAGACAAACGCATCGTTGAGAAAAGCCATCCCTGATTCAGGCTGGTGACCTGCCCTGAGTGCCAGAGACTGGCATCTGCTTTTGATGGGTGAGGGGGGCTGTGAATGAAGCAGAGGGCAGCAGGGGTGGGGTTTCTTCCTGCCCAAGCCAGCAGTTGGTATGTCCTGAGCCAGAGGCTCCAGTGGTTCAGCCCCAGACAGGGCTGGACCAAGAAAATCCTGGAGTAGGCCAAGGAGGGTTAGTGGCAGTTAGGGACAGGGGAGGGCTGGGGGGGCCAGGGACCCTCACAGTTCTGCCGTGGACTGGGGGATGCGCTCAGGGATCTTGGTGAGCTTCAGGCTGGAGCACTCCACCACGTTGGCCTCACAGCGGCACTTGTGGGGACAGACCACGTCGCTGTTGCACTCGCTGTTCAGCTGGTAATCCTCCGTGCCTGCCATGAGAGGGTGGGGGCAGAGGCTGAGGAGCCCGGGGCCGGCTCCCAGCAGTTTGGGTCAACCAAGGCCCCCAGCCTGCCCACCCACTACCACCATTCCCGCCAGGCTGGCCTTGGATCCCCCCACTCTCCTACCTGGAATGAAGTACTGCTCTTTGGCTGGGAAGAGAAGCAGAAATACCATAATGCAGGAATCAGCCAGGACCTGCAGTAACAGCCCAGGCCCCAGCCCCACTGCTCAGCTGAAGGCACCCCAGACAGGGCTGAGGAGCCCATCTGCCCAGTCCCTGTGTGCAGAAGGGCGAGCTACAGAGCACGCATGTTCCTTGCCCAGGCTGACACTGGGGGTGTCGCATCCAGTTAAACCTCTCGCAAGGAGTGCCAAAACCATCGAGCTCTCACTCGCAATGGCACGAGGTGGGGACTGTGCTAATTTTACAGGTGGGGACGGGGTACAGGTGGCGTCAGGACCTTGACCAGGATGTAGGCTCAGAAGCTGCCCCACACTGTCCCCAGCCAGATGCCACGTGGACTACAATTGCTAAGGCTGTTTCTGCATCCCAAAGCCTGGAGGAGGCTCCTATCTCACTAAGGAGGGTTCCCAGGCCTCCTGAGTGTCTTAAAAGGCTTGACAACAAAGGCATAAAAGAGAACTGGCTAAAAGTGGAGGGACCTGAGTCCTCCCTCTGGGACCTTCAGCAAGCCTTGCTTCTTCCCTAGGCCTCAATAAAATGAGGTGGGACTGAACTACCATTCAGATCAAGTCTAGAATTTTGGGCCCACACCCTCCAGTCTGGGTTCACAGTAATGAAAGACACCTTTGTGGGAGCCATCCAGGAAACATCAGGGGGTCCCTGAGCAGGCTGAATACAGACAGACAAGCAGACAGGTAGGCAGGCAGGCCGGCAGGGAGGCAGGTAGGTGAACAGGTGGGCAGGCAGGTAGGTGAACAGGTGGGTAGGCGGGCAGGTATGCAGGTGGACAGGTAGGCAGGCAGGCAAGTGAGCAGGCGGGTAGGTGGGCAGGTGGGCAGGTATGCAGGTGGACAAGTAGGCCGGTGGGCAGGTGGGCAGGCAGGTAGGTGGACAGGTGGGCAGGTGGGCAGGCGGGCAGGTACCTGAGCACCGGAACTTCTTGCTCTTGATCTGCCCGATGCGCTTGTTGGCGAGGCGCCGGGGACTGGCACAGCGGGCACCACTCGTCTCGATGGGATTGGTGCGCAGGAAGTCTGCCAGCCACTTGAGGTTACAGTCGCAAATGAAAGGGTTCTGCGCCAGGTGCCTGTCCAAAGCAGGCAGATCAGCTATGAGAAACAAGGGCTGCAAACCCGCGCTGACCTCCACCGGGACAGGGCCTCGTTGTGGCTGGGGCCAAGGAGGCTGCCTGTGGCCTGGAGCCTAGGGTCAGCCACGGGGGGAAAGAGAGAGTGGGGTGAACCCCCAGGGTGCAGCCCACCACCTCTGGAGAGGTCCTGCCAGCGCACTACAGGTGAAGGGTCTCTGCCACCCAGAGCTTCCTGCTGTCCTACTCCCCATCAAGCCTCATTCTGCCCCCTCTCTTTCCACTCACCTTTCCCTCTCTCTGCCCTGGGACATTTCACGAGCACGAGCGGAGACAGGAAGGACCCAGAGGCTGGCCAGAGCACCCCTGGCCTTTCACAGGCAAGGAAGCCAAAGCCCAGAGAGGGTAACAAAACCCAGGACTGCAGGCGCCCAGGCCACAGCCTCTGACCCTCCCCAGTGGCCATGGGCCCTGGTTTGTGCCCTTTCCTTCAGACTCAGGTAGCAGCCTGTCTCCTATAGAGAGGGATGAGGCCAGGGTGGCCAGGCCTGCTGGAGTCCCTGGGCTTCACAGGGAGTCACCATCCCCACCCCAGGCCACAGGAGTGACCTCTCCTTGACCATTTTACAGCTGTCTGTCAACACAAAGAAAACTCAGAAATCATGACTGAGCAGCCCCTTGCTGGGGATTCACTCAGATTCTCTCCCAGGCTGCCTGTGTTGTCAGCAGGATAAATACGGGGATGGTGGCGGGGAGCAGATGGCCGTGATGGGTTGCTGTGTGCGACCCCATGCTGGCATGCCCACGGGTGGGCTCTGACAAACAGCAGGTTCAGACCAGCTACCTCTGAGCCACCACAGCACTGGGCATGCCCTGCTCATGGCTGTACAAACCGAGGCAGCCTGGGAAGAGCATTCCTACACCTGTCCTGGCTCTGGAGAATCGCTTGAACCCAGGGAGCAGAGGTTGCGGTGAGCTGAGATTGTGCCACTGCACTCCAGCCTGGTCAACAAGAGCGAAACTCTGTCTCGAAAAGGAAAAAAAAAGAAGTACGGGGAGACAGAGCAACAGGCCAACTCAAAGAGACTTGCCCTGCCATGGCCACTTTTCCTCCATCTAAGTGCCATCAGTTCAGGCCATCTGACTTACTGGTCTCAGCCCAGGCCCCTGCAAGGGGCTGCAGGACTCTCCAAGCAGATGAGTAAACCCTTGCCCAGGGTCTGTGCCCAGCTCACCTCAGACCTTGGCGGTGCTCTCTGCCGTCCATCACCTCCTGGGCTCTGCCCTCTGGCCCCCCGGTTGGGAGCTGGGTCCCTGCCACCTCTCCTTTGCAGTGTCTTTCCCTATTTCCCACCTGAGTTCTTGCTCCTCTCAGCTCCACCAGGTGGACCAGGTCCCTCCCACCTCTTCTGCATCAAGCTCAACATTCATTTCCCCTTTTAAACTTTCAGTTTGCACAGAGAGGATGTGTTTGCTGATATCCTGGGGGCAGAGTTTGTAGCTAATTTAAAACATACCAGGATTTAAGGACTGCTTATGACTCCTCCCCAGCTGCCCATCCACATCTGGCTGTGCCTCAGTGCCTCAGCCCCTGCCTGAACCAATTGCTTCCCTTTATTACCATCTTGGCAGAAAACTGTGTAGTCAATCCAATTGTGTTGTTTAGGCATGTATTAAAATACTCAAGGTGTGTGGTGTAGAATATCTCCTTTCTAAAAACAGGCTGTGCCAGAAACAACCTATAAAACTTGAACCACCCACAGAGACAGGTGGCTTCTGTACAAACTTTAGTATTTTATACAAATTAGAATTTTTAACAGTTTCAAAGAGCAGGAAGCTGGAAAGAGAGAACACTCAAGAGGAAGAAAAAAAATTCATTTGGGAAAAAATAATCGTGTTAAAGGAACACCCAAAAACGTGCTGCATATGTGGCCACGCAGCTGCCTCCCTGAACAGTTCTGGCAGTGGAAGGAAAGGAAGAGAGGACTGATTCTCAGTGTCTTTGTAGATGTATGCATTAAGGAGTCACAGCTAAAAATCTTTGGAGGCAGAGGCTCAAAAGCATTAGTCATTAGGGAAATGCAAATTAAAACCACAATGAGATACCACTTCACACCCACTAGGATGGCTAGAATCAAAATGCAAAAAAAAAAAAGACAAACAATACCAAGTGTTGGTGAGGCTGAGAATGAGAGAAATTTGGAGCCCTCATAATACACCACTGGTGGGAATGTAAAATAGTACAGCCAAGTGTTGGTGAGGATTAGAATGAGAGAAATTTGGAGCCTTCATAATACACCACTGGTGGGAATGTAAAATAGTACCGCCACTTTGGAAAACACTGGCAGTTTCTTTAAAAAAGTTAAACAGGAATCTACCATATGAACCAGAAATTCCAAAAGAAATGAAAATGTCGGGCGCGGTGGCTCACGCCTGTAATCCCAGCACTTTGTGAGGCCGAGGTGGGTGGATCACGAGGTCAGGAGTTCAAGATCAGCCTGATCAAGATGGTGAAACCCCGTCTCTACTAAAAATACAAAAAGAATTAGCCGGGCATGGTGGTGGGCACCTGTAATCCCAGCTACTTGGGAGGCTGAGGCAGAGAATTGCTTAAACCTCGGAGGTGGAGGATGCAGTGAGCCGAGATCGTGCCACTGCACTCCAGCCTGGGCGACAGAGTGAAACTCCATCTCAAAAAAAAAAAAAAAAGAAAGGAAAATGTTGGTCCACACAAAGATTTGTGAGTGAATATTCATAGCAACATTGTTCATAATGTCCCCAAAGTGGAAACCACCCCAAATGTCCATCACCTGGAATGGACAAGCAAATTGTGGTCTATTTACACAATGGAAAAATTATTTGGCGATCAAAAGGAACAAAGTACTGATACATGCTACAATATGAATGAGCCTCAAAAACGTTATGCTAAAGAAATAAGTCAGTCACAAAAGATGGCATATTGTATGATTCGGTTTTTTTTTGTTTGTTTTTTTTTTTTTTGGAGTCGGTCTCAGGCTGTCACCCAGCCTGTGTGCAGTGGTGCAATCAGCTCATTGCATCCTTGAACTCCTGGGCTCAGGGAATCCTCCCACCTCAGCCTCTTGAGTACTTGGGACCACAGGCATGCACCACCACACCTGGCTAATTTTTAAGAATTTTGTGTAGAGGTGGGGATCTCACTATGTTGCCCAGGCTAGTCTCAAACTCCTGGCCTCAGGTGATCTGCCCACCTCAGCCTCCCAAAGCACTGGGATTACAGGTGTGAGCCACTGCACCTGGCCTGTATGATTCCATTTTTATGAAATGTTCAGAAAAGGCAATCTACAGAGAAAGGAAATAGATCAGTGATGGCCAGCAGCTGAGTCTGGAAATGGGGACAAGGGATTTGGAAGGGAAGGTGATGGAAACGTTCTAAAGTTGAATCGTAGTGATAGTTGAATTCTGGAAATTTACTAAAAATCACTGAATTGTATACTTAGAACAGGTGAACTTTATGGCATGTAAGTTATACCTCAATAGAGCTGTTTCTTTTTTTTAAATGTTAAATCTCTTGGGGCAAGTAAAACTGCAGCAAAATCAATGCTGTTACACAGGGACTTCGCCACAGATCTTGGAGCTACGGACAAATCAAACATGATTTGGTAAATTTAAATCTGCTCAGGTTTAATAAAATAAGACTCAGTCAAGAAACTGAACCACTTGAGGTTGTAATAATAGTACCTGATAGTACCTTGGATTTCTATTTCTTTTATTCTTATTCCAAGTTGTAGTTCAGTTGTTAACATCTAATAGATGTGCATGAAAGTTCAGTGTTGCTTTACAGCCTTCAATAATGAGCTCTGTTCTTACAGAAAAAGCACAATTAAAGGGGCAGCTAAGTAATTTCTTGGTGATGGCGAAGAGATGCCTGAGATCAAATTCCTGTTTTACCGGATGTTCTGCAACATTGGGTGTGTCACATAACCTCTCTCAGTCTTTGTTTTAGGTAAAATCAGGATGATAAAGCACCTACCTTCATAGCATCACTGTAAGTATTAAGATAATACATGCAAAGAACAGTGGCTCACATGAGTCTCTCATTCCCATTCCCCATCCCCAAGGTTTTCCTGTGTGTGAGTCCCCGGCCAGTAAATCTCCTTAGCATGTTTCTCTCAGACATTCTGCCAGCTGCTTAAAATAGTCCACCTTGCCAGTGTCTCCCTGTACCCTCTAATTTCACATACTTGGCAAGGTTTCCCCATGGGGCTTCCTCTTTGTCTCCCTGGCTATAAGTAAATTAATTGGGAGGAGTTGGGCTGCAGGCAAATTTGTGGGCTTTAATGAGTTTGTCTTTGTGGCTGACATCTCTGGTGATGTGCAGAGTCCCCAGGGGTCACGAGCTGTACCTTTTACTCAGCCTGTTTGGAACCTATCCCAATACCCCATGTAGATGTTATCTGATGAAGAGCACTGCCTGGCATAGACAGGGGCAGGGATTACAGCGACAACAATGGACACAATAATATTAATAATTAATGCTCATTAAATGCACACCACAGAACCCACAAGTCAGCACATCCTGCCTAACTGCAGGCTCAGAATTAAAGATGTAGATGAAGGGGACCATTTAATTGCCTAAGTTTAACCACACAACAGATGAGAATTTTCCTTACGTGGAAACATTCCAGTTAAATATAAGGATTCTGTTTTAAAGCATAGTCACAACTGCATTAGAAATGAAAAAAGAATGTTAGAATTCTGATATGGTTTGGATGTTCGTCCCCACCAAACCTCATGTTGAAATGTAATCCCCAGTGTTGGAGGCGGGGCCTGATGGGAGGTGTTCGGATCGGTGTTCGGTGTTTGGTCGAATTTGTATCAGTCTGCTTTTGTGTTTCTATAAAGGAATACCTGAGACTAGGTAATTTATAAAGAAAAGAGGTTTACTGGGCTGAGAGTTCTGTGGGCTGGACGAGTATGGCACCAACAACCGCTCGGCTTCTGGTGAGCCTCAGGAAGCTTACAATCGTGGCAGAAGGCGAAGCAAGACTAGGCATAAGAGTGGATCCCTCATGAATGGCTTGGTGCTGCCCTTGTGATAATGAGTGAGTTCTTACTCTGAGCTCATGCAAGATCTGATTATTTAAAAGAGCATGGCACTCCCCCTCCCTCTCTTGCTCCTCCTCTTGTCACGTGACGTGCCTACCCTTGCTTCGCCTTCTGCCATGATTGTAAGCTTCCTGAGGCCTCACCAGAAGCCAAGCAGATGTTGGTGCCGTATGTGTACACCCCATGGAACTGTCAGCCAAGTAAACCTCTTTTCTTTATAGATTACCTAGTCTCTGGTATTCCTTGATAGTAACACAAAAACAGACTGATACAAATTCAAAATCACCATTTCAGGATTGCTAATGAATTAATGGGTTCAAGCACTGAGATCAATGGCTGTTTTTATTACAAAAGGGAGACAGCCAGACATCTGTCTGCCTTCTGACGGGAAGTCCACAATCCCATCTATAAAATCATCTTGCCAAATAAATCAATCAAAACTGAACCTGACCGAGCTCCTAGATCCAATTTTCAATCTGCAGGATACAGAGAAGACAGAGGAACATGTGAAACTACACCACAGGGAAGCAATCAACAAAGTCTAGACCCTACAGAACCAATGATGCAGTGTCTTCAACAAATCAGTTACAAGGAAAAGAGAAATGGAGAGGACACATAGATAAACAGCAACTTAAGAGGTACATCAACCAACATAAACCAACATCAGCCAGTTATATTGCACAGGCTTTATTTAAATCCTGATTCAAACTATTAAAAAATTGCATAACATTCCGGGCGTGGTGGCTAACATCTGTAATCCCAGCACTTTGGGAGGCCGAGGCAGGTGGATCACGAGGTCAGGAGTTTGAGACCAGTCTGGCCAACATGGTGAAACCCCATCTCCATTAAAGATACAAAAAATTAGCCAGGCGTGGTGACGGGCGCCTGTAATCCCAGCTACTTCAGAGGCTGAGGCAGGAGAATCACTTGAACCTGGGAGGTGGAGGTTGCAGTGAGCTGAGACTGTGCCATTGCACTCCAGCCTAGGTGACAGAGCGACACTCCAGCTCAAAAAACAAAAAACAATCAAAAAAATTGCATAACATGTAAGAGACACTTGGAAATTTCAACACTAACTAGATACTCAATGATATTAAGGAATTAATTATACAGGATTGGAAGCTGGGTGATGAAAACTTGGGGGTTCACCATACATAGCACTCTGTTTTTTTTTGAAACAGGGTCTCTCCGTTGCCCAGGTGGGAGTGCAGGGGGTGTGGCCACATGTCACTGTAGCCTGAACCTCCTGGGCTCAAGCAATCATCCTACTTTAGCCTCCCAGGTAGCTGGGACTACAGGTATGTGCCATCATACCTGGCTACTTTTTAAAAAAAAATTTCTTGTGGAGATGGGGTGCCCAGCCCTGTTACCTAGGCTGGTATTGAACTCCTGGGCTCAAGCAATCCTCCTGCCTCAGCCTCCCAGAGTGTTGGGATTAGAGGCATGAGCCACCATGCCCGGCCCACAGTACTACTCTTAATCTGCTTATAATTTTCCACAATAAAATATTACAACAAATTACCAGATTTATTGCTCTCTAATTTTTTTATTCACAGTCACCATTGTCATTACCGTATTTCATCTGATTTGACATTATGAATTGTAAGAGGCACTACTATTTTTTGTACTATCAATAAAGAACAAAATGCTGCCAACTAAGTGATGTACCACTGATTATAACATGCATCCCAGTTTCAGAGCTGTTAACGTGGAAACAACATGTGTCTTAGAATCAGCGCGATATATTATCATCATCATCACCATCAATATTATTGTTAGCTAAAGGCAGCATTTATCAAGCACTTGTGATGAGCTAAGCTTCATACAAACATCCTCCTTAATCTCATAACAACCCTATGGGAAGGCATCCCCATCTTACGGATAAATAAAAATGAGGCCCAGAGAAGCTGCCCAGAATCACACAGCCAATAAGAGGCCTAGGTGGACTTTGAACCTAGGACGGTCTAACCCAGGTCTGTGTCCTTCCTCTGTAAGAGGCCACCCCCAGTGAGCACAGCAGCCCAGAGCCGGAGAGCTGCCTGTCCCTGGAGGCTGCAACCTCCCCCAGGCCCACCTGCTGGGAGGGGAGAAGAAGAAGGCATCAGGGCACTCACAGAGTCTGGATGGCCCGCAGGGAGGTGAAAGTGCCCTTGGCGAGGCTCTGGATCTTGTTGTCATACAGGGAGAGCAGTGAGAGGTTCTGCAGGTCCTGGAAGGCATCGGGCCGGATGCAGTTGATCTTGTTGGCATTCAGGAGCCTGTGGGCAGAGCCAGGACCAAGTGGTGAGGAGAGAGGCTCGACCTGAGACCCATCTCAGGTCCTGGGCACCTTCTTCAGTCCCGGCCTGCGTTATTACAGGGAGGAGCCCATCGGAGCAGGCCCAGGGAATCTGCCCTCTGGATGTCTGCCCCACGGAGAGGGGCCCGGAACTCCGACTGCCTCCTCCATGCATAGGGACATCTTGGTCAACCCACTCGTCTCTCTTTCCAAGAACTGCTAGAGATGCCCTGTGGGATTCCGGGAAAGCAGAGAGCCACCTTGTGAAGGCATTTTTGGGGGGGGCTCCTCCTCCTTCCCAGAGGTCCATTGGGTTCCCCAGGCAGCTGAGTTGGAGCATTTGTGTTCTATGCCTCTTGAGCCCTGGGAGACAATCCCTGCCTGAAAGTTCATGGTTCAAGGAGGCCGAGCTGGCCTGGGTGTCCCCCCTGCAGGAGAAAGCTCTGTCCCCAGCCACACCAAGCTCCTCAGGAGCACGGGCCGAGTCTCAGGAGCCTCTCTGCTTTGGCATCCTGTGAGCAGCTCTGAAGCTGCCTCTACCTCCTTCTCTAGCCTCTGCAGAGCCCTGGAGACTTTCTCAGCCCTAGTGGGTCTGCCTGTCTTCCAAGCTCATTGTCTCAATTGAGTCCCATACCCAAGAGAGGCCTAAAGGGACAGTCTAGCAGGCCAGAGGAAAGCTGGCCCTTCCCTGGGTCCCACCCAAGACACCCAGGATTCGTTCTTACAGGAGCTGTAGGGTGTATAGGCCTCCAAACACACCACGGGGGAGGTCTGTGATCTTGTTTCCATAGAGGACCCTGGAGAAAAGGCAGCAGAGAGGAGGGTTAGAGGACAGCCCACCAGGGCAATAGCACAACTCTGCAGACGGCCCCAGCTCAACAGCGCTGCCCCTAAGCCATTTACATGGAGCACATCCTAATGGTGTATATTTGTTATAGCAACTTGTCCACAGATGACAGTAAAGTGTCTTAAGAAAGCGTTGCCTGCTTCTTGGCGTAAAGTGCCCTATGGGCTAGAGATGCCCCTGACTCCAATCACTAACAAAGCAGCTCCTGCTTCACCGCCCTCACACGTGGACCCCACAGAAGGCTGCAAAGGGGCACTTCCTGGGAAATTCATCTGGTCCAGAATCCAAAAGGAGATTGTTGAGAGAAGAGAAAATCCCATGGGCAGGAATAATTAACATATTTTCAGAGAGTTACAGGAAAAAATAGAATGCCAGACGGCATATGCAGTGTGAGATCCGGATGGTGGGACTTCAAGCATTTTTTTTTTATACTTTAGCATTTTCAAAGTTTTCTGCATTGAGCATGAATTCCATGTATAGGTTTTTTAAAAAAACAAAAGTTCAAAAAAACACATGTAGACATGGGTGGGTTCAGGAGGACAGTGAAAACATCCAGGAGGTTTGGGGAGGGGGGTTGTATGCCATTCCCAATATCATAATCGGACCCCACAAGCTACCCTCGTAAACGTTCAAGCTGAGTAAAAAATCCTGGGTACTTCCTCTTCAAACATGGCTTCAAGGTCATTCCTGGAGTGAGGCACAGCAACAGCAAAGGCCCTGCAGTGGGAGCTGTGTGTGCCTGTCGTGTGTGGACAGGTGACGGGGCCAGTGTGGCTGGAATGGAGGGAACAAATGGGACAGTAACTTGGTCTTTACCCAGCCAGCATCAGGAAGCCACTGAGACAGCATCAGATTCCCATTTCAGAAACACCCCTCAAGCTGCTGGGTGGGAAATGGAGCAGAGGGGGCAGGAACTGAAGCAGGGAGGCAAGGTCAGGGCTGGCCGAGGTAGACACTGTTGATGGGGTGTACTGGAATCATCCACGTTCCTATATGCAGGGAGGTGGCTGTGACCAGGTACCCATGAACAACAGAAATCCACTTGGTTGGGTTATTCACTTTTACCTTTTTAGACTGCCATGTTCCAACTTAGGAGAGCTTTATTCACTTCTCAGAGGAAGGGCCCTGCATTTTGGCAGGCCACCTTCAGAATCTGATCTCCTCAGCCAATGACAACGATCCCTCACCAGGCTATCATGTACAGCTGTGTAGGGTGTACACTGCACAACTTCAGGGGTGCCATTCATAATTGGCCCCACCCTCTACTTGGACTCTGCTCCAAGAAAAGATGGCATACACAGAAGGCACTGAGCTGGCAGGCTCCTGCACTCCCCGGGGGAGTTCTATTCCGTTGTACTTGCCAGGCCTCTAGTCTATGCCAAGCATGAGTCCTGTGCTGCCAAGGAGCAGGTGAAAACACTCATCCCCTAGAGTAACAAATGGCCCCTCCTACAGGGAGCTCGCCCAACTCCAGGGCACCCTGAGTGTGCTCTCTGTACAGACAAAGTGCTGTAGGACCTCGGGTAGTGAGGCCCTTGGTGAGTGGGAGAGGGAGGTGCTTCACTACCTTTTGTATGTTTTATTGACAGACTTCCCCAGTAGATCCTGAAGGAAGGGAAATACTGAAGGAGGAGCGGGCAAACACTGTCCTAGCAGCACCCACCACATCTTGGGATTCATTACATTTGGGATAAAAGATAGCAAGTTGTGGCAGATGTCACAACTGGAGCTGGTGCTCACTGGCCCTGCGGTGACTGCAGAGGCCTCAGGAGCACAGCATGCTGGGCTTCGGGCGGGGGACGGGGCCAAGATGGTTGTGCAAAGAATGCTGGGAAAATCCTCACTGTGGCAGGGAGTGCATCCCAGTTGCCAGGGGCAACAGCTCTGCCTAGCTTCTCCACACTTCTCCCGCTCCCAGCGTCGGAGGGTCCACCAGTGAGGAAGAGGGAGCTGGAACAGCAAACCCTTTGCAGCCAAAGGATGACCCACTGAGGCTGGGGTGGGCAGGGGCTGTGTGGAGGGGGGCATAGCCCTGCTCCTCCTCCTGCATCCACCAGGACCCTGGGCCCTGCCAGCCTCCTCAGGGGATGCCCTGGGCCACTGAGGAAGCCTTGGCACTGCTACTCACAGCGAGTTCAGGGAGCGGAGGCCCTGGAAGGCGTCGGGTGCAATCTCAGCGATCTGATTGTTGCTCAGGTCTCTGCAAGGTGAGCAGAAGGAGAGGGGGCATCTGAATCCCTCAACAGCCACTAAGCCCTGCCCAGTCCCCTCCACCTCCTAGATGTCACAGGAGCAGGGTGGAGTGCTTTGAAATGAGAATAGTGAGAGGCCAGATCTCTCCTCCATTTGAAAAGCCCATGGCCGCTATTTCCCTGTGCAGTCTGAGGGCTGGGCAGGAGGGGGCACTCCAGCTTGGGAAGTTATGGACAAAGCTTTCCCATGCATCCTGGCAGTCTCCTAGCCCCCTCCCATCCTTAATTGCTCCTATTGGTACCCAAGCTGAAACGGGAGGATGACAAGCAGCTCCCATCACAGGCCAGGCTCAGGCTCAGCACTCCCTTCAGGCCTCACGATAGCCCTGCAAGGAGGTCCCCGCATCACAGCCAAGCAGCCTGAAGGGCAGGAAGGTCAGGTGGCTGGCCAAGGCCACTCAGCTGTGGGGGGCTGAGTTAGGGCCTGCCCCAGGGCTGTGGGACCACCCAGGATCTCCGTCAGCCCTGTACCAGCTCCCCAGGAAGCAGTGGGAGGCACTCACATCCTCCGTAGCTTTCTGTAGGGTGAGAAGGCTCCAGGAGGGATGGACTTGATGCCGTTCAGCTCCAGGCGTCTGCGGGGAGAAAAGAGAGGGGAAGCCCAAGGGCCCAGGTCAGCCCAGCCCTGGGTGTTATCTGCTGGGCTCACCTGCCCTGAATAATCCTTTGGCCCCTCTTGCCCCTGCTCCCTTCCCACTTCCAGAAGTTGAAGTCTGGGGTAAGGACGCCGGGACAGACAGAGAAAATGCTGACTTGCGCTCCATTATCACAGGCATTTGTAGCTGAAAGGGGCCCACAAATGATGCTGAGAACCTGATTCTAGCAGACTCACGCAGCTGGGTGGGACCCCAGAGGGACACTCCCTCCCCAGCCCTCCAGAGTTTCCCAGCCCTGGACACAAAGCTCAGCCCAGCAGAGGCAAACTGTGTCTTCTCTACGGCCACTGAGGGGTTGGGGCAAGCCCTGAGGCAGCGCCTACTCCAGCTCTTCACTGGCCCTCCAGAGCCAGGCCTGCCAAAGGGCTGTGCCCCAGCATCTGCCCTGCCCCGTACTCACATCTCCGTCATGGTCTCGGGCAGGTTGGCCGGGATGGCAGTGAGGCCTTTTCCACGACAGTCCACGATGCCATTGCTGCAGGTGCACATGGCCGGGCAGGAGCCGGAGGACAGGGTGCAGGTGGGCACGCGCCCCGCTTCTCCCTGGCCTGCAGAAACAGGGGGGTGTGGCCTCAGGCTGTCATGCATCAGCACCTCCCTTGAGCCCAGATACCGACTGATGGATGGGATAGGGTGTACACTGGCAGTTTCTCTCGATAAGGATGAACCAGAGGGGATCACTAATGAAATAAGATTCTGGACTTTGATATAACTCTGTGGGTGCCTGGCACACAGCAGGTTCTTGTCAGATGTTTGCTGAACTTGAATCTGAACTGAACTGCACTGGTGTGTGATTCATACACTAAGAAATCCTGGCCTAGAATTCTGAAGCTCTGGATTCTAGTCCAAGTCACTTAACACTTCTGAGCCTGAGTCCCCTCATCTCTCCCATGAGGGTGATAATGTTTCCTAAACACTCAAGCACTTACTGTATGCCACATGCTATAATAAGTGCACTACATGCAGCATTGCATTTAAGCCTAAGAGGAGCCTATTATTGTTGCCATTCTACAGCTGAGAAAACAGAGTCCTCGATATTAATTAATTTGTAGAAATTCTCACAGCTAATAAGTGGTAAAACCAGGATCCAGCCCAGTGTCTGAAATAAGAGCCTTTGAAAAAATGGAGGTATAACTTATACAAAGTGTTCTTTCTGAAGCATGTAGCTGGTGGGACCACTACCTAGACATAGAACATTTCCATTACCCAAGAAGATTCCCTCCTGCCCCTTCCCCAAAGTAACCACCATTCTGAGATCTATTGCCAAAGATTTGTTCTGCTCGTTTACGAACTTCACATAAATGAAACAGTAGTTTCTCTTGTGTCTGGCTTTTTTGCTTAATATACAATCTTTGAGATTCACTATGTTGCTGTGTGTATCAGTAGTTTGTTCTTTTTCATTGCTGAGTAGTATTCCATTATATGGATACATCATAATTAGTTGGTGGATATTCAGGTTGTCTCCAATTTGGGGCTATTATGGAAAAAGCTGCCTTTAATATTTTTGGACATTTTTGCAGAAAAAATGCACACACCTAGTAGGAGTTGGAGGGTCACAGGGTGGACAGATGTTGAGCCTTAGTGGATCCTGCTAGACAGTTCTGCAGAGTGGTTGAGCCAGTTGATACCCCCACCAGCATTCTAACTTCGAATATTTTCCATGGCTGCCCCAAAGGGTGGGCACCAGGACCAAATGAGACAAAGCTACATGGATTCCTGGCATATTGTGACAGTGGCCTTCAAAGGAAAAGGGTTGCCAGGCTGATCAGACTCCAGAGGAGAAACTCATGTCTGAAAATAGAAACCACGGTCTTCCAAATGCAAAGGAAAAGGTTTCATTTCAAAATAAAAATTGTCCAAGTGATTTACCCATTCCAATTCCTAAAAACTGTGGCAGCTGCAATGATGCAGAGGCAGTCCTGGCTCACACAAGAGACATGCACACAGGTTTTCGCACACAGGCACACACACTCATACGCACATCTGCATGCACACACACACACAGCAGTGCAGAGCACAGCGGTGTTCAAGCCCACCCATTGCACTGGGTGTCTGCCAGTGCAATGGAGGAGGTGACAGCCACAGCCAAGAGCCTCACACTGAGGAGGGGAGGCTGTGCCTAGGAGATGCTTTCCTTCAGAACTCTGTGTGGCTGGCAGGCCCAGTCCACGGGTTTGGGAGAAACAGTCAGCCTCTAAATCCTCTGTCACAAATCTGAGAACTGTCCCTTCATTCAGCAAGTATTTCCTGTGCCAAGCAAAGACAAAGTGCTGAGGATGCACCAGAAACACAATGCGGGACCTCATGTAGGATCACAGAAGGCTCCCTGGGCCCTGCCCTGCAGGGTGAGGAGGAGTCGGCAGGCAACAAAGAGGGAAGGGTGTGTCCAGCAGGGGAGCAGCCTGTGAGGCCAGGGCTGGGGGCACCTGCACCAGGAAGGGGCAGAGGCAGGCCAGGCACAGCTGGGGGAGCTGCAGGCAGCAGGAGGCAGGGGAGGCAGCGGTGGCCCTGGCCAAGCTTGCAGAGCCTCAGACTCTCGACACAGTGCTGACGGCCAGGTGAGTACACGAGCAGTGACCTCCCAGACTTGCGGGTTCTTTTTGGTCTTCTGGCTGTAGTATAAGCCAGGGGCCAGGGAGGATGTAGGCAACCAGTCAGGAGGCTATGACAGAACCCCAGGGGGAAGGTGAAAGGGTGTGGGCTTTGAGGCCCACCTCTTTTGGAGCCAAGTTTAGAGGGCCTAATTCAACGACTTGTCAAGGCAGCAGAGGTGAGGCGATTGGAGGATGGAAAAGGGGGTGATAGCAGTGGCAAGGAGCCCAGAGGACATCGGAGGAGGCACTGAGTAGACCAGAAAGAGATCGGGGTGGAACAAAGAGGGTGATGAGTGGACAAGGCAATGAGGGGACAGGAGGGAAAAGGAGAGGAGGCAAGAAGTGACATGCAGAGACAAATGCCATGGTGAGAATGGGAGGTGATGGATGGGGCAGGAGGAGCAGACAGTGGAGTCAGGAGGTGATGGATGGGGCAGGAGGGGCAGATAGTGGGGTCAGGAGGTGATGGGCAGGGTCAGGAGGTGATGGGTGGGGCCAGGTGATGGGCGGGGTCAGGAGGTGATGGGCAGGCCAGGTATTAATGTCGAGATTAGGGGCGGGAACAAGAGGCAGGGCAGGAGGCGCCGGACAGTTGAGAGCCCGGCAGGGGTCTGCACCCACCTGAGCAGCTGAACTCACTCTTCTGGACCTCTGCCACATTGAGGCCACGCAGGCTGGCTGGGCCCGAGCACTGGGTGAAGAGCCCGATGGTTGGCCGCTGCCTCAGCCACTGCGAGAGCCAGGCCAGGTGGCAGTCGCAAAACAGGTGGTTGGAGTGCAGGCGGCTGCAAGAGGACAGGATGGCTCACAACCCATCTGGATCCCCCAGCCCAGCCTGATTGTGGGAACCCCAATCTCAGGCAGGAGGCTGCCCCCGGTGCTGTGTTCAAGCCAAACACAGTCTACATTTAGTCAAGTAGACGGCTCAGCTCCAACCCGGGGATTATCCACAGCCCCGTGAAGATCCCGCTGCTGCCCCTCCCCTCCCACATGCTCTGGGCACAGCTGGACCGGAATGTACCCAGCAAAGCCCAGGTCATCGCAATGACCTTGCACAGGCTCACTTCCCCAAACCACCTGGCTCATTTTCAAACACAAAAACAAATCATTTGTTTTCCAAGGAAAAACCAAATTAAGTGGCATTGGATGCCCTGCAACCGTATAACTCCTTCCGCCTCCGAGAGCATGAAGCCCCCAGCCTGGGCTGGCCTCTGGGGGTCTGAGGGAGAATGAGCTCCATGACCTGTCTGCAAAACCTTCACCTCCTGCCCCACCCACCCCCTGGCATCAACCGGGCTTGGCTGCCCCGCTCCCAGCTGCCCCGGCTGACTCACAAGGTCCGTAGCTTGGGCATATGGTTGAAGCTGGACACGGGGATGGTGGTGATATTGTTGTTGTTCAGGGTCCTAAATGGGAAAAACCAGAGTCATTTAGCACCTGCCCAGCAGGAGATGATGTGGGACAGGGCCGCCCTGCTAACGAACAGGGAGGCTCTCGACCTTAAAGTGACCAGCACGGGGCTGGACATGGAGGAGCTAAGCCGAAGAGCATGAGGCATATCCCACCCCACAGGAAAGCCCTGAGCTGGGACGGTGACCGTAAGCCGACAGCACCATAGACTCCAAGGCTGGTAGGATAGGGAGATGGAGCAGGGCGGGTGATGGGACGCGTCCCAGGCTTGGGTTGGCTTGGAAGAAAGGTGGGGTTTGGATAGGTAGGGAGAAAGGGAGAAGCATTCCAGGCCAAGTGCCAGAAACCCTTGGGTTTCATCCTGAGCAGGTTATACTGGGGCACACTACTTGCTGCAGGCACAACCCCATGAGTGCCTGTCCTCCCCTCCTCCGAGGTGATTCTAGGAGGGCAGGTCTCTCCCTTCCTGTCTCCCTGATGCCCGCTGCCTAGGCTGCGGCACTTGGCACCTGCCTAGCAGGGCCCTCCACACCCCTCCTTCCTTTTCCATGCTTTACTTACAGCACCTCCAGCCCCCGCAGAGCACGGAAGGCCCCTTCCTCAATGCAGCTGATCTGGTTCTTGTCCAGCTGTCTGTGAAGCAAAGGAAGGTTGTAGAGAGAAGGGCACATTGCCTAGAGTAAGGGTGTCCAAACATTCTGACCGCGTGCTCCATTCATTCAAAAGAGGTGCACCCCTAGCCGTTTGTTATGTGTATATGTGTCAATCCAAATAGCGAACATTAGTAAAAACTTAAGGGTTTTTTTCTAATTTTCAGTTAAAATCATAAATATAAGTAAAAGTTATATTCTTCTACTCAACCTTACATATCCCCTGGGGAGCAGGCACCCCCCTACACACACACACACACACACACACACACACACATTTTGGAGACCACCTAGTGGGTGCTGGCAGCTGGAAAATGGGAGAGTCACAAAGCAGTGACATCCAGAGCTGGCAAACAGACCTCAGCCTGAGTGCCAAAGAGGTTGACTAGAGGTGGCTACCTGGAGTGCTGCTGTCAGAGTAAACTGAAGCTGTGAGGTGAGCTCTGTGGGAAAGAATGTGGTGACTGATTATCAATGTGTGCCACAGGCGAGGTTGGGGGTGTGTGTGACAAGCATGCCAGGCATTTGCCATCCCTGCTGTAGTCAGACTTCAAGGAGGTGGTAAGCCTGGACCAGAATACATTTGAATAGTAATAATAATAAGCCATTACATTTAAATAGCATTTGACAAAGTGTATTTATTTCCATGTTTCATTTAAACCTCAGAACATGCCTGTGAAGTAGATCTTAGTATCCCCATTTTCCAGAACAATATATCGAGGCTCAGCGATGTTCACTGACTTGCAGCGGCCTTATGTATGTGTAACTAGAAGAGAAGATTCAAACCCAGCTCTCCCAACCCAAATATGAGGCGGGCACAGACACTGTGCCACCTAAATGGACTGAGAACATTGCCCACGCTGATAACACGCTTCACCAGGTCCCCAAGGGCCCCCTCCGTTGGCTCTCATATGGAATCACAACCAAGGGAGAGGCAAGGGCTGCCTGTTTCCTCCAACCCCAGACTATTCCAGAAGACCATGCTGGCACCAGCCCTCTGAGAGCCCAGGTCAGCTCCCTGGCTGCCTGGACCACACGGCTCGCTCAGGGATACCCTGAGGATGCTGCCAGGAGTGGCCCTGGAGCCCCCACACCCTTCTCCCTCCCAGGCCTGTACTCACAAATTTTTAAGGTCCGTAGCTCCCCGAAAAGCTTTCCTGGGGATGGCCTGGATGGCGTTCTCACTCAAGTCCCTGGGAGGATAAAGCCAGAGGGAGAGAAAACACCGGTCAGAAAAGAGGTTCCTGCAGAGTGCTGTGATAAGTCAGGGAAGCAGGGCAGGTGGGCTGGAGGGCACTGAACCAGCCACTGCTGCACCCCAGCACCTAGGACAGTGCCTGGCCCACAGTGGCCACTCAGCAAGCATTTGTTGAATGAATGAATGATGGAACTGGAGAGACACACCATGTCCTGGAGGGAGCTCAGTCCCCAGCCACCTCCCCTTCTCTGGGCTCGGGGCTTGCAGCTGGAAGGAGAAGCCTGGGGCAGCTACGATCAGCCCTGCCAGACCCCACCTGATGTAGTTTGGATATTTGGCCCCGCCCAAATCTCGTGTTGAATGGTAATCCCCAGTGCTGGAGGTGGGGCCTGGTGGGAGGTGATCTGGTCATGGGCACTGATCCCTCCTGGCTTGATGCTGACTTCTCGATGGCATGTGAGTTCCGGGAGCTCTGGTTGTTGAAGTGTGTGGCACCTCCCCCTCCATTCTCCCTCTCCTTCACTCTCCCACGTGAAGTGCCTGCTCCCCTTCAGGCTTCCGCCATGAGAAAAAGCTCCCTGAGGCCTCCCCAGAAGTAGATGCCTTTGCTTCCCGCACAGCCTGCAGAACCGTGAGCCAAGTCAATCACTTTTGTTATAAATTACCCAGTCTCGGCACTTCTTTATAGCAATACAAGAACAGCCTAATGCCCACAGAGGTCAGCCCACCAGACCCACAGAGGCCAGTTCAGCCCCCCACAGCATCGTGCAGGGCGCAAAGGGGCATACAACAGAGGTGCTTCTGGAGGGGGATTGATGACCACTGTCTGGCACCAGGTGGGAGGGATGGCACCCTGGGCTGGCTGTGGTGGGTGCGCCTGGGGCTTACGCTCTGTGTCTTATGCTGAGCAAGCTGACTCAGGAAGGACAGAATTGGCTCCGGTGACCCAGTTGGCCAGTAGCCCACCCAGATCTTTAGCTCCAGGCAGGGCCTGACTCCAAACCCTGTGCTCTTGTGGACTGCAGGCAACAGGGCACCTCCGAGAGCCTAGGCCACAGGGAGTCAGGAGCACGCAAGGGGCTGGGATCACTGAGGACTTCACACCTCCCCATGAACGCCCTGCTGCGAGGGGAGGGGGCGCTGTCAGGACTGCAAATCCTCAGCCTCAGTGACTGCCAGGCCAGCTTTGGGGCCCTTCCTCCACTCCCTGTCAGGGCCGGGCCTCTGACCTGTCCACCTGCCTCTCTTCCCTCTCAGCAGCCTCCCTGGCATCCACAGACGTGTGCAAACGCCCCTTTCCAGGTCAGCTCTTCCTACTCACAGCCACACTCCCCCCAGGCCAGCACTGCCTGAGTACTTCCCAGGAGCGTGGCGTGGATACTATCACCATCCCCATTATACAAAGGAGAAAAGGGAGGCTCAGAGAAGCTAAGCAACTTCTTCAAGGTAACCCAGCTGGTGGGTGGTGGCTCCAGAATTTGAACCCAGGCATTCAGGTCCCAGAGCCCTGGCTTGTGCGGCAGCCCTGGGGGTAGGAACTGCCATTGCGCCCATTTCACAGAGGAGGGAGCTGAGCTCTGAGATGTGAAGTAACTGACCTGGTTGGACCCGGGCTCCCTGCCCCAGAGCCTTGCCCCAGACACACCGGGGTCCTGAAGGTGAACAACCAGCGGCAGACCGTCCTGACATAGGCCCCAGTGCCAGGCAGTTCCACAGCCCCACCTCCTCCTCCTGGGCCAGGCCCGTGGGCTTTGACGGTGCCCTTCCTTTCAGCCCCTCACCCCACAGGGTCCGAGAACACAGCCCACAGCCCCCTGCCCCGCCGCACACCGCCCCTTGAACTGTCAAGGCCGCCGCTGCCCTGTCTGGGTTTCCCTGGTGAGAAACCCAACGGTGTGCACAGAGCCCTGAGTCAGAAAGGTAGGAGGCAGGTGGGCTCCTACTGCCTACTAGAACTGTGAGAAGGCACTGGACCAGCTGCTGCTGCACCCCAGCACCTAGGACAGTGCCTGGCCCACATCAGCCACTCGCCAAGCATTTGTTGAATGAATGAATGAATGAATGAATGATGGAACTGGAGAGATGCACCCTGTCCTGGAGGGAGCTCAGTCCCCAGCTACCTCCCCTTCTCTGGGCTGGGGACTTGCAGCTGGAGGGAGGAGCCTGGGGTTCGAGGCCTGGCCCTCCCCCTCCTGGCCATACATCTGCAAGGCACCCTTCCCCTCCCGAGCCCAGTTTCCTCATGTACAAAATGGGAAAAATGAAAGCCTGGCAAAGCAATTGCCTTCCCGTCCCCACAGAGTGGGCACCAACATCTATGTGCTCCCTCCCCCAAACCCAGCCCCTCTGTCCTGTCCCCTCACAGCCTTTAGAAAAGCAGCCAGGCACCCGTGTCTGAAGGGGCCTTGGCACCATCAGTGCCCCTCGTTCTTGCTCTCTATTGCTCTCTCTCTCCTGGATGTAGGCCCCATCTCCTGGAGGGGAGATGGTTCAAGCCTGCAGCACAGACACAGCTGTCCCTCCTCCAGAGCCGTCCCACCTGCTATCCCTGAGGCATCTCCCCTTCTTGTGGGGGAAGCTTCCTCCTCCCGCACTCGCCCGGCCCCACCTTCCCTTCCTGCTCTCCCCATGGCATCTTTCATCTTCGATCTTGGTTACTTGTGCCATATCGCCAGCTCCCCAGTGTAGTCTGTCAGTATTCCTGGAGACATTCCCCAGATTCCGCCCATTTAGGCTACTCCCCAGAGGGCCCCCAGTGGCCTACTCCCCGATGCCTGTCTTTATGCAGCAACTCCCCCAGCCCCATATGTCTTGAGAGGCTCATTTCAGTCTTTGCCTGCCTAATCCTTGTTATCATCTCTTCCTTGCCTAGAGAGTTCCTTGGCTGCCACATCCTCTTCTTAGTGTCTCTGCTTCATATAAGAAATTGCTACCCTGGTGGTGCCTGCCCTAATGGCTTGATGGTTCTCCTGGTCTGTGGACTTGTGGACTTGTTCTCTCCATCTTCCTAAGTGGGATGCTGCCACTGGGCAGAGTGGGCTGGCAGGGAAATTACTGGATTTAGAGCAGGGCTGTACAGGCCACACAGGTAAACAACAGACTGCCCACACTGGAGCTCATGGTCATGCGAGTTCCTCAGTAACCAGGAGCCCAGGCTGACATGGGAGCCCAACATGAAACCAAACTCACCTTGATGGAGTGCCCACAGGCACCAGTGACCGGGCTGGGCTTGTGGATGCAGAGCTAACCACAGGTGCATGGTCCACCCTAGAGCACTCATGCCCAGAAGAGGGCACAGATGGGAAACCAGTGAGTGGACCTTCAATCCTTCACCCCAGAAATGTGTACTGAAAGCTGATGGTCTGCTGGGGACCCCCAAAGACTTGCTTTCATGGGGTGTACATGCCAGCTTTCAACAATGGCTGGAGGAGCAGTACTGCCAAAGAGATGGGAGAGTGCAGAGAAGTGAGTGAACAAGTCCGCTGGAGGGAGGAGAGGTGATCTCTGACCGGATCTTAAAGAGTTGATGTGTCCCAGACAGAAATGGAAAATGAGGAAAGGGTGTTCTAAGCAGCGGTAACAGCATGTGCAGAAACCCAGAGACAGGAAGGAACAAGGCAGGCTGGGGGAATCTCATGTGGTTTCGTATGACTGGTGTGTGTACGTGGGAGGTTGTGGTAGTTAAAAGACATCCACAAATTCTTTGACATTCCTCCCTTCAAAAGACAGAGGCTCATTCTCTTCCTCCTGAATGTGGGCAGGACTCAGTAACTTACTTCTGAAGAACCACATATGATGGAAACGGTAATGGATAACCTCCGAGACTAGATCATAAAAGACACTGTAGCTCCCTCCTTGTTCCTTCTGGGTTTGCCCTCTCTGGGAGAACCCAACCCAGGTCATAAGGACACTCAAGCAGCTCTCTGGGGAGGCCCACATGGAGAGGAACCGAGGCCTCTCGCCAACAGCAGGCACAGGCTTGCCAGCCTGTGAGCCAGCCATCAAGGAAGTGCATTCTCCAGCCCCAGCCAAGCCTTCAGATGACACAACCCCCCAACATTGTGATGCAATCTCATGAAAAACCCCAAGCCAGAACCACCCAGCCACCTACAGAGACTGTGAGATGTTTATTGTTTGTTCTTGAAAGCCGCAGTGTTTTGAAGTCATTGGTTACGCACAATTGATGACTCATCCAGCGTTGCTTTGAGGCATGACCCTAAGGAAGGGAGGGGCATGCTTAGGCTCCAGGTTAATGGGCTGAAATCATGTTAGAGACTTGGCTACATCACTTCTTTTTGGGGGCCTCAGTTTCCTCATTTGTCCAATTCATAGGCTGGAGCAGAAGATTTCTAAGCTCTTCACCAGTGCAGACCCAACCACATGCCTGCAAGACACATTGCTATGGTCTGAATTATCGTTTCCTCTCAAAAAAGGCATAGGTTGAAACCTAATCTCCAATGTGATGGTATTAGGAGGTGAGGACTTTGGGAGGTGATAGGTCATGTGAGCTCCATCCTTATAATAGGATTAGTGCCCTTATGAAAGAGACCGCAGAGAGCTGCCTTGCCCCTTCCTCCGTGTGAGGACACAGCTAGAAGGCACTGTCTATGAAGCCGGAAGCAGCCTTCACCACACGCCAAATCTGCCAATACCTTGATCTTGGACTTCCCACCTCTAGAACTGTGAGAAATAAATTTCTGCTGTTTATAAGCCACTTGGTCTACGGCATTTTGTTTTTGTTTTTTTAGAGACAAGGTCTTGCTGTCACCCAGGCCAGACTGCAGTGGCACAATCATAGCACACTGTCACCTTGAACTCCTGGGCTCAAGCGATCCTCCCCACCTCAGCCTTCTGAGTAGCTGGGACTACAGATGCGCTGGGACTACAGATGCTCTACGGGTGGAGACAGGGTCTCATTTTGTTGCTCAGGCTGGTCTCAAACTCCTGGCCTCAAGTGATTCACCCACCTCAGCCTCCCAATACAATATTTTGTTATAGCAGCTGGAACAGACTAAGACACACATCAAGTGAGGTGGTTGCTTCTTTAGAGGATTTGGGGTCCCAGAAAGGAGGTGAGGAAAGTTGCTGGCCATACACCTACTGAAAGACGGGGTCTGGGGAGAAGACAGACACAGCCTGCCACCTTTGCTGACCCACAGGGACTCAGGGAGATGAGAGCATGTGCATTAAGAGCCAGATGGAGGCAGGAAGGAGTGGTGGCCTGAGGACGTCCACAGAGTCAGGAAGGCGGGACCTCCAGTGGGACCCTCATCTCAGCCCAGCCGACCACTCACCCTTTGGCCAAGCCTGGGAAGGAACGCTGGGCCGGCACTCACATCCATTCATTATTCCATTTAATCCTCACCACAACCCTGCAAGGAAGGTTTTTTTATTCGTATTGATTTGCTTATCGATTTAGACCCAACCTTGTTCTAGAAAGCCTTTAAGGTGGCTTATAGGGATTTTCAAAACAGCAAGAGAGCAAGAGTGAAAAATGAGGCACAGAGAAGAGGAGGAATCAATGGCGGGTACTAAGAATGCATGCACCATGTGACCACATGCCAGGCTGGGCTGAGCGGGGCTCTGAGCTTTCTCACTGAAAGCCAGCGTGAAAGGAGAGCCAGTCAGCTCACAGCGCCCACGGGACACGTATAAGTCTAAAAGGATCAGCTTCTCAGGAGTACAGCTGGTGTGGCACTCAGATGAGGCAAGAATTTTCCCAGGGGTGTTTATTAAAAATGACAGTGTAGCCTAATCAATAACACTAGATCCTTATAATTAATGGGGTTTGAGTGTCTGTTTCTTATAATAGCATCAAAGTACAATTCAGCAAATGCATTTCTATAAGGACTCACACCAGGAACTAAGTAGGGAAGAGGAAGAAGGCAGAGGCAGACTCCAGGTAGGCCCAGTCTATGCAAAGACGCTGGGGCATGAGAGAGCCTGGTATGACTGGGGAGGAGCAGAGGCTCTGGGAAGCAAGTGTCAGCTGGGAGAAGCCTCACACAGGCCGGGGAGAGTGATGGGATAGAACAGAGAGGGCTGTGATATGACCATCTTTTTAATTATTTTGTTTATTTATTTAGAGACAGCATCTCACTCTGTCACTCAGGCTGGAGTGCAGTCACTCAATCACAGCTCACTGCACTGTTGAAATCCTGGGCTCAGGTGATTTTCCTCTCTCAGCTTCCTGAGTAGCTGGGACTACAGGCGCATGCTACCATGCCTGGCTAATTTTTTAAAAAATATTTTTGTAGAGACAGGGTCTCACTATGTTGTCCAGGCTGGTCTCAAACTCCTGGGTTCAAGTGATCCTCCCTCCTCAGCCTCCCAAGTAGCTGGGACTAAAGGCACGGGCACTGTGCCCAGCTCTGACCATCTTTCAGGCTTTGTTCTGGGGCACCAAAGCTTAAAGAGGAAAGACACAGCCCCCAGGCAGGCAGGCAGCAGGTGATGCCAACGGCCATCAAGAGATAAGAGATGGCCCAAAGCTGGGTGTGGAACTGTCCCACCCTGGCCAGTCAGCCCACAGCCGGAACCAGCCCTCATCGTTTAAATGAAGACAGGAAAGTGAATTTGGGGCCCCAGGAGAGGCCAGAGGAAAACAGGTGAACCTTGGAAGCCTCAGGAAAATGCAGCCTGATGGCAGCAAAGCGGGTGGTAGAAGGAGCCTGCACCTGTAGAGAGAAGGACCAGGTTCAACTCCTGCTTCTGCTATTGACCAACCATGGACCTCGAGAAGTTCTGCACCTGAGAGCTTCAGGTGTCCTATTTGTAAAATAACTACCACGTGGGACTTTGGAGAAGATTGTGAATTGATGTACTTAAGCTTCTGAATCACAACCTCCATTTAGCAGCATTCAAGAAATGCGGGCTGTTGTCCCTGCCCGAAGCACAGCCTAAGCAACCCTAAGGCTCTGTTGTTTCAAGCTTTCCCACGAGGGGGCGCCAGAAGCCTTCCCTGGACCTGGATGCCTCAACCACATCGCAAACTAGCAGAACAAAGCTATTCTCTTTTTTTTTCTTTTTGCTCCAACTGACTTCCTACCTTGCCAATACTTGTCTCATCTTTCCCAAATCCCTTTGAAATAAAGTTTATCATGTCTTCTGCCCCTGGTCTGTGTGGAAACCCCCCAAAAGCACCACCTAAGCCTTTCCCCATCAGTTTTCCGGGAGCTCTGGGCCACCTTCATCTTCCTCAGACCCAGTCATTGCTGCCCGTCCTCCTCCCACGCGGCCTTGTCAAACGCCCTGAAGTGAGGAGATGGCCAGGATGTGTCTGGGCAGAATGAGACACCCTGAGAACTGCCGTCCTGGAAGCGGGCGGGATCTGCGACTGGAAGGACAAACAGCCAAGCCCAGGGCAGCCAGGGCCTGTCCCAGCCCGGGGAAGCGGAGCCAGACAGGGGTTCAGAAGGAGGGCAGGGGCAGGACAGTGACGAGGGCACCATGACAGATCCCCAGAGTCAGACCCAGGACAGCGCTGGGGAGATACAGGGCTGGGGCAGAAGCTGAAGGGCGGGACAAGGTCCCAGACTTCTGACAAGCACCTGGGGGATGCGGGGATGCTGGTCCAGGGAGCACTCACGGAGAGGCCAGGGTGCTGAGGACAAAGCCCACAGCTGGGTGTCACAGGGGAGACTTGGCTCCACTCACTTAAATCGTGTGGTCTCGGGCAAGTCATGTAACCTCTCTGGCCCCAGTTTTCTCATCTGCAACATGGGGATGGAAAGCGGCACTTATGTTGCAGGATCTGATGGGAGAGGTGCCGCTGCCTACTCCCTCACCTCTGCTGACATTCCTCCAGTTTCCCAGACCCCTCCTGACATCCACAGGACCTGTGTACTTGCTGTGGCTTCTGCCTGGGATACTCTTCCCTCACCTTCACCCAGGAAACGCTATTTATCCTTCACACCTCAGTCTACAAACACCTCCCCTGAGCCTGAGTCAGCTGCTCTATCTGCAACAGGCTCCTAGCACCCCCACTTTTACTTTTCGGCACAACCCAGGCTTGTAATAAAATACAGGTGCACCGAATGTGATGAAGTACTGACTCTGGTGAACGTCCATCTCCCTCTCCAGACCATAACCTCCCAGCAGACACTCTCCTTCACTTTCCCTTATATCCTGGCACATTGCAGAGACTTAGTAATTTTTAGCTGAATGAACTAAAATGGATCCTTACATGAGTCCTCTGCTCTAATCCCTCTCCGTTTTCCCGGCCAAAACAAGTAGTTAGGACTGGCCAAGGGAGAGGCAGGAGCTCAGGGCCAGACAGGCTGGCTGTGCATGGCGAGAGACCACAGCTCCCCACCTATGCTGCGGCCACTTGTACCTGCTCTGCCTAACCAGGCTGCAGACCCAGTGAGATGCAGGCTCAGAAGGGGAAGGCAGGCACGAGCAAGCACTTGTTATTGTGGATGATGTAACAATCGCACCTCTTCCCTTCACACATCCTTCAGGATATTAACAACCAACACCCTCAAGTGGTTCCAAGTTCACACCAGCTCAAGGCAAGGGCCCTGCAGACAAAGCATGAACCCCATTGCCAAGATCAAGCACCCCAGGAGGCAAGCTCCACCAAGAGCAGCCCCCACTTGGCCTGGAAGCATCGGGCAACCCCAGTCGGCCGCCCGCCCCTGAAGACAAGGGGGCCGCCAGGCCCACACCCTGACTTGGCACCATCCCCAGGCACCCTGCTCTGGCTGCCCCTCCTTCTGCACACTCTGCCAATCCCCCCATCCTCTCCCAGGGCTGGAGGAGGCAGGGGTTGGGGAAGCTGAGGTCAAGACCCCATGTTCTGGCTGCTAATCTGCCTTCACGCTCTAACCTGATTGGTCCCTGCTGGCAGACCAGCCTCTAAGGGGATTAGCAGTGGGGGCAGGGGTGGGAGTACACAGAGGGCTGCTGGGCACCTGCCAAGGCTGGACTGGGCTCTGGGTTCTTGCTGCCCACTCGGGCGCCACTGCAGGGCACAGGCCTTACTTTGTCTGCCTTTCATGCCACATGGAAGCTCTGGGCAGCCTGGCCTGTCCCCTCGGCCCCCTGCAGCCCGAGTGGTTACCTTGAACCAGGGCACCCCAAGGGTACCAGGGCACCTCATCTGGGGGCTTAGATCCTTGTCAGAAGATGGTTGGATTAAGGACTCAGGCTCTGGCCTCATGCACATCTTCTAACCCCCAAGCCTCAGTCTTCTCATGGTAAAATGGGAATAATTATCATATGGCTTAACCACAGCTGAGTGTGGGGCCTCAGCCAGGACTGGCAGAGTTGGCTGCCATTGCCCACACTTTAATAATTGCCTTTTGGGCTCTGTAGGGAGGAGGAGGGAGGGTCAGGGCCTGGGAGTCAGGAGGCTGAGGCTCAAGGCCGCCAACCCACTCCATGACCTCTGGCAGGACCACAGTTAGTTCCCAACATCTGCAACAATACTGACCTCCCAGGGATGCTGGGAGGATGGGATTACATGCTGTGTGTGTCACACACTCAGCGTGCCCACTGGTAGCTGGTGCCAGCACGGGGCAGCCTCACACGACTGTTATCAATAAGTGGCTGCCCGGGATTCCACTGCAGATAACTCAGCAAGTGAGTCCCTGGCACCTGGTGGATTGGCAGCATCGTCATCCCCGGGAAGTTTGATAGAAAAGCAGATTTTCTGGGTCCCACCTCCTGAGTCAGGATCCCTCAGTGTCTCAGGTGCACACTGAAGTCTGAGAAGTGCTGCCTCCAGCAGAGGAAAGGTGTAAAATGTTTTAATGTCCCCAGCTGGAGCCAAAGCAAACCAGATTATAACCTCTGTACTGGTTAGCATTTCAAAGCAAGGGTTGGAGGTGCCAACTCCTATTCTTTGGGGGCTGAGGTGGGGAGACTTAGACACAGACACCCCTAGTGAGTGGAGAGAGGGAAGAGCAGCTACCAACCCCTCAGCTGCAGCTCACCAAGGCCCGCCTTCCTGAGGAACAGAAAAGGCACCCACAGGGCTGGTGGGGGGCAGGGACCAGCCACTACATTTGTCCCACAGGCCCTTCCTGCATTTCTGCCAATTTGCATGGAAGATGCCTGAGGGCACGGGTGAGGAGCAGGTGTGGGGCTCCCTGGTGAATCAGCTCCAGCACTCACAGCAGAGGAAGACTTGGCATCTCCAGCATTGCCAGGAGGTCAGGAGTCCCAGCCCTGGCTCCCTGCTCAGGCCAGGGAATGGGAGACAGACTCCTAAGGACTGTCTGTGCTCCAGGGCCCTGCTGCAGGATGGCTTGGCAGGAGGGAGGCTATCAATACCCATGGGTGGGACGCTGGGATGCACATGCTGCTCAGAGATGCTCCTGGGATCTCGCTGGACCATCCCGCCTTTGTCTCTGCCGGTTCTTCACACCTCCCTTTAGATCCTATGCCTCCCACGTAGAAGGGGAATTAATTCTGCAAGTACCCCTCCCTGCCTGCTCTCTCCAGCCCATGAAACAACACTCAAGTGCCCCAGATCTACCCTGTGTGCATACTGCATGTGTGCACGCCTGTCTCCAGGTCAGGGACTAGGTCTAATTCACCTTCAAGGTGGGTTCTGGAGAGCATTCGATGATAAGAACCTGCATTGTGCTGCCTTGGGCCTCAACCCAGAGGCCAGGGCTTTGTCCACTCACAAACCTCAGGTGCTCCCAGAAGATGCAAGTAGAAAGCTTATCAGTCAGCTAATTCTCAGTGTGAATCTGTTTGTTTCATCTTCTCCAGAAGTTCAAGCTCAGGTAGGGGCCAGGGCCAGGGTGCAAAGCAGACCCAGCAGTGGTGTCAAAGAGACCACACTGGTGCAGTGAAGGGGGAGTGGGTCCCGCCTGCCACAAGCCCAGTTTCCTTTAATCTGGTCCTCTACTTCTCTGTCTTGTGAAAATACAGGACGGAACCGGGGGCCGTGGCTCACACCTATAATTTCAGCACTTTGGCAGGCTGAGGTGGGAGGATGGCTTGAGGCCAGTTTGAGATCATCATGGGCAACATAGTGAGTGAGAGCCCATCTCTCCAAACAGCTAACAAAATCAGCGAGACATGGTGATGTCTGCCTGTAGTCCTAGCTACTCGGAGGCTAAGGCAGGAGGATTGTTTGAGCCTAAGAGTTCAAGGTTACAGTGAGCTATGATCATGACACTGCACTCCAACTTGGGTGACAGAGTGAGACTCCATCTCTTAAAAAAAAAAATCACACAGGACAGGATAGATCCTGGGAGCTGCCTTTGCCACCTCCACTAGGCTTGGCTGCGGTCCTTTGAGTGGCAAGTTCCCCTTCCTAATCCTGGGTGCTCTCCTGCTCCCCTTCTCTGCAACCCTGACTGCCTTGAGCCAGACCAGCTGGAGCAGATGGCAGGGTCATCAGATCAGCGAGTTTCCCTAAAGGAAGTCTCAGGGCGCAGTAGCTAGTCTGGGAGCAGAGCCCTGCAGCCTGGATTCAAAACGAAGCTCAGCACCAACTGATGCCTCTTTGGGCCTCAGTTTCCTTTTCTGTAACATAAGTTTGTAAGAGGAGACTGGCACACGGTGGGTGACAATCAGTTGTATTGTCCGTGAGGCTTCCAACTGCCGCTACTAAATCCTGAGTGGTACAGCTCTGTGACTCTGACTGAAGAAATGACTGCTCCCTCTCCTTTACCACCTCTTCCACTCCTAAGAGAATGATAAGATTCACGGAATTAAAGCTCACACATGCTCTGTGAGGTCTGGAGATTTTTTTTCAATTATCGAACTACAGTCTGGGCACAGTGGCTCATGCTTGTAATCCCAGCACTTTGGGAGGCCGAAGCAAGAGGATCACTGGAGCCTAGGAATTTGAGGCAACCTGGGCAACATAGCAAGACCTGGTCTCCACAAAAATGTTTTTAAATAATTAGCCAGGTGTGTTAGTGTGTCTGTGGTCTCAGCTACTCAGGAGGCTGAGTTGGGAGGATTGTCAAGCCAAGGAGGTGGAAGCTGCAGTAAGCTGTGATCATGCCACTTCACTCCAGTCTGGGCAACAGAGTGAGACCCTATCTCAAAAATTTAAAAAATAAATAAATAAAATAAAATGTGGAACAGCCAACATGGTCCCAGGGAATTCCTGATGTCCAAGTTCCTGCAGGTGGTTTGGGGGCCTGACACTGTGGATGGTGGGGTCTGAGCTCTGCCCTTATTCATCCCACCCACATTTACTGAGCACCCAACATGTGCCAGGTCCCATCAGCTGGAGAGGTGCGCCCCTTCCCTGCCCACCGCGAAGCCACAAACCCTCCTGTGGCAGCCCCCTCCTTCTCCCTCCACCACCACCAGAGTTAATGTTGCAGAAACCTCATCAGGCAGAGACATTAAGCAGCCTTGAATGGCCGCAACATAAAAGCACCCAGGGTAACATTTCCTTGAACCCGGCTGTTTGCTATGCAGCTACTGAGCATGCGTTCCCCCAACAGAGATATCAGGGGCACATCCCACAAGGCAGCCCTGCTTTGAAGTGAAAGTTCAGCCCTGCCAAGGAACAGCAGCTCAGAGGCTAGAGTCCCACTAAGCAGTGAGAGGCTCAGGGGCACACAGAAGACACAACTAGCTTCGTCCTCTTCAACTCTACCTACTGCAAGTGGCAGACATGAGTCCCAGCCACTAAGGCAAGGGCACAGCAGCAGGCAACGAGGGTGAATGAAGCAGGCAGAGGAATGCAGGCCCCTCTGCATGTGAACACCAGGGCGAGGCCTCCGGGCTTACTCAACACCAGGTGCTGGGCGCGGAGACCTTGGAGGCCCCTGGTGACCTGCTAGTCCTGGGCGGGAATGCACCGGGGAGTATGAGAGGCAAGGCTCCTGTCCCAGGCACCTACAAGGAACAGTTAGGACCAGCGACTTCAGAAGTTCCCAGGCCAGACACACAATGGTGGGGGCAGGGGAGGTGGTGCAGGAGGACAAAGAATTGATGTATAGAGAAAAGGACATGAGCTTTGGAGCCAGAAAACCCTGGGCTTGACTCCAAGCCCTACCATTTACTGCCTGTGTGACCTTGGGCAAGTTACTTAACCTCTCTGAGTCTGGTTACTCATGGGTAGAGGAGGGTTAATCACATCTCCCTCTTGCTGAGTTGCGAGGATTAAATACCATATGTACCACTTATATAAAGCTCAAAATAGGCAAAACTAATCTATGCTGTTGGAAGCCAGGATTGTAGTTAGTCGGGATGGGGGGTGCAGGGATTTGTGGCTGGAAGGAGGTACAGGAGGCTTCTAGGAACTCATGATGTTTTACTTTTTGATCTGGTGCTGGTTACATGAGTGTGTTCACTTTGAGAAAATGTGGTGAGCTGTATACTCACTGGCACACTTTTCAGAATATATGTTATACTTCAATTAAAAGTTTTAAAAAGTAACATGGGAAGCACTGATTCCAGCACCTGGTGCTTTGTAGGCATTCAACAAATGCCAGTGCCCTCCCTCTCCAGTCCCTGCTGGAGGAGACAAATGCAGAAAAAATCTGCCAAGTGACAAATACTCCAAGAAGCCAGGCTCACAATTTTAAGCAGTGGGAAGATTCCCAGGCTGAGAGGAAACTGCACGGAGGACAGTGTGGCAGAAACAATCCCCAGCCAACAGTGAGGAGGGACTGGGGCCAGCTTCCAACAGACACAGAGGCGGAAATGGGAAAATGGGCACTGTGCAGATGTGAGTATCTGACTGTGCCAGGTGAAGATGCTGCATCTTCCAGAGTCTCTAGTACAGCAATACCGGTTCAGGTTCTGTGTCTTCCTGGAGAACAGGCACAGCACCCTGCTCTGGGACAAGACTTCCAGGTCATGGGGTAGAACTACAGGAGCAAGGATCTGGGAGAGCCAGGGCTGGAGTATGGGAAATAGGCCAATGGAATAGCCTTCAGAGTAGGTCCAAATGCCTTCTCTGCCTTGTTGCAGGAAGCAATGAGGGTATGTTGTAAAATAGAGAAAACAGAAATCAAAGAAGTAAAAAGAATAAAGACAGAAATAGGTAGAAATATCAAACAAAAGAGAGGTGCAGCCTGCAAAGCCCTTTGCATCTGCTACCAATGGGCCCCGGGCTTCTCACAGCCTAGGGGGACTTCGGGGAATGGTATCTTACACAATTTAGCAAGTCTATGGATAAAACAGCTTGGGAGCAGAGTGGCCTTTCCTGGGTCTAAAACCAAGCACAGAGGCCTCCTACAAGTCTTTATAAAGGGATGATCACAGGACATCGTTTCCTGCAAGGAGCTCCCTGCTACCCCCTGCCAAAAAATAGAGATGACTGTGAGAGAGAAAAGCAATACCCTCACTAGCATCCCCAGCGGGGGCCCAAGAACACTCAGCCACACCTTCCAAGTCACATGAAGCTAAGTCACAGGTCAGCTAATTCTGCAAAGGATCAATTTGCTAAATTTCTTTGTTTCCTTTAACAGTTTGGTTTTAGTTGGGCAGTTTCCCATTTCCCTTCACAATAGCCTTTTAAGGACAGTCAGATTGCCCCACCCCAGCCACTTCCTGTAGGAAGACTCCAAGCTCCACCATTCCTCTGTAGGAAGAGGCTGGGGCGGGTTCACTATAGTTCAAACACCCGGAGCTGGGGCAGAGACAAATGGAACAGTTCTTAAACTGCTGTAATAAAGACAAAATGCAAACCAGTCAACTCACACCAAATAGTTAAAAGAAATAAATCAATTTGACGTATTGGTCATTTGACAAATTGGCCATTCCATGAATTGACTTTTGGGGCAAATTGGCTTTTAGCAAAAATGGCATTTGGCAAATTGGTCTGCTTCTGTCACAGCAATGCATTTCACAGGGCAATTACTCACATGCTCCCAGCCCGGGCTTATGGCCTGGTACCTGATCTCAGGAGAAGTCGTTCTGCAGGGTCAGTGCCACCACCTACTACGCTGCTCTTTGCTGGACTGGCTCAAGCCAGGTGGGTTTTAGGGTATTTTGAAGAATGCACAGTCTACGCAACAGGCAGGCCACCCTTCACACGCATCACTTTTCTCAGGAAAGCTCATCCAGACTCTGAGGGGCAGACTCTTTGGGTTCTCCCGGTTGAGGACCAGGGGTGGGCCTGGGGCTGGGAAAGGCAGGATTTAATGTGGTTTGAAAAGAGAGAGAACTGAGGAGAGGAGTGACAGGGCTGGGCAAGTATAACCCAGGCTGTGCTGGGGGAAGGGGCTCTGCTCAGAGAAGTGACCAGGGCAGAGGGGCTGTGAATCCAAGCTTCTCCAGGGAGAAGCTGGGAGCCCCACCAACGTGGCAGGACAGCTAATGTCAAGACTGACGTCTGACTTGAAGTCATATCAGGAGCAGCCCACCAAGGAGGCCAGCAGAGCACCACTGGGTCCCTGGGGCATTTCCATTCCCTCTTCCTCAGGGGAAATGGGGTCCACTTCTCTACCAAAAAGACCATGCCCCATTCTTCCACACCTCAGTCTTCTACGGGGCTGTCACACCCTGTCAGTCTTGGCCTCAGGAGTTTCTCAGAAGAAAGAAGGGGCTGGAGGGATTGGAATAGCAAGAGGTCAGCTTCCCCAGGATATCTGCAGCCCCTGAGGCCCCCTCCACATGCACAGACAGGGATGCTCAAAGGGAATAAGACCCTAACAACTTTCCAGGCAGGCAGAAACACAGAGCCCTGACTGTTAACAGGAGCAAGGAAGGTTTCCAGTTGGCTGAGGGTCATCTGCAGGTGGCCACAACAAAAGCCCAGAGGAGCTACGAGGAACCACAAGGAGTCGCTGTCTGGGGAGCTGTCCGTGGTCCTGAATCCATCCGGCGGCTCTTCCTCTGCTCAGGGCTAAAGACTCACCTTGGATCCCAGCCACCTTCAACCTGACCCATCTGGCCCACACATCAAACCTTGTCTACTCAGCTCTTCTTTCTCCAAAGCCTACAGAGAGTCTGATCCATAACACACACCCAGAAAGACAGGATAGCTCCTCTATGAGCCTCAAGGGACCCACCCTTAGACTCCTAGGAGAGGCATGTGCTGACTGCAGTGCACATCACTAAGCTACTTCTATATGGGGTGAAGCTGAATCCTTCCCCAGTTTCCACTTCTCCAGAAGTCAGACCTCCCCGCTGCCTGCCTGAACACAGATGCAAGCACAGAGAGGTGCTGAGAGGGCATTTAGACATAATCCAAATCTTTGCACAAAAACTGTTCACTTTACTCCTAAGACATGAATGATTGTGACTGGCTCTTGTGTGACACACGATTGTTATTAGTGGTGGTGGTGGTGGTGATGATAGTGGTGGTGGCAACATTTATCGTGCATTTACTATGTGCCTGGCACTGTGCTAGGTATTTTATATGTGTTATATACATGATCTCATCTAATTCTTTTATTTTTTATTTTATTTATTTATTTATTTTTTGAGAGGAGTCTCGCTCTGTTGCCCAGGCTGGAGTGCAGTGGCATGATCTCGGCTCACTGGAAGCTCCGCCTTCTGGGTTCACGTCATTCTCCTGCCTCAGCCTCCCAAGTAGCTGGGACTACAGGCGCCCGCCACCATGCCCAGCTAATTCTTTGTATTTTTAGTAGGGATGAGGTTTCACCGTGTTAGCCAGGATGGCCTCGATCTCCTGACCTTGTGATCTGCCCTCCTCGGCCTCCCAAAGTGCTGGGATTACAGGAGTGAGCCACCACGCCCAGCCTCATTTAGTTCTTAAAACAACCTCATGAGACACATGCTCTCACCACTCTGGTGTGGGACGTTAATAGTCAGAGAGAATGTGTGTGGGAGGGGGCAGGGAGTAAATGAAAACTCTCTGGGCTTTCTGCTCAATTTTGCTGTGAACCTGAAACTGCTCTAAAAAAAGAAAGTCTACTGTTTGTTTGTTTGTTGTTTATAGAGACAGGGTCTTACTCTGTCACCCAGGCTGGAGTCCAGTGGCATAATTGTAGCTCACTGCAGCCTGGGCTCAGGCAATCCTGGGCTCAAGCAATTCTTCTGCCTCAGCCTGCAGAGTAGCTAGGACTCTGGGCACACCCCCACCATGCTCAGCTAAATATTTTTATTTATTTATTTATTTATTTGTAGCAAAGGGGTCTCACTATGTTGCCCAGGCTGGTCTTGAACTCCTGGCCTCAAGCGATGCTCCCACCTCAGCCTCCCAAAGTGCTGGGATTACAGGCATGAGATACTGCACCTGGCCAAAGCCTATTTTATTAAAAGTACTCTGATCATGCCTATTTTCCAGATAATGTAACTGAGGCATAGTAACTTTCCCAACCTGCCTAACTGCAGAACCCACAAGCTAACCCATTATGCTACACAGGCACAGCACATTAGAATCTTCAAACTGACGGGCAAGTGTGTGGGGAGGCTTCTGGAAGTGTATGTATGTCGGCAGTGACACTTGATGGATGAACTTGGAGGGAGGAGGTGAAAGCCTGGAAAGCAGAGTGCGATCGTGAACATTCATAATGTTGACATTGAGTCATCAAGGAAAGGTGAAATTATGTTCAGAGCCCTCTGTTTTAGAACTTAGATGCTTGTATAATAAATTCTAGACATATCCTCATCAAAAATGGCATACGGTTCACATGTTTTCCCTGAGCGGCCGTGCTGCAGAGAGTGTGGAATGTCAGCCCCTGTCTGCGATGAACATTGCCTGGGGACTTCTTGCCTCCCAGAATTCCTATGAGTGTCTCAGGAACTGTCACTCCTTCCAAACCCCTGTAGGTTTGAAAGGCAAAGAGGCAGGCATTGGAATCTTGTGGTGAGAGGCTTCGTTCAGAAGTCCCTTACAGACATGCAGCTGCATTTGACACTGCTTCCTTGAGGTCTCCGAGAATGAAGAGTGTGGTGGGAGCAGCTTGGAGGGGGGATCCAAGGCCATCAGCCCCTGACTTCTCACAGTCTTTGGCACACCTCTGGGCCACCACCCAGGAGCCCTCAGCAGGAGTGACACCAGGGCTCCTGGCCCCAGTCTTCATCTAGTTGTGGAAGTGACGGCCAGCTCTGCAAAACCTGAACATAGAGGGCAACTACACCTCCTGGTCTGGTGGCTGCAGCCAAATTCTGGGGGAGACAGGCAGAGGGTGGGTGGCTCTGACCACCATTGTGAATATCAGAAACTGTTCAGGGCTCAGGAGCCTTCATCTTAGCATCCAATTTGGCCCAACTCCTGCTTCTCTAGAAGGGGTGGAAATTTTCTCCAACTTCTAGAGAATAGCTCCCACAGCCATGCTCTCCCCCAGGGAAGGGTTGGTGCTGCCAGGCACCCTGCTGCCTGCCTCATTCTCTCCATCCCTAGACCAGGGGTCCCCACCTGGGCTGCAGAGCCACAAAGGCCACAGAGCTGTTGCAATATCTGGGTATCCTCATGCACCCCTAGCACTGTGTGTAGAGTGAATGAGGGTTAAACACCATGGGCTTTACCTCTGGGAGCCTTATTTTCCATATCTGTAAAATGGGAGAAAGTAACAGTCATAGCTGGTGGTTTAAGGCCCAATAAATAGGAGCTCTTGCTATTTCTTTTCTTTTCTTTCCTTTTCTTTTATTTTCTTTTCTTCTCTTTTCTTTTCTTTTCTTTTCTTGTGAGACAGAGTCTTGCTCTGTCACCCAGGCTGGAGTGCAATGGCTCGATCTCAACTCACTGCAATCTCCACCTCCTGAGTTCAAGCAATTCTCATGCCTCAGCCTCCCGAGTAGCTGGGATTGCAGGCGAGTGCCACCACGCTTGGCTAATTTTTTGTATTTTTAGTAGAGACAGGGTTTTGCTATGTTGGCCATACTGTTCTCAACCTCTTGGCCTCAAGTGATCTGCCTGCCTTGGCCTCCCAAAGTGCTAGGACTATAGGCATGAGCCACTGCACCCGGCCACTGTTACTTTTCTTTCCTTTTTTTTTTTTTTTTTGAAACAGAGTCTCACTCTGTCGCCCAGGCTGGAGTGCAGTAGTGTGATCTTGGCTCACTGCAAGCTCCACCTCCCAGGTTCATGCCATTCTCCTGCCTCAGCCTCCCAAGTAGCTGGGACTACAGGCACCTGCTACCACACCCGGCTAATTTTTTGTATTTTTAGTAGAGACAGGTTTTCACCGTGTTAGCCAGGATGGTCTCAATCTCCTGACCTCGTGATCCACCCTCCTTTGCCTCCCAAAGTGCTGGGATTACAGGTGTGAGCCACCACGCCCAGCGTTACTTTTCTTATACCTCCCATGTGGGTGCAGATGCCCTTGTGGACAAGTAAGATAGAGACTCAAAGGCACTGCTGGACTCCTAAGGTCTTCTTCAAAAACATGATGTATTTCCTTGGTCACTTCCTAACTACTGTACCCATGCTTTTTCTTCTTAGCATGTACTTTTTTTTTTTTTGTTTTTGAGATGGAGTCTCGCACTGTCACCCAGGCTGGAGGACAGTGGCACAATCTTGGCTCACTGCAACCTCTGCCCCCCAGGTTCAAGTGATTCTCCTGCCTCAGCCTCCTGAGTAGCTGGGATTACAGGCGCATGCCACCACACCCAGCTAATTTTTGTATTTTTAGTAGAGATGGGATTTCACCATGTTGGTCAGGCTGGTCTGAAACTCCTGACCCCGTGATCCGCCCGCCTCAGCCTCCCAAAGTGCTGGGATTATGGGCGTGAGCCACCGTGCCCAGCCAGCACTTACCATAGTTTTAATCAATCAATTATTTATGAAATTATGTAATTAATATCTATCTCCTTCATTTAATCTTGTGTTACAGAAGGGCAAGGGCCATGGATGTTTACTTTATGCCTAGCATGGAGGTGGGATGTCATCAATATTTGATGATTATCTTTGGGTACCAAAAAGGTCAAAACTAGCCCTTGGGAGGGGTCTGCGATGTTTTGACATTAACAAACAGGTCCTTCACCACTCTAGAGTGGCCAAAAGCCAGAGCACTGACAACGCCAGTGGCAAGAATGTGGGGCAACAGGAACTTTTGTCCTTTGCTGGTGAGGATATGAAATGGTACAGCCACTTCAGAAGATGGTTTGGCAGTTCCTCACAACACTAAGCATACTCTCACCATATGATCCAGTGATCATGCTCCTTGGCGTTACCCAAAGGAGTTACAACTTATGTTCACAAAAAATCTGTACATGGGTGTTTATGGCAGCTTTATTCCTAACTGCTAAAACTTGGAAGCAGCCAAAATGGCCTTTAGTAGGTGAATGGATGAGTAAGCTCTGGACCATCCAGACAATGGAATATTATTCAGTGATAAAAAGAAATGAGCTGGCCGGATGAGGTGGCTCACGCCTGTAATCCCAGCACTTTGGGAGGCTGAGGCGGGTGGATCACCTGAGGTCAGGACTTTTAGACCAGCCTGGCCAAAATGGTGAAACTCTGTCTCTACTAAAAAAAAAAAAATACAAAAATTAGCCAGGCATGGTGGTGCATGCCTGTAGTCCCAGCTACTTGGGAGGCTGAGGCAAGAGAATCGCTTGAATCCAGGAGGCAGAGGTTGCAGTGAGCCGAGATCGTGCCACTGCACTCCAGCCTGGGTGACAGAGCAAGACTCCAACCCTCCCAAAAAAAAGAAAGGAAAGGAAAGGACTATCAAGTCAAACTGAAATGCATATGATTAAGTGAAAGAAGCCAGAATGATATATACTGTATGATTCTAACTGTATGACATTCTGGAAAAAGGCAAAATTATGGAGAGAGTAAAAAAAAAATCAGTGGATGCCAACAGGTGGTGTGAGAGATGGATGAATACACAGAGCACAGAGGACTTTTAGGGCAGGGGAACCACTCTGTGTGATACTACAACAGTGTATCCATGTCATTAGACATTTGTCCAGACCCATAGAGTCTGCAACACCAAGAGTGAACCCTACTGTAAACTACACACTCTAGGTGATAATGATGTGTCAACATAGATGTATTGATTATGACAAATGTACGGCTCTGGTGGGGGATGTGATAACAGGGGAGGCTGTGCTTGTGAGGGAATGGGGATGGGGTAAATTGGGAATCTCTGTGGCTTCTGCCCAATTTTACTGTGAACCTAAAACTGCTCTAAAAAATAAGGTCTATTAAAACAATTAAAAAAAAAAAAACAGGTACCAATCCCCTTGAAGATTGACTGGACTGGATAAGTGTATGAAGCCCCCTGCCGCCACCACCCCCCAGCCCAGCCCCACACACAGCTGTCATTCCTCCAGGGGGCCTGTTCTCCAGCAAATGACAAAGGTCCCTGAACCAGGCCCAGCCTGCCTTTGTGACAGTGTTGGGTGGAAGGTCCACAGCCCCAGAAGGAAATTCTGACCATCTCCTGCAGCCCCCTCTCACCATCCTCCGGCTTGCCTCCCTGTTCCCCCAAACAAACACTTTTCCCCGTGGTCACCAGGGCCCTCCCCCGTCTCCATCCCTGCATTTGTCACATTGCATGTCTGCAAGTCTCAAGCCTCCTGATAATAACGATGGCAGCACAGCTGTGGAGAAGGATGCATCTGCCCTCTGCCAGCTTCCTGGAGGAAGGCACGCTAATATGAGTGAAGAGCACTGCCCTGGGCCGTACCTACAAGCCAGCACAGCCATGCCATGATCCAATAGTGTGCACACAAAGGCTCGCCTCAAAGCACGGCTCTCTGCCTGAGCCTCCTGATCACACTCTCGGCTCCTGTCCTGAGTATCTAGGGGGTAGTAACATCCCTAGATCTGATTCCAGCCTGGGGAGCCCGAGGCCTCCACTCTAAGCTTGAGCTCCAACTCAGAGTTACCAGAGCTGGGCGCTGGGGGGATGGAGTCTTGATCAGCCCAGCCAATATTTCCCATTTTCATCTTTCTTTGTTTGAGAACACAGCCAGGTTGGAGAACAAGCCAGGTAAACTAAAGCCTTGCTACCCAAAGTTTGCTAAGAAAATGTGCTGTACCAGCAGTGACAGAAATGCAGAATCGCACCCAGCCCCCGAGACCTGCTGCATCAGAATCTGCCTTTAATAAGGCGATTTGTGCGTGCATTCGAGTGGCACAGCACTGGATAAGAGAGTGGTTCTCAAACTCAGCTGCACACTGGAACTATCTGGGAAACTTAAAAAATACTGTTGCCTGGACCCACCCCAGAGATTCTGATTTTATTGATCAGGGAGGGAGCCTGGGCTTTGGGATTTTTCAAAGCTTCCAGGGGATTCCACAGGGCAGCCAGGGTTGAGAGCCCTCATTCTACACGTATGATCTCTAACCCTATCTTCTCTGTCCCTCAAACCCCTCATTTTGTCCTTTCCCACCCAGTGCCCCTCTTATGGTGCCACCTCTTTCTCCACCCCTTTCTCACAGTATTTCCAATGCCCCAGGATGACTGATGCTAACTAGGTGTTGAGGATATTGGGCCTGGAAGAGTAGTTCATACTAGGTGGTGAATGACTGACAGCCCTAATTTCTATGTGGTATGTCAGGGGGAGTTCTGGCTTAGGCTAGTCTATCATTGGTGACATCTGACCAGTCTGGGAATGTAAATGAAATGCTTTGGGCAGAGAGGGCTTTGCTGGTCGCCCTGGATTAGCTTTTTTTATACAGCTAAACGTACTATACAGGAAAGAGTTACACATGGCATGGGTGAAAGTTTGCTACTAAATTTAGACAGTTGAGCAAAGACACCTATGTGTCATCTGTGTGGATGTGCCCAAATCTCTGCATCCTGCTAACATTTTTGGTAGGAAAGAAAACAAAAGAAAGGGGAGTGAGTGAGGGGAGCACCTTCAGAAGCCAGGAACCAGGGCTGTGGGTGACAGGATCGCAGGGGCCCACGTCCATAAAGGAATGAAGCACTGTGTCTGCCACACCTTTTGGTGACTTGGTGTCAGCATCCCCACCCAAAACCCTCCCCTCATCCTCATGAGCTGTCATGGGGAGGATCTAGAGACCAAGGGAAGAAAGAGGCTGGATCACACTTGTTTATCAGATGAGCAGTGGCCAAACAGAAGCCAGAAGCCCCGGCCACTTGCCCAGCCTGCAGGTGCACTCCTGGGCAGCACCCTGCAAGGAGAAACTGCAGGAAAGCAATGGCTGAAGCCCTGCAGGAGCAGCAGCCAGCTCCCAGGTGCCAGTGCCACCACAGTGCAGCATCTGGGGGAAAGGCAAGGGAATCTGAGACAGAGAGAGAAAGGGAGGCAGTCCAGAGCCAGGAGACCAATGAAGAGAAAAGTGCAAAAACAGAATACAAAAGAAACAGAAGTGAAAGAAGAAAAAAAAGACAGAGTCAGACAGGAAGACACAGGGAGAGGCCAAGCCCCCCACGACTGGGGGTGAGGCTCTGAGCTGGGAAGCCTTGGGACTTCGCTTTTTGCAGCAGTGAGGGGTGGCAGTGAGTCCCTGTCGCACCTGACAGCCAGCTAAGGTGCAAATGAAAAGAACGCAGCGTGGGGCTGCTGGGGCCCTCGGCTCCAGGGCTCTGCTACTCCGTCTCTCTGGGCTGACTGCGCAGAGAGATAATTTGCCCATGGCTGGAGGTGTCAGACTCTGAAGATGAGTGTGAAGCCTGCAGGTGACCTGCCCACGGGGATGTGTCCTGTGTGACTAATCCCAGGCAGAGGTGGGAATGGAATTCTGGCCGCTGCAGCCCTATCTGAATCAGATCCCTGTGAGGCGGTGGAAGGTGTCCTGTCCTTACTCATGGCTGGGGGAGGGAGGCTTCAGCTGGGGGAGTAGGCTGAGGGATCAAGGCCAGCAGGGACGGCCTGTCATCGTGGAGGGGTGGGGTTCACCGGGGAGGATGGCTCATGTTCTGTCTCGTACATCACAAATCCAACAAGCATTTCACATGTCAGTTAAGGGCAGAAACTCTGGAGCCAGATTGTCTGGGCTGAATCCTGGCTCTGCTTCTCACTAGCTGGGTGACTCTGAGCTTGTCCCCTAACATCTCCGTGCCTCTCTTTCTTCTTGTATAAAATGGGAATAACAAATAGTAACAGTATCTAGCTGTGGTGGGGATTCAATAAGTAAGCATGTGAAGCATTCAGCTCAGTCCCTGCTGGCACATGTGTCTGTCACCAGCATCCTCGCCGCTGCTGTTCATCCAGGCCCTCTCCATTCTCAGGGCCGGACCACGGGCTTAGGCAGAGCAGCAACCAAGGCAAGGGAGCTCCATGCTTCCATCCCAGTGGGGGAGCCAAAAACCACCCACATGATTTCAGAGATGGAGGAGTGCCGTGAAGGAAACAGAACAGGAGCAGGATGGAGAGGGAGTGGGAAGCAGGGGCCCCTGCAGCCCGCGTGGTTGGTGGGCTTCCCTGTCTGTCAAGGGAGAAACGAAGTGACAAGAAGCAAGCAGCCAAGCAGAGTCCTGGGAAGAGCGTCCCAGGCAGAGGAACCAGCAGGCACAAAGGCCGTGAGGTGGGCAAGAGCTGGAAGTGTCAGGGAATAGAAAGAAGGTGGTGGCTAGAGCCATAGGCAGGGACTGGGTCACGGAGAGCCTCGGAGGCATGGCTGGGATGTGAGTTGGACTCAAAGTGAGTTGGAGTGTATTAGCAGGAGAGCAGCAGGGTCTGGCTGATATTTTATAAGGAGAACTGGTTTCTGGGAGGCAACTGGATTATAGGGTGTTGGGGGGGGCAGTGAAAGCAAGAAGCAACCCTCTTAACAGCCTTAAGAGGTAAAATTTTTAAGATGAGGACACTGAGCGCTGCCACAGGGTGGAAAAGGGCGGAAGAGGGTGCCACCAACAGCTCCCTTCACTGAGTGCTTGCACCACACCAGGCTCTGCACCTTGGCGCTTTCACAGAAGAGGTGAAATTGCAAGCCCCAAGTCGTCCAGCGGGTGCTGGGCCCTGGCAGGCCCTGGCTGCTGCCTCCTAAGCCCACGCTCCATCCATGAAAGTGGCCCTCTGCTAGTGCTGAAGGGGGTGGCAAGCAAGCCCCTGGGGCAGCCCCGGTTCTCAGTATGGCGGCAGAGCACATCTGCCCCTGCCTCACTGCCCCAGGAGGGGTTTGTTCAATGTCACAGGCAGTGCTGGAGGAAAAACTACTTTGTGATACACTTGAGATCATTCGTTGACATCAGCTGAGAAGATAGCTACTCTGTTCACTCCGGTTTGATATCATTCTATCACCTATCCCCATACTGAGAATTTGCCTCTTGCAAAAGGCAAGTGCTATGGATTCAAAGCACAGATTTGATTTTTTCCATTTCACATGAACTTTGCAGCTGCATCTGAAAACCAATTAGTGTGGATGTGCTCAGACACGCTCCATGCACCACTCCTGCCATCTTCTCCCCTGGAGAGGGGCTTCTCCTCATGTCTTTCCGTGAAGTGAGCCAGGTTCCTTAGGGGACTCACCTTTGTCTCACTATCCACTACTGATTAGGGTCTGTCCTCTGTGCAGTTACACACGAACTTGTAGATTTTTGTGTGGTAGAGTTGCAAATCATTACTGTCTGGTAGAAAAAATAACCTCAAGGTTTAGTTTATTAACCATGTCCAACATTAACCAATTTTGTATTGAACTTTGTAGTTTTATTTCAGTGTTCCCTGTCTTTCACTGATGATAAGCTCTCAGCCCCCCAAATTCTCCTTGAAACAACTTTACCATCCTGCTGGTCCCTTCATTCATGAATTAAATGTAAACTTTTGGCACATACCGCTTTATATTTGTATGACAGTCACACTTCTAGCTCGTTTACAGTCATACTTTGAACATGTTTTTATCTTCCTTTTGCAAATGAGAACACCGAGGCTGAGAGAAGTCAGGTTGCTGGCTGAAGTGCACAGAGCTCGTAGGAGCACAAACAGGGCTTGGACCCCCCTCTGTCCAATGCCAAGCCCATAGGCTAAGTGCCCTTGCAGTTCCCAAGTTGAAAAGAGCCTTAGAAATGATCTAAACAAGCTCCAGTCTTTTACAGGCCAGAACTAACTCTGAGGCCAGGAGTGGCGAGAAGTCTTGCTCACAATTCACACACTAGTAAAGGACAAAGGGCAACCTTGGCAGAAAGGAAGGTTTTCGGCTAACCATTGCCTCATCTTCTTACATTTATCTCAAGTTTTTGCTCGAACCAGGCCACCCACAAGGAGCAAGAAAGACTAGCACGCAGTGACATTTGTGAAGGCTTGCTGTCAAGGCAGCTCTGGCACAGGTCACTGCTGAGATTGTCAAGCAGGGTTCTGAGCTGGGGCCCCTGGAGGCTCTGAGGCCTCAAGAGTGGGCTGCCCAAGGTCTATGCAGCCCCTAAAACCATGTGCAAATTGTGCATATGTGCATGGTGCATCCGATTCCCAAAAATGTCACATATCCTGCTTTGAGAGACTGTCTCTAGAAGGCTCCAGTTAGAAGCAAATGAATTAACTGGGAAGAGACATGCACTCATCTCCAAGCACTTGCATAGGTTAGCCTGCTAAAGTGGGCCCAAGGATTTGTGAATATGAGAACAATGTGATTCAAAAGTCAGCCTTTGGGGTATCTCATAGGTCAAGCACCTGAAAGCCTCAGAAGCCATAAGAACATGTGTGAGAGGCTAAGGCCCAGAGACCTATATACCTACATGAATGCTATTTCTGGTGGCAAAAGAGCAGCCAAGGTCCAGAGGGTCTCACCCAGCACAATGGGACTCTCCCCATGAAATATCACCTCCTTGAAGCAGGGATTCTTACCTACTGTGTTGCCAATTATTCCAAGCTTCTGGAAGAGAGACTGGTGTATAGTAGATGCTCAATAAATATTTCTTGACTGGATGAGAATTGTCTAAGAGAAAAGAAATATGCCACCAGCTGGTGATACCTATAAAATCCATGCCAAGGGCAAGACCCAAAAATGATAATAAAAATAGGAGTAACCAACACCTACTGAGTCCTTTGCAATGTGCCAGGCTCCGTGCTAAGTGATCTGCATGCCTCCCCTATTTATTCCTCACAACAACTCCATGAGGCCACTGGACTATTGTTGGCTTCATTTCACATAAGAGGAAAGTGAGGTTCAGAGAGGTTCTGTGATTTGCCTAAGGTTACACAGCTGGGAGTCCAGTCTACAACCTGGACCAGGTCTGCCTTAATCCACATCTTAACCACTGTACAAAAAACTGCCCTCCCTGGATTCACTGGAGAAGCAACAGAGGGAAAACCAGAGGAAAGAGAAAAAAACTGTAAGGTGGTGTGAGAAGAGGGCAGTGCGGCAGCCAGAAGACACAACCTGTGTTGCAAAGCTCTCCAGAACAGCTTTTTTGAGACCCTGGGAGGGCAGTGGATAGGGGAAGGGGAAAAGCAGCAAGATGTGGCAGAGGTTGCCAGGTGTTCCCAACCAAAATCCATTCTCCCCTTTTTCCTTCTTACAAGAACTGTGATTTGATGTGGCCACCCATGTGCCCAGATAAAAATTACATTTCCTACTTCCCTTGCATCTTGGAGTAGCCAAGGCTTAAGTAGAAGTTGCTGAACAAAAAAACTTCCAGAAAAATCTCTTTGAAGGAGGCTGACTCAGTTGGGAAAGGTGCCCTTCCTTCACTACTTTCCTTCTTCTTCCTGCCTAAAGCCCATATGAGATGGCTGGAGCTCCAGCAGCCATCTTGAACCATGAGGTGACCTTGAGGATGGAAGATAAAGCTTAAGAATGTTGGAGCAAAAGATAGAGGGGTCCTGGGACTCTGACTCCCAGCTGACTCTGGAGCTGCCATACTGTAATGTGAGAGAAAAACTCCGATATCTTAGTTTAAGTCATCTTTTTGAAAAGTTTTTCTCTTATGTAGAGCCAAACCCAATTCCAGCGGGCACAGAAGTCACCTTTGAGGAAAGACCAGCAGAGCTAGCAGTACCCAACACTCCATCTGCAGAAACACCGTCTTGCTAAGGCAGGTGGAGGATGTGCAGGCACCTGTGGGCCTGACCACAGCAGAGAAGCAAAGTCCTGAGATGAAGAGAATAGGGCCTCCCTCACAGCCACACTTTCCCTTAGGCTGGTGACAAGGGAGAATTAGGACACAAACAAGAAATGGCTGAAATGTGAGTGAGTGCTAAAGAAACTAGCAACAGCAAAGATGGGCATTTTCAGAAGGTGACAAAAACCACCTAGGGAAGGGCTGACCCAGTGCTAAGACTGTCATTCACCTTCTGGAAAGGCAGCTAGGTCACCCTGCCCCCAGAGGACCTCCTGTGTCCTACGTAGAAGAAAGGCCAAGGCCAAAAAGCATGTTGACCTGTGGGAAGAATTCAAGGCAGCTAGTACCAGAGCTCGTGCTGGAACCAGAACCTCCAGGGCCACTGCCAGGCCATAGGGGACCTTTGTGGGAATTAGAAAAAGGCATCCCTTCTTCAAGATACTTCTATTTATTTGGAAATTGTCTAAATAAATGTGCAAATCTACATCTATAATGAGAATGGTGTCCTTTAGAGGTGGCACCCTTGGGCAGTGCACATCCTGAGCAACTGAACACAGTGACCCTGCATAGCTGTCTGATCCCACCATGCCTCCACCGACTGTATGGCTCCAAAACTAGCCAAATTCTATGCTCCTAAGGATGTCTCAGCCTTATTGATGATTATGTGAGGCCATGTGGCCCCTAATTAGGAAGACAGGAGGAGTTTCCACCCTAAAAAATGATACAATGTCGAGTTTGGGCACCTGGGTTAAATAGTATTCATAAGAGGAATGCAGCTGTGTGGAGCAGGTGACGGCAGCACTAGGACCAGAAATTGCCTGGTGTGATAAGCATCGAGCACAGTGCCTAGGGAGAAATCAGAGTCTAGTAAGAAGTCGGGGAATGCATCAATCTATGACAAAATGAATGAGGGCATGAATATCTTTGAATTTTTTTACAATTAATTAAAACTACTTTATGTCATCTTATCAGTTTTTTCTCCCCTTGGGTGGAAGGAAGAACTTTTACAATTTATGGAATTATTTTAAACAAATAAACGCAAATGAGCACATCTCAATAAATGATGTAATTCTCTGCTTTAATTCTCAACTTTAATTCTCTACCCTACCCCTGTCCCAACTGCCAGAAAGAGAGAGAGAGAGATAGGCCAGGTGCAGTGGCTCATGCCTATAATCCCAGCACTCTGAGAGGCCGAGGCAGGTGGATCATCTGAGGTCAGGAGTTCAAGACCAGCCTGGCCAACATAGTGAAACCCCGTCTCTACTGAAAATACAAAAGTTAGTCAGGCATGGTAGTGGGCACCTGTAGTCCCAGCTACTAGGGAGACTAAAGCAGGAGAATTAGTTGAACCCGGAAGGTGGAGGTTGCAGTGAGCAGAGATTGCTCCAGTGCACTCCAGCCTGGGCAACAGAGCAAAACTCCTTCTCAAAAACAAAAAAAAGAGAGAGAAAGAAACCCAATTAAACTGCATCCATGCTTTCCAGCCAGAGTCCAGTTGCTGACCTCACCACATCCTAATGCTATTCTTATGGACCAACCACTACTTCCCATGGAAGGTCCCTCTTCTTGGGGCTTCCCAGGGCCTTCCACACCCATTTTGCACCTTGCTTCCTTGCACAGCTTCAGATGCCAACTCTGGGACAAGCGGGGAGAAGCTAGCATGTCCCAAATGAAAAAAGGGATAGGACTGAATCCCGTGCCAGGGAGATTCTTAGTGAGAACTGAAGTCCACCCAGATATACCGATTGGTCCCTGAAGCTATTCCCCCTGGTTAGAAAAGCCACCATACTGCAGCAGGAAGAGAAGTAACAGCTGCACTTGTTGAACCTGCGTCTGTGCCCAGCTCTATGACGGACATCATGTGGATGGAAAAATGCTCCAGACCCCGGTTCAGAGGCCCTCGTTTCCTGCACCAGGTGTGTGACCTTGGGTGCGACCCTCTGCCACTCTGGAATTCCACGTCCCCATCTGAAGACACAGACGCTATCATCTCTAAAGCAGTGTTTCCCAGCCACTAATGTGCACACAAATCCCCTGGGGACTTGTTCAGATGGGCAGGTCTGGGGTGGGCCTGAGAGTCTGTGTTACCCCGGAGGCTGATGCTGCCAGCCAAGGGCACCCTTTGAGTTGAGAGGTGCAAGGTCCCTCCCGGATCTCACCTGGGGCTGTGCTTCCTCCCCAGTGGCCAAGCAGAGAAAGAATCTCTCACCCTGAGTGAGGCTGGCAGCTGTCCCCCTACCCCCTGCCTCTGCCCTGGTGTGCCAGGCACTCTGATTTCAGGCACCGTTAGAATTTCAGCCCAGCAAACAAAACAGCCAGCTGCGGCCCGAGCTTAGGGACCCAGACCACTGCCTTCTGCTTTTTCCTTTCCAAATGAAATTTGAGATGTCACTTGTTTTTTTAATCACAAAAAAGGCTGAGAAAAGAAAATAAGTATTTCCTTCGTGTCTGTCTCTGCTTCCTGCCCCCACTCACTACTTGCCAGAAACTAGGCTTGACATCCTCTCGCCATCACGCCCTCGAGCCCCCCCGCCAGCGCCCTGTTCCCTCAACCCCTCCTGCCCTCCCCACCACTCTCTGAGCGCACCTCTGGCAGAGCTGCCTTGCCAGGCTTATTTTTAACAGCTCTGATTGAAGCCGGGAGCCCGCTGACATTTACACTCCCTCATGATTATCAGCTCGAAGCTTCCAGCAGCCAAGCTAAAAAGGCTTCACGGAGCCCGAGCAGGAGGGGCCAGGAATGAAATGTCAGCGGCTCCTCACTCCCACCTCTTGCAGGGCTGCTTCGCCACCTGCCCACAGCACAGCCCACCCGCCCCAGCTCGACCCCGAGAGAGGGGAGGCGGAGAGCCCCCTTCCCCCAGCAAACCCAGAAAAACCCAGGGGCCAGCGGTTTTCTCACTTCTAGTAACCACATTTTCTCTCTCAAGAATCAGGGCACGTGGTGTGATTTAGAAATGCCTGGGTGTGAAAAGACTCATAGAGGCAGAAAAATTAAATCCCATTTAGTTTTGTATTTAATGAGAGCCACCAACAAGCCCCTCCTGGGTGGCTTTATCCTCATTTGGACAAATTTAAACCGCCCAACCAGCTGTCTGCCAAACGTACAGCCTTCCTGCTCCTCTCTGGAGTTCTGTACCATCCAAAGCTCCCATTTTTTCTCAGGGATACTAGGAAGGCAAGATGAGAGTGCACAGCGCCTGGCACCCCAAAAGAGGCTGACCCTGCCTCCGGGCTCCTCACTAGCACCCGCCTAGCCTAGGCCAGGCTCCCACCCAAGCGCCTCCACGTCCTGCACACACACTCCTGCGTCTAACACTGCAACCACATCTCATCCCTACAGCTACTACGCTGATGGGCCTGAGAAAGAGGATCCCAGAGCATGGAGTGCCTTGATGCTTTGCTGTCTCAGGAGAGATTCACTGTTGTGTTTTATGTCTGCTAAGCAAGGTCAGAGTTCATGGGAATGCATCTGGCTCATTTGGAAACTTCACTTGTAGAAGGTCTCAGAGACCACTAAATAATTTACTCCTGGGTCATGGAGGAAATAATTTTTACAGAGAAAGCATTTCCAACTCAATGCACTAAAAGGTCACTTCATTAAGACGGTGGCGGTGGGGTGGGGGTTTAGAGGTGAGAACGATGCTTCTGTGGGAGGAAAAACTAGCTGTTAAAAGCATAGAAAGAACAACCACAGTTTAGATTTCTTTCTTTATCAAAGACGTCTTGCCTTCCCTATGTGGATGCTAATACAAAAGCAAACAATCTAAAACTTTTGGTAGTGGGTGTTTTTTAAGTCTCAAGGAGCCCCCTCCAGGAAGTCTTCCCTGACTTACTCCACTCTGATCATTCGTTCAGTTTGCTATACTGCAGCCCTCTGCTATATGTCCTGGTCTGCAATCTGCAGCCCCAGGCAAAATATTAAATTTCTCATTATTTCCACTATTCCAGGAAGGCCTTCCCCAGCCATACACAATCTGTGGGCAGCCATCAGTCCTCGTACTTCTCTGCCATGCCCTACAAAGAGAGATGGCAAGCTGTGTTTGCTTTGTTCAGAGTGCTTCCTTTCACTTCCACACGTACATTTGCAATCACCAGCCTAACGATTTTGTTAATGTTATCATGTTGATATTGCCATTTCAAATGAATCAGCAAGCCCAGTTTATAGTTCAATCTGCAAAATTCTGATTGCGCTGCCAGCTACCAGGGTCTGGCAAAATGAATAGCCTTGAACCATCATAGCTGGAACCACTATTCCCCAAGTGCCTTCCACAGATGGGACAGTGGTGGGGTTGTGCAGGGAATGTGAACGTGCACACAGGCATAGCCCTGCCCTAAGGAATCCTGAGAAAACAGTGACCGGGATGACCCGGGGGGCTAAGAGTTCTGGGGCTCTCGCTATGGGCCGGACATGTGCTGAGTACCATTTTCTGTTCACAAAAGTCCTACTGCTGCTCCCAACTCAGAGCTGGGGAAGACAGGCTGAGGAAGTGGTAACTGGGATGAAGCCAAGCTGCTAGGCAGAGAGGGGCAGGGGCCAGGTTTTCAGTCAGAGAAGACACCCCTTGGCTGGAGGGACCTGGGAGACGTGAGGGCTTCTAGGGGTACGGTGAGGACTTGGCGAGGCAGAGTAGGTGAGCAGAGGCAGGAAGCCCAGCGTGTGCTGGGGCTAGAACTGAAGAGCCTGGTGGTCCAAGTGGTGTGCACAGAGAAACAAGCTAGGAGGTGCCTGGGCTGGGCAGGTGCCCAAGGCCTTTGAATGCCATGTAAGGGAGGGGAACTTGAACCCACAGCCACAGGACCACTGAAGACTTGAAAACAAGAGCGGATCAGCGTGGTGTCTCAGGAAGATGACACCTAGCACCAAGTAGGATGTCTGGAAGAGGGGAAGGGCAGAGGAGAGTCCCTCACGAGGCCACAATAGTCCTTAAAGCACCAGTGATGGGGCTCCCAATTCCCAAATGGAGGGATCTGACTTCCCCCAGAAAGGGACAATGCCTGGGGGCATGGAGGGCAGGAGTATCACGTGGCTGTCAGTAGGAACTCTGGAGTTGGCCTCACCAAGTGGCCCTGGACAGGACACTCAGCCCCTCCTGTCCCCAGTTTCCTGAGCAATAAAGCAGCAGGAAATGAGACCAGGTCCTCAGGCAGGGATGTTAGGGGACCAAGGGAGCGAGCGTGTGTGACTTGCCCAGCCAAGCACCTGGTTCTCAGTGCCCCTCACCATTGTTAGCTGCCATGATTAACGTGAATAGCAACAGGAGGTTGGAGTGGAGGCGCGGGGGGTGTCCAGTTTGGGGGGATGCTGTGACTGCCCCTCCCTCAGGCCATTGGGAACGTGAGACAGGACGAAGAGAGGGGCCAGGGCTTGATGTGGGGATTCCTGGGGAAAAGGGAAGGCTGAAGTCACAGGAGGGCCTGAGATCTCAGGAAGAGTCCCAAGGAAGAGATGCAGGCAGCACAGGCACCACCGCACCAGGCTGGCCTGCCTCAGGTCGGCCACCCAGAGCAGCAGGCTCAACACAGCTGAGTGGGGCTGCAGCCACCTCGGAGTTTCTAAAAGTCAAAATTGCACAAAGAGAAAAAGACTCCAGGTTGGGGGGGTGGGGGACAGCAGGCAGTGGACAGGAGGAGAAGCTCCTGGATCTGTTGTACATCTGGGTAGGTGTCCATCTGTCTGTCTCTGGCTGCTGCTGGCTCACCTAGTGTCCATCTCTGCCTGTGGCCTGGCCCCCTTTCTCTGCATGTGTACATACGTGTGTGTCAGGTGTGCAGGGAGCGGGGTGCTTCCAGTCTTTCCTTTCACTTATCCTTTTCGAGTAAATCCAGCTTGATGGTCCCCTGCCCTGACCTAGGAGCAGGGAAAGGCAGTCCCAGAAGGAGAGGGAAGCTATGGTACCTTCTCGCCCAGGGGAGGCCAGAGACCCCGGGCAGTGCCCCCGCAGTGTCTGGTTACCATGAAATGGAATTTATACATGAAAATCAGGAGAGAAGCCAGCCCAGGGCACACTAGTCATGGCTGTGACAGAACTGACAGCTAATTAGAAGGCTCCATTTGAGCCTCACGTTGAAAAGCCATTTAATAATTAAATGTCTTATCTGTATTTAAAATCTTCTGACAATATATACTTAGAGTGTGGCCAGAGAACCAATTTTCTCACTTCCATCACCCTAGAAGACATAATATTTGAATCCAGGCATCTCCCCATTGACAATAAGTGACATGATGTCACACGATTTGAGTCAGGAAGTGTTCTAGTGTTGGAGACCCTTCCTGCTGGCTCTTGGATTGATACAGCACAGAGACTTTGACTCAGAAACATGTTTGACATGAATACGCCCCTTCCCAAGTCACTGAGCTGGGACCCGGCATGCAGGGAGTGGATGAGGGGACCATCAGCCCCGCAGGGAAGGCACAGCAGGAGTGGTTCACCTGTGTGCAGCCAGCAAGAGATGCATTGATTGTACAGCAATAATAAAATTTTTGGCCGGGTGCAGTGGCTCATGCCTGTAATCTCAACACTTTGGGAGGCCAAGGCAGGAGGATCACTTGAGGCCAGGAGTTCAAGTCCAGCCTGGCCAACATGGTGAAACGCTGTCTCTACAAAAAATACAAAAAAAAGAAAAAAAATTAGCCAGGCATGGTGGCACACACCTGTAATCCCAGCTACTCAGGAGGCTGAAGCAGGAGAATCACTTTAACCCGGGAGGCAGAGGCTGCAGTGAGCCAAGTCGCATCACTGCACTACAGCCTGGGCAACAGCGAGACTCTGTCTCAAAAAAAAAAAAATTGAAACAATAATTGTTATTCATTCATTAAAATAATGACCATAACAATAAAACCAATAATAAAAGTCAGTTCATTTTCATTAGCATCACACATCGGCAATTTTAAGGCATGTCAGTGATACAATACTGCTCCCCACCAAGGAGGGGCTCCCACTGCCACCCGTTGGTACGCCGCTGCCTCGGCCTTAGGTGACCACAAGGGCAAATGCCCTGGAAGCCACAGGGCTCCCTGGCTTGCTCAGGGAGGGGAGGAAAAGTGCTGCTGCGTATTTCTAGGGACGGTGCAGACGCAGGCCGGTTTGGGCCCCATGGGTATAGTCTGCCCACCTACAAGAGCAGAAAACAGTAAGGGAATGGACCTCTCTGTGCATCAATGAAGCTGAACCCCTTCCTGCTGGCACTGAGCCCTTAACGTTGCCAGTGTCCCCAAGGGGACTGTGGAGGCCACCCAGCACTAGGGAGGGAGAGTAAATCCCAAAGGCACATTCAGAAGCCTCGCAAGGAGACCAGATACAGGTGGAAGAGAGTCATAGGCCCCCCTGGGGACACAGATGGAGTGTCTGCAGAGGAGAATAGAGAGGGAGTCACCAGAACCAGCTTCCTGGCTCCTCTTCCTATTGGATGGAGCGCTCCTCCCCAGACAACCCAGAACACTGCTGCACTCACGCCCAGGACAACCTCTCGGGGAGCAGAAGGCTGTACTTACCTCTCCCCTCCTGGAAGCAAAACTTCTCTAGTTTCTCTTGCCAGCCAAAGAACCCCTAGTGGCGGAGTGCTCACACAAAGGAAATCAGACCCTGGGGGAATTTAAACATGAACATGTTCAACCCTCTCTTCTGGCAGATGACAAGAAAGCCCAGAGAGGTCAAGTGCCTTCTCTGGACTCACGCAGCTTGTTAGCTGGTGCTCTTCCCATCGCCCCCGCCCACCTTGCTGCTGGGAGCAATGTCGTGTCACAGAGCCATTGCAGTCAGCAGGTTATGGGTTTAGGGCCTGCCCTCCTCTGATAGCTGTGCCAGGGAGGATGTGCTGCACATGCCTCCTGGCCTCAGACAGCAGCCTGGACTGGCTATGAGCAACCAAAGCATGGCCCCTGTACCAGGCAGCACCAGCCCTGCTCTGGGGGTGGATATGAGTTTGCATGTCTGGTGTGTTGAGCCACAACGCCTCTTGAGTCACAGTCAGTAAAACTAAATATCTCTCCCATGGTCTGATCACTGTTGGGACTGGCCTGGACTATCATTAAATTCAGGAGTGTCATGGATCTTGGAAAATACTAATTGCTCCTAACCCAGCTGGGATCCTGCCCTCAGGGTGATCCCTATTTTCCTGGGATCAAATGTCACTTCTCAAAGGGTGGTCGTGGACCGGCAGGGTCAGCCTCACCTGGCAGCTTGGACGAGCAGAATCAGGCTCCTCCTGAACCTACTGAATCAGGACCTGCATTGACACAAGATCCCAGGGTGATGTAGATGCACGTTAAAACCTGTGAGGTGGCCGGGCGCGGTGGCTTACGCCTGTAATCCCAGCACTTTGGGAGGCTGAGGCAGGTAGATCACCTGAGGTCAGGAGTTCAAGACCAGCCTGGCCAACGTGGTGAAACCCTGTCTCTACTAAAAATACAAAAATTCCCAAGCATGGCGGCGAGCACCTGTAGTCCCAGCTACTTAGGAGGCTGAAGCAGGAGAGTCGCTTGAATCCAGGAGGCGGAGGTTGCAATGAGCCAAGATTGCACCATTACACTCCAGTCTGGGCAACAGAATGAGTAAGACTCCGTCAAAAAAAAAAAAAAAAGAAAGAAAGAAAGAAAAAAGAAAAAAAAAAGCTGTGAGGCACTGCGGGGAGGCACTGCAGGGACACGCAAAGGTGACAACCTTAGAGACTGCCAAAGCTCACTCTGGACACCATCAGAGGCCATCGCAGACTGTCCTTCACAGGATGTGTGTGTGACATGCTGCCATGATCACTCTGTAATAGTGTCACGGGGTGGATGGGGGAGGCCTGGCTCAGCAGCAGCTCAGGGTACTGAGTCGTAGATGACAGCAAGCTCAATGTGCACTGTTGTGTGATGTCACAGTGCAGCCACCAGGTTGGGAGACCTGCTTATATACAGTGTCCAGGGAGCACAAGGCCTGGGGGCCCACAAACCTGGGTCTGTATGCCCACTCTTCATTAGCAGCTCCAGGACCAAGTGCGGTCAGTTTTCTGGAACTCGTTTCCATATCTCCACTGTGATGTAAGGATGTGCATGGATCCTAAATGTGAGAAGCTGGCAATCACCAGGTCCCTGGCAAGTGCTCAGAGTCTGAGCTACCATCAAAATCAAGGGCACAGGGGGAAGCTAACTGCTTCTCTGAATACTCTAAGGGAGGCAGATCTAGGCCAGGTGACCAGGGTTTACAAGTCCCAGGACAGCAGGTTGGGCTTGGTGCACGGAAGAACTGATGAGCAGCTTCACTCATGCAGGTGAGACCGTATGGGCAGCTCTCCAATAGCAAGCGTTCAGCAGGGATAGGTGCGAGTACATCAGGGAGTCCAAGAGAGGGCTGGCTGCATGCCTGGGAGGGGCAATGAGATGGGGAGTCGGGTGCTTCCTCATTTCTGCTGCTGTAAGGTAACGCCACTGGCCTTCTCCAAGATCCAAACAGGGTCTCTTGCTTCCCCTCTCTTTGCAGCAGGACAGATCAGGACAAAGCCATGCTGGAGTTGGGGCCACACATCTGCTGAAAACCCCCAACACTCTTTTTCCCAGCAGCAGCTTCCAAGCAATTCCTGAGGCCCTCCCACCGGCTAACCAGAAAGGAACCCACCATTGGTCTCCTTAGTAACGACTTCCAAGGCCCCTTGGTGAGGATTTTAACAAGCTTCCAGCTCTCTCCCCAAACTGCCTAATTTTTACAACAATCAGACTCCTTTTTTCTTCTCTAAACGTTTATTTTAGCACATCTGAAAAGCGCACAGTGTGATTTCCAGACCCAAGTTAGACAGCGATTTCTTCAAAGTGCAACGCCCTCAATTAATGAACCCTCTGGGAATGAAGTACCTTCTAACAAAAACATTGTTCAAAATAAAGCTGGAAAAAAACCTCACACAGCCCCTAGGACAGAGATGTGAGTGTTGTTGCCCAGTCACAACCATGACAAGGCGATGTGGTTACACGGTAGGGTCAGAGGTAGGCAGTCTCCAGCCATTCCCAGCAGGTGACCTTGGCCAGTTACTTGACCTTCAACTTGGTTTCCTTGTCTGCAAGATGAGGATGATGACAGGCAACTCCCACGGCGGGAGTGCAGACTGCAGAACAGTCACTCATGCAGTAACTACCTGCTGAGCACCCCTGTGCATCAGGTGGCCTTGTTCCTGCGGCGGGGATACAGCAAGGAACACAGCCCTGCCCCGTGGAGCTCATATTCTGTGGGGTAGCGGGTGGAGGTGAGTACTACAGAGAAGAATCAAGCAGGTGAGGGGTAAAAGCACTGGGGGTGCCGAGTGGGAGTTACCTTTTTCTAGGTGGCAGGGAAGGCCTTTGATCAAAGACCTAAAGGAAGAAGGGAGTGAGCCCCATGGGTGTCTGGGAGAAGGAGTATTCTAGGCACAGAGAACAGTCAGTGCCAAGGTCCAGAAGCAGGAATATGCTTAGTGTTCATGGAAAAGCAAGGAGTCCAGGGTCGCTGGAGTGAGAAAGGGGAAAAGTAGTCAAGGGTAGGGACTTTGGATATCACTGTGATGAAGCAGTAGCCATCAGAGGGTTCCAAACAGAAGAGTGACCTACATTTAGAAAATGATGCACGTAAGGCAGTAGGAACATGCCTTGCATGTAGTAAGTGTTCAATTAACATCAGCAACTGTTATACACCTCAGTTTCTATCCGGTCACTCCACACACAAGCAAATGTACGTGCCCACTCAGAACCCTTCAATAACACCCCTCTGCCTACTGACACATCCCAGACCCTTCACTCTTGGATGCAAGCCCCTGTAACAAGGCCCAATCCACACCTCCAGCCCCCACCCCACCACACGTGCCCAGCTACAGCCTCCCTCTCCCTGAATCCACACATCTTCCCTCGTCTTTGCTTTCACCTGTGCAAGTTCCTTCCTCCTCTCAGCACCTCCTGAAGTCCTACCCAACGTCACAACCCATCTCAAAGGCCACCTTCTCCATGAATTCATCCCTCATGCATCCCCAGAGGGATGTCATGCCTCCCACGGATGGCCAAGCATGCTGGGTCACTCATGGATATATCTCATCCTTGACGCTGGTCTCATCTCCCCAGGAAACCCCACCTCCCACCCCTGTCACCACCCGTGAGATGGTGACCTACCAAGCTTATCTGCGGGGCTTAGCCCCGGTGCTGAGTAGGCCACTTTTAAATTCAGCTGAATAACACCAGTAAATGCACGACTCCTATTTGGCCCCCTCCATGTGACAGAGACCTGGCCGATACTCAGCCAAGATGCTGAGGGGGCAGAGCTGGCTTCTTCCAGTGTCCTAGGGACCAGGATAATTATAAATAGAAAGAAGGGGGGCATGCTCCTTCCTTAACATAAAAAAGTCAGCAGGAAAAATAAATCTGATGACCACTCAGTTCCATTCACCACCGTCTCTGAACATAGATGCAGGTAAGTTATTTGACAAGATAAAAACAGGTCATGATAAAGAAGATGAGGAGATTCAAAAACACACACAAAAAGGCTGAGCGGGGCTGCCTGGCCACACTCAAGCTCTTGCGTCTGCAGAAAGGGCACCTTGCACACATAAATGAGGCCCCAGGAGCAGCAAGAACCAGATGAAAGGGAACCCAAGGCCCTCCTTGCCAAGTCAGTGGCAGGGAGCACTCTGGCTACATCGCAGGGGCCTCCAGTGACCGTGGTGTAATGAGAGCAGAGAACATAAATCACCATCCCTGTCTTTACAGAAAACATATTAAAGACTGCTGAACTCACACATGATTTTCTGAAGCGGGCAGAAGAGATGGCAGATCAAACCGGGGTCAGAATCTAGAAGATGACTGCCTAACCAGATGTGGATAAATCACAGGACCACAGGGCATCTCCGCAGGGTCTTAATTAAGGAACTTGAGGTGAAAATGGGGCCAGGACACATGGACATTGTTAGCCGTGGCCCCTCTGGAGGCCACAGGTAACAACATTTCAAGCCATTTCACCAGGTTAGCCTCAGCCCAGACCAAAACAGAGAAATTGACCAGCCAGAAAGACAACCATACCCGGAATCTGGTCCGGAGGCCTCCGCCAAGGGCACCATCAGGTGGATGCCAGGAAAGGCATGCAGGAGGTCAGGATATGGGACAGAACCTCTAGGCAAGAAGGTCCCGCAGATGGTACCCATGGTGGGCATCCACCGGTTTTTGTTTTGTTTTGTTTTTGTCTGCAGCTTCTGCTCACCCTACTTCCCAGGGACTTCCCAGTGGTAACCCCAGTTTTGTCTGGAGATCCGCCCCTCCCCAACTCTGGTCTTGTGGTCAGGTGGAGATGACCAGCTCCAGGGCCAGCCCATCATTTGCCTGGCCATGGAGTCTAGTTCCAGATGGAAACAGAATCCCATCAAAGCCATTATGATGGTGTGAGACTTTTGAGGCAGAGGTTAACGTCATTTCTGGGGGACTTGGAGGTAAGGCAAGGTCAGAGCTGGAGCTGCTGTAAACATCTTGGGACATGAATGAAGAACGGGAAAATCAGAAATGAGGCCTATGTGGAAGAGACTAGGGGAGGGAGAGAGACAGAGAGAATGAATGAATGAATGAACGAATGAATGAATGAATGAATGAAGCCTGGGCCCTCGTAGCATCATTTGAGCCCCTGATCAGGCCTCATCTGACTCAGGTCTGCCAGACTGCAAAGGAAGGAAGCTAATCGGTACTTAGTGTTTATTGCCCAGTGCAGCGCAAGTGTTATTTCATTTAGTCCCTGCAATAACCCTGGGAGGTAGGCTTATTTGGGGGAAATCTTTATTTGTAAATAAGGAAACAAATTAAAGTTGTTTTTTTTTTTTTAAACTTGCCCAGTTAGGTCATTCACACATGGTGGAGACAGGAATCTACAGACCAGGGATCAGCCCCAAGGCTATGATCTTTGTGCTGCGCCGCTCTACCCCTGAGCAGACAGGCCAGAGGTCCAGAGAGGGCTGTGCTGGCAGAGTTCATACTTTGATAACTGAACCCTAGAGTAAGCCTGCCCTGGAAATGCCAGCTCAAGGGACTGACAGGCATAATGCTCTTTGGGAGAGAAATGCCACATCTGCAGCGACACGCATCCTAACACTGTCCCAGGACTGGGGAACCAGCGGAGGAGCAGCTGATAAATGTCAAGGCACACAGTAATCCTGGGTAATCCATTCAGAGCTGGCAGTAATCTAAACTTTCTGTACAGCAGTGACTCTGAGCTATCAGTCACAATGCAAGAGGGAGCCTTGAGGGTCCTCCAGGATGTTTGCCAAGGGCACAGGCCCAAAGCCAGAAAAGGTACCCAACAGGGATACCATCAGGAAGAAGTTGGAAACAAAAGATAAAGCACTCTACCTGAGGGAAGTACCCCAGCTGCAGGGGCCTCCTGGAGACATGCTCACCTGAGCTGGCTCATGTGCTGCTGAGGCTGGATGGAATGGCACATGGCAACATGCTTTGTCAACGGTAACGTGTTGTTATTTTAACTCTATGCTTAGTTTGTAAAGACTCACTCCCTCTCCTTTGTTAAATAAAACCCTCATCTCATCTCTCCCGGGGTAAGGCAGGGCAGCTGGTCAAGGGATGCCACCTCTATTCCCTGGGCCTCCCCTTCTCCCCAGAAACCTCGCATCTTAACTGCATCACACGAGACCCCAGAGCTCTGCTGATTCCCCTTGACACTGGAGCCCTTTTGGTCATGGACCAATTCCTGTTCTCAAAGACCTTTCTCTTTAAGCCATGGAGGACTACTTGAAGAATACTAAAGAAAAACATGCCACCATGCCCAGCTAATTTTTGGAAAAGGAAATTGCAAGGAAATGCACAAGCAGCTTCCCCAAAGGTCCGGCTGGGAAAGCTCAGGTCCTGCCTTGCTGAGGCCCTGCCAAGGCTCAAGGACCCTGCCCCACCCCCACGTGCTGCCCTTTGAGCTGTGAGTAGGGTGGAAGACAGGGAACCAACCCATGGGGCCAGCTTCCTGGGGAGCTCAAGCAGGAGCCGGGCTGGGGACAGAGAGGTGCCACTCCCACTGCCCACCAACCACACTCGAGGCCCATGTCACCCACACAAAGGAGGAGAAGACAAACCGAGGGGTTGCTAACCTGTGGGCAGGACCAGCAGTGCTGCACAAAGAGAGATGAAAGGGGTGAGGCTCCGGTCCGGGGGCAAAAAGAATCCTAAGAGACACACACACGTGCCCAGCTCTTCCCTGCCCCGGGGTGTCTGCCCCAGCGTTCACTGCCTGAGCTGCCCTCCTTTCTTCCCATCTTCCCTCCCTTAGGAAGTCCTGTGACCCCTACCATCCTCCTCCTCTGTAGGGCTGGTTGTGCCCTCCCCTGGGGTGGCATCAGCACCCTGTGGGCACCTCTGTGAGGACCTTCTGGAAGGTGCAGCAGGGGAGGTGGGTAGGAGGGTAGGCTCTCCTTGCTGCCTGGGTTTACATGCCAGCTTTGCCACTTCCTTTGTCACTTTAACCACATCACTTCACCTCTCCGTGCCTCAGTTTCCTCCTCTGTGAAAAAAGGAGAGTAACAGTGCTGAGGAGTGAATAAAATAGTTCCCAGGAAGCGCTTGGCTCTTGCAGAAAATGTGAGCTTTCATGCTTTTAACTTGTCCTTTTCCTCCACCAAATCGAGAGTTCCAGAGGGCCCAGGCTCCGTGTGTCTGCAGTGCCCCCAGCACACCCCAATATCCACCTCCCCCATGGCAATGGTGGAGCAGCCACCCAATAGGGCCCTCACGAAAGGCCCAACATGGCATCGGCTGGTGGTTAAGAGCCACATTTGGCCAGGTGTGGTGGCTCATGCCTGTAATCCCAGCACTTTGGGAGGCCAAGGCAGCAGATCACAAGGTCAGCAGATCAAGACCATCCTGGCCAACATGATGAAACCCTGTCTTTACTAAAAATACAAAAATTAGCTGGGCATGGTGGCATGTGCCTGTAGTCTCAGCTAGTCGGGAGGCTGAGGCAGAAGAATCGCTTGAACCTGGTAGGCAGAGGTTGCAGTGAGCTAAGATCGCGCCACTGCGCTCCAGCCTGGTGACAGAGTGAGTCTCAGTCTCAAAAAAAAAAAAAAAAAAAAAAAAAAAAAAAGCCACACTCGGGACTCAGTGGTCCTGAGATCACACATGGGCCCAGGGTCGGAGTGCAGCGACAAAGGACAAGTTCCTTTACTTCTTGAGCTTCGGTTTCCTCATCTGTAAACATGAAATAAAAATTACAATCTAAAAAAATAAATAAAAAGCCAGGCATGGTGGCTCACACCTATAATCCCAGCACTTTGGGAAGCCAAGGTGGGAGGATCGCTTGAGGCCAGGAGTTCAAGACCAGCCTGGGTAACATAAAGAGACCTCATCTCCACCAAAAAGCAAAAGAAAAAAAAAAAAGCCAACCTCACAGAGTTACAGTGAGAAATAGATGAAAAGACATTTCAAGAGCTTAGCACAATACCTGACACTTAGTAAGTCACAATAAATACAATGGATTTGTTTTTAGCGATAATGATGCCCGCACTCCTATCTGTAATGAGTAGAGAGTGCTCTGAGACCATCTGCAACCTCAGCTACTCTCTCCAGAGGTGCTTAAAGGAAGAAAGTAGGGCAGAAGGACTGCCTCCAAGATGCTCAGGGAGGAGAGGTGATCAGAAGAAGGTTCTGGAAACATCCCGACAGGAAACTTTCCCAGCGAGAAGCTGTGGGTTCCTGCCGCTCCATGCATCTCTTGCTCTCTCTAACTCTGCCATCTTCCCTCTTCACCCCATTAGCCTTGTCAAACAGAGAGGAAGGGATGAAACGATGGAGTTTGGATATTAACATTTCAAAGTAAATACTGGAAGAGTGCTGCCTGAGCCTTGGAGTGGCAGGTGCACAGAGGAGGGGTGAGGGGCGGGTCTGGCGTGTGTGCTCTCCACAGCTTTTGTGCCTGATCAGTCATCTCATTTCCCTTCTGTAGCACATTAAAGAGAAACATCGCCGACAAACCTCTCAGTCCCTGCCAAGCTGCTGGGTGCAAGCTGAGCCAGCGGGCAGACACAGCCCAGTCCTCCTGGCTCTTCTCTTGCAAACCTCCATTAAATGGGCCAGAAATTGAGGGGGAAAGAACACTGTATTCAGCTCAGTTTACTCATATACCACACCCAGGCAGTAGTTAGGACAGACCCTTAATGCCTTCCCAGAAGGGCCCAAACAGAGCAAAGGATCAATCCCTTATTCATTGACCCACTGTCCACCCAATAATCACTGAAACTAGATTTTACTTTTAAAATATTTGCTGGCTCCTTCTCTGCCTGTCATGGAATGAGGACATTCTGTGCCTGGGAAGAAGGAACAGAAACAATTCCACGGCTTGAAACCATATAGAGGTGCCAGCCCTTCACTCAATGCCTAATCAAAACAGTTCCGATGACAGAGCCTCTCCTCATAGGCTTTACATTTGCAAAATGATTTGCTAAGACCAAGTAGAGTTGATGCACGTGCCCATGACCTAGCAATTCCACTCCCAGGTATTCACCGAAGACGCTCTCCCAACTGTGCACCAGGAAGCACCTGCCAGGATGTTCCAAGCATTATTTGCACGGAAAAACCTGAAAACAATCCAAATACACACCAAAAGGAAAGTGGGCAAATCGTGGTAATGCCACATAATAGTGAAAAATGCATGAACCACAGTCCACATCATCATGGATGAATTTCAGAAATGTAATACTGAGTCCAAAAAAATAAAAAATAAAACCAGCCTCTTACAAAGGAATATACATAGTTTGGTTCCTTTATGAAAAAGTTAGAGAATAAGCAAAAGTTAAGCTAAGGCTTACATATATACATCTATGTAGCAACACCAAAAAGGAAATCAAGGAAGTTATAAACACAGAAGTCAGTAGAGAGGTTCCCTCTGGAGCTGAGGCTGGGGTTGGGTTGGAGAGGGAACGGGACCTTCCTGCAGCTTTGCTACGTTCTTTTGCTTAAGTTTGGTGGTGAATTCATGGATACTCATTTTATTATTATGCTTTGCCACTAACATATACATCAAGACACATTCTAAATTTTCTTTTGTTATCAAAAAATCATTTCTAAAGCATTATTTTCAAAAAGAGGGTTGGCTGGGCACAGTGGCTCATGCCTGTAATCCCAGCACTTTGGGATAAATCACCTGAGGTCAGGAGTTTGAGACCAGCTGGCCAACATGGTGAAACCCCATCTCTACTAAAAATACAAAAATTAGCCAGGCCTGGTGGCAGGCACCTGTAATCCCAGCTACTCAGGAGGCTGAGGCAGGAGAATTGCTTGAACCTGGGAGGCGGAGGTTGCAGTGAGCTGGGGTCGCACTACTGCACTCCAGCCTGGGTGTCAGAGCAAGACTCTGTCTCAAAAAAAAAAAGAAGAAAAGAAAAGAAAGAGGGCTGACCCTAATATAGGTAAGGACATCTGAAGGCAAAAAGGGACTCCAAATGCTTCAGACGCCCAGCCAAGAGTCCGAGTCATTAAAAACCACAGAGACAAATGAACAACAATAATAGCTGTATTCACTGAGTGTCCATCATGTCATCTACACACGCTAGAGTCTACAGAGATTATTCTAATTCTCACAGCCACTATGCAAGATGGGTGTCATTATAACCGTGGAAACTAAAGCTCTGATAGGTGAAGTGACAAGGCCAGGGTCATCAAGCTGCTCCCGCCGCGGAGAAACCAAACATACCCTGTCTGTCCACGCCTACAAAGACTGCGTCTTTCCATGATGCCAAGCAGCCTCTCAAATATTTATAGACATAAATGGTGAATGAACCAAAGTGCAATTCAATCCAACACATATTTATAAATATTTATAACCAAATGTTTTGCTTTGATAATGCCTATTCTCTGAAGCGCCTGGCGTCAGACAAACAGGGCTTTTGCTGCTGGAGCCTGCTGCAGCTCACCTGGGAGCGTTCACTCGTTTCCATGAACACACACTTCTGTCTGCGCTCACATCCGTACCCAGATGGCCCACCACCCTGTTACTCATCGTCTTCAATTTAACACACCGTGAAAATAAGACTCGGGTGTCCAGGGACCACAGGATGCTGTTTGTGAGGGAATTTGTGCCTCTCTGCTGCCTAAAATCTGCCAGAGGCTCCCCATCACTTTCAGGATTAAAGCCAAGCCCCTCAGCAGAATGGCATGTCCTGGCTGAACGTGCCGAGCTTGCCCCTTCCCACTCACACCCGCACCCTGACCTGACAGCTCGGCTCCATTTGCGGGTTCTCAAACTTATCACGTTCCCTTCGCTGTCCAAGGCTACACAGGCTGTTCCCCCTGTCCTTCCCTTCGTCACCTCTCTCTTGGCCTAGCTAAGGTCTCCTGGACCCTCAGAGCCCAGCAGTGATGCCCCCTCCTCTAGGGAGCCTCTGCCAAGCTTCACTGCCAAGCTCCACCACTCCCTGACAGAGCGCCCTGTGATACTCACCCCTCGGCATCCACCACTCCCTGACAGAGCGCCCTGTGGTACTCACCCCTCAGCACCAGCTCTCTCTGTTTTCTTCTCCATCCTCCCATGGTTCTGAGCTCCCCTTTCCGCATCCACAGCCTGTAGGCTGGGAGACATGAATTCAGAGCATGCTATAAATAAATGTGTGTGTCTCCTGGGCCTCAGGTCCCAGGACCACATAAAGCAATGGGCCAGGACAGATAATCCACACTCATGGGCAGGACCTGTGCTGAGCCTTCACAGCACTATCCAATTTGATCTTCACAACCACACTATGAGGTACTACCATCCCCATTTCACAGATGAGGCAATTGAGATTTAGAAAAGTCCAGTATCAGGAACAAAACCACATAATCTGTAACCCAAAACTCTTTGGTTCCAAAGCCCATGATTTGTTATTAATTTGTTTTTTGTTTTGTTTTGTTTTTTTGAGGCAGGGTCTCACTCTGTCACCCAGGCTGGAGTGCAGTGGCACAATCTCTTCAACCTCTGCCCCTTGGCTCAAGCAATCTTCCCACCTCAGCCTCCCAAGCAGCTGGGTCCACAGGAACATGTCACTGTACCCAGCTAAAGTTTGTATTTTTTGTAGAGACAGGGTTTCACCATGTTGCTCAGGCTGGTTTCAAACTCCCGGGCTCAAGCAATCCTCCCACCTCGGCCTTTCAAAGCGCTGGGATTACAGGCATGAGCCACCACGTCCAGTTATTAAATGTTTTAAATAAGCAATTGGATGCCACTAGAATCTTGAAATCAGAGGAATTTAGACCTGAAAGGTATCTTGGAAAGCAATATCAAATTTAGTGGTCATTTTTGTGTCCCTGATCATTTTTTCTAATCATCTACAAAGATGCATTAATTGATTATAATTATATATAATTTGATATACAGCCTCTTGCAACGTCAAAGGATTTTCCATCTGAATCAGCTCTTCTGAACATTTTTCTTTCTTTTTTTGGGTTTTGTTTCTGTTTTTGTTTTTGATATGGAGTTTCAATCTTGTTGCCCAGGCTGGAGTGCAGTGGCACTGCAACCTCTGCCTCCCAGGTTCAAGCGACTGTCCTGCCTCAGCCTCCCAAGAAGCTGGGATTACAGGCGTGTACCACCACACCCGGCTAATTTTGTATTTTTAATAGAGAGGGGGTTTCACTATGCTGGTCAGGCTTGTCTTAAACTCCTGACCTCAGGTGATCCACCCACCTCAGCCTCCCAAAGTGCTGGGATGACAGGCATGAGCCACCATGCTCAGCCCCAAACATTTTTCTTTTAGGTTTTTTTTTTTTTTGACGGAGTTTTGCTCCTGTTGCCCAGGCTGGAGTGCAATGGTGCGATCTTAGCTCACTGCAACCTCCGCCTCCTGGGTTCAAGAGTTTCTCCTGCCTCAGCCTCCTGAGTAGCTGGGATTATAGGCATGCACCACCATGCCCAGCTAATTTTGTATGTTTAGTAGAGACAGGGTTTCTCCATGTTGGTCAGTCAGGCTGATCTCGAACTCCTGACCTCAGGTGATACGCTCGCCTCGGCCTCCCAAAGTGCTGGGATTACAGGCGTGAGCCCGGCCTCTTTTAAGATTTTTAAGGTGAATTTTATGGATCTTCCAAAGGGTGGCCTGACCTGGTATAAAGACATGCCCACGGTCACATGGAGAGTCTTACTACACTCCCAGGTGGGGCAGGGGTGGGAGTGAGGCATTGAGGGGAAGACATCCACCCCGCTACCAGGTGCCTGAAGCCACTCCAGCTCTCCCAGCCCCTCAGGATACTCAGGGACTGTCCTAGCAAGGCAGGAAGTGAGGACAAGGGACCTAGCAAAGGAGCACCCACCTGCCCAGCTTCTGACCACGTCACAGTGTAACTGTCTATGGTGGTAATGTTACAAGCCAGGGGAGCAAAGGACAATTCACCGCAACACTTAGGTTCAACATGGAGCAGCCACGGAGGCCCTGAGTCCTCTCAGAAGCACCGACTCCCACTCTGGGGCCTGCCTAAGGGAGGCCAGCCGGTGGAAAGGGAGCCCAAGTGAACATAGAAACAGCAGAGGGAATTATTGCACATTCTGAAGTCTTCCTAGTAAGATCAAAAGTACAGGCTGGGTGCAGCAGATCACACCTATAATCCCAGCACTTTGGGAGGCCAAGGCAGGAGGATCATTTGAGGCCAGGAGTTCAAGACTAGCCTAGGAAACAAGACCAGCCTGGGCAACAAAAATTTTTTAATTAATTGGGTGTGGTGATGCACACTTGTAGTCCCAGAGTCCCAGCTACTCTGGAGCCTGAGGTGGGAGGATCAGTTGAGCCCAAGAGGTTGAGGCTGCAGTGAGCCATGACTGCACCACTGCACTCCAGCCTGGTGACAAAGTGAGACCCTGTCTCAGACAGAAAAATAAAAAGTCCAAAGTAGGTGATGGAGTCATCTACCTGGATACTTAGGGTCATCCCTTAGCTCAAGGAAGAGTCCTAAGGAAGCTCGTCTCCCTAGCCTTCTCAAATCAAAAAATAAAAATAAAAATCCAAGCGCTCACTAGCTGTGTGATGTTGGGCAAATTCTTGGCTACTCTGAATTTCAGTTTTCTCCTCTATGACAATGGGGATAATAATAATTCCAGCCTCATAAAGTTGTTGAGAGGATTCCATAAGATAATGATGGAAAACCCTTAGCACATGATAAATGGCACCTCATGCTGTTGTGACGATTCCTGCCATTACCCATGACAGTCTCTGCTGTCTGTCTTGTTCACCATCAGTGCCTGGTGTCAGAGTAGATGCTCAGCAAATAGCAGTGACCTGGCAGAGCACAAAAGGGTCTTTCCCATTGCGACATCAGAGGCCATGTGAGCTTCAAGGAAACATTTGGATCATGTAGTTTGAAGGCTGGCCCAGTGCAGGGGCCCCTTCCTGGCTTCCCCGTAAGGTTGGTTTAGAGATTGCCCACCTGGGCTCTGCTTGACCTCGCCCAGGGCCAGAGAGCTCACTAATGCTTGAGGCTCAACATCCACTCCCAGCCTGCTATTCCTTGGAATTGCCCTGAGACCTTCCTGCTGGTACTTATCCTGCTTCTTCTGGAGAACAGAGAGTAAGCCCACTCATCCCCATGGCCCACATCCATGCTTTCAAATCCTCTCAGCAGCTCTGGAGACCTGAAACCTCTCCAGTTTCTTCACTGACCCCTCACAGGTCCGGGGGCCAATTCTGGGTGCCTGTAAGTTTGCAAATGTTCTCTGGAGATGAGAAGCCTGGAGCCAGGCACCACAGTCTGAGAAAGGTGTTCCCAGCAGCCCTCAGCTCCCTGATGGCTCTCACTGACCAGGTCTTCCAGGCCTGGAAGAGCCCTGGGCATCCTGACCCCTGAGTCCCTCCTATCTTTCTGTCACTGGGTCATTGCTGAGGGGAGGCTCAACAGCAACTGCAGCACTGGGCACCTGGGCATCCTGGGTCCTTCTCTAGAAATCCAGTCGCCACCTATGAGCCACCCGGCCTTCTCACTGTACTGTGAAAATGGTGTTTCTCTGCCCTTCCTTCTGAGGAGCCAAGGCTCAGAAAGGAAGCCTGTGTCAGATTCCAAGTCTTTTGAAAACAAAGAAAACATAGACTCCTCCCAGGAGGACTGGGGTACCAGGGATAAAGGGAACCTTCCCATAAGATCAAAGTGCTCTGTCCTTGATGGGCAGAGTATGAGAAGCAGGGGGCCGAGTTGACAGAGCACAGGCTCTGGAGTGAAACCTTCATCCAAGCCTTGGTTGTGCCAGTTCACCTGCTGTGTGACCTTGGGCAAGTTGCCTGACCTCTCTGAGCTTAATGTAAAAGTAGAATCAACAAAATACATTTCACGGGCTGTTGAAAGATGAGAATGAAATAATATATGGAGAGTCCTGGTGGCAGCCTGGGTCAGACAGGTACTGAATAAGTCTTCATTATGATGAGGAAGGAGGAAGAGGAGGAGGAGGCAGCAGTAGGAGAGGAGAAAGAGAAGGAAGAGAGAGAGAAATAATAATTCAAATAATTCATCCCCACCCCACTTCACCTCCTCCCTCCAGCTAGAGAAGACCATCTCCTGAGCTAGCCGAAGCCCACTGCAAGGATTCCAGGTTCTTCCTCCTTAGGGCCTGTCCGGAGCCCTGGGGTCAACACTGCTTTCCCAGCTTCCCCAGAGGAGGGAAGAGTGGAGGCTGCTGATGAGGAGCACCCCCTACCCACAGGTCTAGCCCGGCATCCTGGGCCTCCTCCCTGAGCTGCTGACCAGGAGCCCATCCTGTCTCCTCTATGCCTGGTGAGCAGTGGGGTTTCTGTCCCTGGTCCAGCTCATTTCAGGAGGCAGTGGGGCTGGGGGCTGGGCATCCTGCCCAATTAACACTCTCAAGAATGCCAGCGAAGCAGCTGCCATGCAGTCGGGCTCCCCAGGGAGAGGGGCCCAGGTGTTCCTGCCTCCTCTCTGGTGCAGGCTGGGGGTGGGAGAGCCTGTCACCAGGCCTGGTCCTCACCCCAGAGCATCTGGGCTTCCTCTGTAGGAGTGGGGAGCATCTGGCAGCCCACATCCCCTCCATCCCCAGCCCACCATGGAAACGAGAGGACGGATGGGCTCTGGAGCTCCAAAGACCTGGGATTCACTCCTGCCCACCCCCTCCTTCCACCCGTCAGCTTGTTACCTGTCTGTGAAATGACAACACACTCTGCTGCCCACTGTTGTGAGGTAACAGGAAAGCATATGGCTTGGAACTTGGTCCACAGTCAGTACCCAACACTGTTTTCTCTCCCTCCCTCCCCATCCCTAACTACAGTGGGTGGCAGAGACATGCCAATACCTTGCTTCATAGAGAGAGGAGAAAATGAAATCAGAAAAAAAAGCAATTTTTTCTCTGTGTTTCTACGAGCAGAGACTTAGAAAAACACTTGACATGAAGAGAAGTTCCAGGGACATGAGTTCTGACATCAAGGAGCCCAACCCTGAAAGATCTGAGAATAAAGCATGTGAAGTGGGTGTCCAAAGAGCAAAGCAGGTAAATTAAAAAAAATTACAGGGAGATGAAGGACTAAGAACAACGTCTATTAAATAATTATAAGGAAAGATAGCTTCCTGTCTCTAATAACTTATTTGCTTGGAAAATTTGCTCCAAACATACTCTCCATGTCGATATTTGCTTGATGTTTGCTTGCATTTAGCTAGCATAATAAAGGTGTTTGTCTTCATGTTAACAACTAAAAAAAGGAATATGACTATTCAAGGTTATAAATCCACAAGGGTGTGGATTTCCAGGAACAACCCTTGAGGCTCTATAGCATACTACTGCCACCTGGTGACAGTGTACCAGGGGTAAATTGGAAGGGTAGAATTTGAGAGTATATAAATAATCTCTTCGGTTGCTGAGTCTGAAAAAGTCCATGAGGCTTGGGCCATGCAAGTGACGCACATGCAAGTCACTCAGTTACCAGCAACTATTTTGAAAAATCAGTGAACTAAGATCCACTTCTGGCTCTCCCTGAGGACAACTCATTTCCGAGTTACAACCTGAGTTCCTTCTCTGTGAATGGAGGGGCCTAAAAGACCTCTGAAGTCACTGCCGGCTCTTATATTTGAATGTTCTGTAAATGTGTCTCAGAATGAAAGCTCAATGAATACATTTCAGAAACCCCAGGGGGATCTGTCAAAATGCAGAGTTCTGGTTCCAGCCTCAGATTCTCAATAAGAAGGTCAGGGGTAAGGCTCTGAAATCTACATTTTTTAATAAACAGCTTCCTCATTCTCTAGTGTTTGAGCATGGCTATTCCAAATCTTTGCATTTACTATTTAAGATTCTACTTTATTAAATTGAGACGTTCTGAGGTGTCTGGCCCCATCACAGTACGCTCACATTTCCTGAGGGCCTGAATATCACATAATACTCAGTGCAGCTTTACAAGGACTATATGGTATAAGAAGGTTTTAGGCCCATTTTGCTGATGGGGAAATTGAGACTCAAAAAGGTGACACGAGCAGCCCGAGGTCACAGGCTGCGTAAGCTGGAGCTGGGTTTGAACCCTCAGTTTTGGGATGCCCATGAACTTCCCAAAGAACTCAGGGCCTTCAGGACTTTGTCCTCCACTTCTTGGCGCAGCAGGACTTGGGGCACTGACCTAGCCATGGAGTTAGAGCCCACTCCCCACTTTTAAGGGCTTTCTGCAGGCTTCGGGCACACTCCAGACTCCAGCCCATGCATCTCTTGGCCTCCCTTGGCATCTTCTGTGCCACCCATCAAAGCGCTCCTCTATCTCCAAAATGGCCGTCGCAGGTTCTGACCTTCAATAGAAAAGGCGAAGGTATGACCAAACCTGTTCTCACCTCTTCTGCCCAGGAGAACACACATTATTAAGGGGGAAGGAAACATGGCTCATCTTTCCTGTAACTGCTGCTTCCACTTAAAAGACATACCGAATGATTCAAACCCAACTCTGTCACACACTAGCCACGTAACCTTGGGCAAGTTACTTAACCTCTCTGAACTATACATAATTTCCTCACCAGAAAAAATGGGGATAAAAGAATCCTCTCTTATAGGATTGCTGTGGGGATTAAATGAGACAGTACATATAAAATGTTAGCCATGACGACTGGGATATAGTAAGTGCCCAATAAATTATAGCTAAAAAACAAAAGGCATACACACACATGCACAACATATGGCTTGGAGAGAAACGGAAATACATCCCTGCTCTGACATGTCTGTTTCACTCAGGCATGCACAACGTGACCCCGAAGCTGGAAGTTTCCACGCAGCCCAGCAGCGATGGGCCATTCAGGCAGGCACTGCCTGGGGTCTCTTGTGTTCCCCTGGAGGGGCAGTGTTCTAGCTTGGGAAACGGGTGTCTGGCTAAAGTCAAAATTAGGAAGAATTCTCCGTCCTCACCACCCCTCTTACCTTCCTGTAAACCCATGGGAAACTCCTCAGGGAACCCCACCCTCACAGGAAGGTCAGGGGTCAACTCATCGCCATCCTATTGGCTGGCACAGAAATGGTGGGCAGATCCCCCTTCCCCGATCCTCCCAGGTGGGAAGTGGGTTTATTTCTCTTTTAATGGAAAGGGGCGGGGGAAGCTAGTGGGTCTGGCCAGCCTGGCTGCTGCCTCCGTGTTCTTCAATTACAGGGACAAAATGATTTGATGCAGGAACCAAGCAGACATCTGGGTTCCAGTTAGCATCTGACATGGGGCCTTGCTAATTAATCTGGAAACATGAATTCACAATGGCTCAAATCCGAGCGCAGTCAGGGAGAAAGCCAGCTGATGGGCCGTGAACAGAAGGTGGGTTGCGACGGGGCGGTGCGAGGAGGTCATCGGGAGGGTCTGGGAGGACTCAGGAGACGGCGCCTTGGGTTCACCCATCCTCCCTGGCTTTGCATCTGACCCCCAGAGACAGGCAGGAGGTGGCTCAGCAGCGGTGGGGAGGGTCCCGGTGGACGCCCACTCTGTGTTGGCAGCCAGCGAGGAAGACAAAGGGACTCAAACATTTCACCCCATCAGCTAGATCAGTCCCTTCGTTCTCACCTGGAGCAAATATGCCCAATGTTGGCAGATTGGCCCATCTTCCTGGGGCTTCCAATTCTTCCTCACTTAGTCTTGAAAGTTTAGGAGGAAATACATATTTTTTTTCCAAAGGGGTATATATATATATATATATATATATATATATATGTATATGTATATAGATTCAAAAGTACTTATCCATTTAACAAACATTTATCTGTCAGTTACCTTCTAGTTGAGCCTTTATTGGGCACCATCCATAGAGCTAAGAGTTTTACAACATTATGACATTTAATCCTTATGAATACCCAAAGAAGTTTTAGCTCCATTTTACAGTTTAGCAAAACAGGACTCAGAGAGGTTAAACTAGTTGCCTAGGACTGCACAGCTAGTAAGGTGCAGGGTCAGATTCAGCCCAGGGTTGGGCAAGAAGACAGTGTGCCAGGCCCGCTCCCCACAGCCACTTCCCTGTGACTGCTGAGCTCATCCCCAGCTGCCCAAATGAGACCCAAATGGCTTTGGGGCTCTGTGAGAAAGGAGGGGCCGCAAGTGAGCAGACCCCACCCTCCTTTCCAATGTCTGCTTTACATCTCCGGTGCCCTGTGAGATTTACTTGAATACACAGGACTGTTGTCTGAAAAGTGTGTGTCCTCCTGATTCAAATCCACTGCTCCCATTTCACAGTTAAAGAAACAAAACTCCGGGCAGGCTCAAGGACTTGTGTCGGGGTACTGGAGCCGAAACGCAGTTTCCTGACTCGCAATGCTGCTTCACACCGTGTGCACGGGCGGCTCTGAGCGGCGGCGCAGTCCTTCCTGGCTCCACATTTTCACAGGCTTTGCATCCTGCTGAGGGTGCAGGCTAAGTCACCCACCCTCTCTGTGCCTCCTCCTAGGATGTTGATGATGCTAAGCGGCCGACACCTCCGGAAGAGTTCAGCACAGTGCTTGGCACACAGCAAGTGCTCAGTAAATATTAGCTATTCTCATCACTTTGCCTCATTGCTCCATGGTAGTAAGACAAAGGCCCCTATCACCCACTGGACTCTGACTCTCTCTCCCTACCCTACGGGAGAAGCTGCCTGAAATGAGAGCCGATCCAAATAAAATGCTTACAATGGTTCCTGCCACATAGAAGGGTTCATTCAAGCTTGGCTAATATTGTCATGACTATTACTATATTACCTGGACCGCCTTCTCTCTCCCGGTTCTGTCCCACCAAAACTATTAGATGTCAAGACGGTCTCCCTGGCCTGGAAGTGCCAGCATCTCACACCTCTCTCCAGGCTGACAGTTGGCACTACTTTGCATTCTCTCCTTCTGTAGACCTATTCATTGCTCCCCAGTTTCCTTTGGCTTCTGAAAATTAATTATCAGTGATTTGTTAAGTTCATTAGCTCTGCCTCTCAACAGCATGGAAGGCCTGCCATCTGGACCCACATTTTCACTTTTATGCACATTGTTCCATAATTACACAATAAGTGGTGTCACCCTGAGAAGCCACGCTGAAGGCAGTCGGCTTACCCCCTCCCTTCTGCAGACTTGGGAAATCTCTCACCAGGACGAGCTGATCTGTCTACTCTGCTCTTAGAGCTGCCATCCCTTCAAACATGTGCAGAGCCCCACCAGCTTTCCCTTCTTAAACACAAATGCACCCCGACTATGCACCAGGGCCTGTGGAAGTGCCGTTCATACAGTCTCTTATTTAAGCCTTCAGTAATTCTGCGAGGTCACCATTATTAACCTATTTACAGATTAGGAAACTGAGGCTCAGAGAGATGAAGTAACTCACCCAAAATAATGCATCATGTCAAGTAGCGGAGCCAAGATCCGAACCCAAGTCCTAATCACACACCAGAAAACCCTCGGGCTAAGTGCAGCGTGATTCTGCAAGCCCACCCCTTGCCTTCTTGCTACATCCAATTTCCCTCCTGCCTTCCTCTGCAGGACCTCTCAGACGTGTAGTTCTTACCTTGGCTCCATTTCATCTGCCCATTCCTGCCTCATCAGCTATAGTCCCGCTCAACCCCATTGCTTTACCGATGCCACATTCTTGACAGGATGGACACATATGGCTTAACGGCAAGAACAAATTCTACTTATTGAGCACGCGCTACCTGATCATTGCTATAATATATTCCTGGATTATCTCATTTAATCCATAAAATCTTATCAGGCAAGTAACACAGGAATTAACAAACACATTTTACAGATGGGAGAACAAGGTGTAGAAAGATTGAGCCACTGCCCGCAGTCATCCAGTTAGTAAGTTACAGAACCTCGACTTGAAGCCAGACATTCTGACTCCAGTGTCTACTTCTCCAGCTCCCTCGTGAGGACAGAGCCAACTACATTTCTGAGAGGGAGGCTGCTACAGAGATAAGGATTCCAGCAACATGGAAGATGGGGTCTCCCATGTCTTGAGATGAGTACCAACAGGTTCCCACAACTCCATTGTAGGCAACTGAAACCCTGTTTTCAAGTAAACAATAATCAGAAGGGAAGATGATTCTTGCCTCATTCATTCAACAAACATTTACTGAATATCTAATAGATAGCAAGGGCCATGCTGGGTATTGCAGACACAGGGAACACAGATGTGCACCCCAGCTCTCCAAGGGAAACAGACTCCTGTTACGAAAAGGTGAAGCCACGGTGTCGAGAGCAGGTGGCAGAGGAACCCCATCCAGCCCACGAGGTGAGGAGGGAAGCCTTGCTGGGTAAGTGGTGTTTCAGCTGAGACCCGGAGGATGACAGACATGGCCTGGATGATGTGTATGTGAGTGTGTGTGAGTGTGTTACACAAGTGCATGTGCATCTGTCCAGGGAGGTACATACTCCGGGCCAAGAGAACAATGTGTACAAGCCCAGAGTGGAGTGTGAGGAAGGCACATCTGAGAGGAGCTCAGAGAGCATCAGGGCAGCCCTTGTATTCATTCAACAAATGTTTGCCAAATGCCAGTGATGCTTCCTGGGAGCTCCTTGTCCAGAAGCTGCTTGCCAGTGCCAGCAAACTAGATCTGGCTTAGAAAGTCCGTCCTAGAGCTGCTTCTTCTCTGAGTTCTTCAGACAGACTCCAAGTTTGTGCCTCACCTGCTCAGCAGCTCTATATTTCACCTGTCTATTTCACCTGTCTCTACCTTGAGGCTCATCCCCTCCAGCATCTCCAGGCCCCTCAACTTGTCCTCATCAACAGATGTCATTTATCCAGGAAGGAAAAGGGGCTAATGTTTGTGGAGGCCAGCCCTGCACAGGGGGCCTTCAAACACCCTTCAAAGAACCCAACCAATATCCCCAAAACAGAGATGCTATTACCATCCCCACTTTACAGATGAAGAAACTGAGGCTTAGGGAACTGCAGTGACAGTTGCCGCACGTCACAGATCTTGTCATGCTCTTCCCAAAGACGTGATCTTCTGAAGTCAATGCCCGGCCTTCCCTAAAGGGATTGCCAAAAAGTCACACATGTCAAGTAGCTTTTCCCTAAAAATCTGACACCTTTTATCAGCACGCCACAGTTTTGCAAAACAATAGATTCCTTCAAAATTCCTGTGGAATGTAAAATTGTAAGCCATCTAGCAAGAGAAGAAGTAGAGCAACCTCCCTTCATTTGGCAAATAATGCTATGCATGGGGAGACTGGGCCATTCCTTTCCTCCAGAATGTCTGAACCGTCCTCAAACAATTTCAGAACAAGCCCAATGCTAGGCAAATTTGGAGACAGGCAAATTTGGAGACAGTGGCTCAAGCCTGTAATCCCAGCACTTTGGGAGGCTGAGGCAGGTGGATCACTTGAGGTCAAGATCACTTTGAGACCAGCCTGGCCAACATGTCAAAACACCGTCTCTACTAAAAATACAAAAATTAGCTGGGCATGGTGGCAGGCGCCTGTAATCCCAGCTACTCGAGAGGCTGAGGCAGGAGAATCACTTGAACCTCGGAGGCGGAGGTTGCAGTGAGCTCAGATTGCATCACTGCACTCCAGCCTAGGCGACAGGGTGAGACTCTGTCTGAAAAAAAAAAAAAAAACTGGAGACAGAGTAGAAACATAGTGCAGTGACCCAGTCACAAGATTCAACAGCTGGCAACTGAAACACAAGAACAAGGGTCCACGGCAAAGCCACAAAGCCTCAGCTCTCAAGCAGAGGGACCAGCCATCACGTGGAGTAGGATGTGTTCCAAGGAGTCCTCAAATCCCTCCATCAGACAGTGTTGCCTGAATAAACAGTACTCTCTTCACATGTATGTAGGCTCAGGGGATGAGTGAAAAACAAACCCACTTAACAGCATTATGCAGCGGAAGCCTCGGGGGTGAGACCACACAGGAGTTCACTTTCTGCATGATACAGCTCTGGGATATTTGAATTTTATCATGAGTATGCATAACCTTATAAATTTTTAAACAATCTAAATATGAAAAATGGTAGGAAATTCAAGGTAGCTCTTGTCCCTGCACATTTTCTTAAATGACACATGCTCAAAATCCAACCAAAACCTGGCAGGGCAGGGGAGAGGAAGACTATGAAGCCTTTGGACATTCAAAAGTGTTCTTTAGCCCAGAGAAGGTTGGGCCCCAGGGAGGGGGGTCTGTCAGCTCCATGCTCCTCCTCAGCACGGTAGCTGCCCTCCCTCGAGCTTTGCTATTCCAAGGTTGAGGCCATTTCATGCCTTATCAATAATTCATGGGTACAAACAATAATGCCAGCTGGATCTCCTCTGCGGAGGCTGCAGGGTAAACCTCTAACCACCTAGGAGCAAATGTACACTGGGGTGCGCACCCGGCTTCCCAGGGGGAGACAAGACTTAGAAGCACTTTAAGAATCAATTCCAGCCTGAGAGGGCTGAGCTTTGCAGACAGTCTTGAAGGTACCCCCATGTTCCACTCAGGGCCAATGGGACCCTTGGGAATACACAGAATGGGGTCCCTTCCCCACCCAGGAGCACTAGGTATACCTAGTCCAGCCCTTGGACAGAGAAGCAGCATGGACATTAGAAGAATCACTAAACCAGGAGAGGGAAAATTAGGTTCTAGTCTCAGCTCTGCCACTTACCCGCTGTGCGACCCAACGTACGTTGCTTAACCTTTCTGAGCTTCAGTGTACTCTTAATAAAATGAAGATGGAATAGAGAAATAGGCAAAGGATTCAAACAGGTAGTTTAACAGAAAAGGAACACAAATGGCCTTAAAAGCATTAAAATGGGATGCTTAACCACACTCATAATTAAATAAATACAAGTTAAAACAAGATGTATTTCAGCCCATCAAACTGGCAAAGTGAAAAATGTCAAGAATGTTCAATACTGGAGGTGTGGAGAAACAGAGCTTCTTGTATACTGTGAAGATGGAACAGCTTTTCTAAACAGCAACTAGGCAATAGGCATCATAATGTAAAATGCATCTTTTCTTTGACTTACCACCTCCATTTCTAGGAGTGGGTCCTACTGATCTTGCCATATGAGAACACAGAGTCAGACAAACAAGGACGTTTCCTTGTAACAATGTTTATAAGACTGAAAACAATGTAATGTCCCTCCATGAAATACACATAATAAGACTGTGTGAGCCTGGGCAACATGGCAGAAATCCTGTCTGTACAAAAAATACAAAAATTAGCCAGGCCTGGTGGTGCACGCCTGTGGTACCCTACTCAGGAGGCTGAGATGGGAGAATCGCTTGAGCTCAGGAGGAGGAGGTTACAGTGAGCCAAGATCACACCACTGCACTCCAGCCTGGGTGACAAAGCGAGACCCTGTGTCAAAAAAAAAAAAAAAAAAAAGTAGGCCGGGCGCAGTGGCTCATGCCTGTAATCCCAGCACTTTGGGAGGCTGAGGCGGGCGGATCACCTGAGGTCAGGAGTTAGAGACCAGCCTGGCCAACATAGCGAAACCCTGTCTCTACTGAAAATACAAAAATTAGATGGGCTTGGTGGTGCATGCCTGTAATCCCAGCTACTCGGGAGGCTGAGGAAGGAGAATCATTTGAAACCAGGAGGCAGAGGTTTCGGTGAGCTGAGATCGCACCACTGAGCTCCAGCCTGGGCGACAGAGTGAGACTGTCTCAAAACAAAAACAAAAAAAAACAAAAAAAACAAGAGTCTGAGTCTGTGGTGCTAAGAACAGGAACACCAGCTGTATATGTGCTGATATACAGTGGTCTCTTAGCTCTACAGGAGGAAAATAAACAGGTAAGCTCCCATTCTGAAGAAAGAGAGAGAGAATATCTGTGTTTTCATATGCAGAGAACATTTCAGGAAGCCTCCACATGAAGCTATTTTAGTAGCTGTCTCTGGGAAGGGGACGTCGAGATCTGGAATAGGACAGAGACTTATTTTCATTTTATATGTCTCCGTCTTATTTAATTTTTTAAACTAGGTATTAGATTTTTAATAACTTTCCGATGTGAAGGTTCTGTTTCGCTTACACAGAAAGCACCTTGGTTGTGTGAACATTTGATGTAGCTGATATGAGAGAGGGCTATAAACTGTAACAGACGTGAACGTGCACATGGGACACGTGGGACATGGGTGTCTCTTAGAGACGAAGACCCCACGGGGTGAACAATGAATCGGATGCAGCGCCCACTGCTTTTTAGAGTAACACACCACATTCATCCCCAGAGGAGTTTCAGGAGCCACCAAAAGTGGCAGAGTCCAAAATGGCCTTTTCCTGAGAGGTTCAGGATGGTGGAGATGAGGCTTTTAAAGACTCATCACCACCTTGCTTCCCAGGAACCAGACTTCTTCACTGATACATTTTACCTGATGAACCAACTTCAAGACCAGAGACTGGCTCTCAAAGAGCAGGTCTGAGGGATGCACAAGGGTTTTCTTGTTGACTGACAGATTCCAACACCAGCCCATAAGCTCCACCTTACAGCTGGGGCAGGAGGCATTCCCCAACCTCACTGATGCCTAGCTGGGCACTCAGCAAACATTTGTGGAATACATGAATGAGTGGCTGGTCTCGGGCAGGTCCTGAGAGCTCACAGGCTGTTAGATCTGGAAGAACTTTCCAGAGGAAGCCCCTCAGTCCCATGTATGGGTGTGACTTGCTCAAGACTCACAGCAACAAGAGACAGAGCCAAGGCTCAAGCCAAGACCTGTGACCCTCGCCTGGCACTTCCTGCCCTTCTCATCTCCCTGAGCATGCACAGAATTCACCTTTTTCCAGATACAACATACGGCCAAACACTCCTCCCATCTACGCCATTCTCAGGCTTTAAAGGTTTTGAAGGCTGGGCACGGTGGCTCATGCCTGTAATCCCAGCACTTTGGGAGGCTGAGGCGGGTGGATCACAAGGGCAGGAGATCGAGACCATCCTGGCTAACATGGTGAAACCCCGTCTCTACTAAAAAAAAAACAAAAAAAATTAGCCGGGCATGGTGGCGGGCGCCTGTAATCCCAGCTACTGAGGCAGGAGAATGGCGTGAACCTGGGAGGCAGAGTTTGCAGTGAGCCGAGATCACGCCATTGCACTCCAGCCTGGGCGACAGAGCGAGACTCCGTCTCAAAAAAAAAAAAAAGGTTTTGAAGTTGGTTTCCAGTCTGACATTTCTGTAAAGTATCCAAACCAATCAGACTCATCAGCCAAGCCTTATAGCTTAAAAGAGAAAAGGGCTCTTCCAGCCCTATGCTGTCCGTTAAGTTAGGACAATGTCTATGCAGTACCTACCAGATGCAAGGAAGACACAGCTCACTCCCTCCTTAGGAAATGAACTCAGGATCTCTCCTGAACAGTGCCGGGTCACTCAAGATGTGCAGAAGCAGCCTGACTAGCAAGGACCTCATCAGGAACCACGTCCTCTGGGCACAGAGATGAGCCAAACAGCCTCCAAGACCTCACCTCTATGTGTGCAAGTTCCACTCTACGAAGAAACACTCACTAGAGCTTCAGGGATCATGCGTAGTCACATGGTGGCTTCAGCACCAACCAGTGTGCAGGGAGGACTCCAGCAAAGTAAGAAAGCACAGCGGAGAAACCAGCAGCCTTGGGGCGGCTCCCAGCTCTGCTCCCACCCAGCTATGACTCCAGGGAACTCCTGCCACCTCTTCGGGCCTCACTGTCCTCATCTGCAAAGACAGGATGTGAATTAGAACCTCTCTCAGGTTCTTTCCAGTTCATATATGATTAAAGCAATGATTCTTTGGGGAGGAGAGGTAGAAAACCCAGAGGCAAAGCTTTTTCATGAATTGACAAGCAGCCACTCAGAACAGACCCAGCTCCCACACTGGCCTCCAAGAAGCCCCTGGGAACCCACCATGCAGGGTCAGGGAACAAATGCACCACCGAGCCCCCTGCTCTCGGGCCTTGCATTGACGCCTTCTTCCCGCCCTTCCTCGGCCCCTCTGCCTCTTGTAAGTGAGGCTGGCCTCAGCCCTGGCCCTCTTCTCCCCTCCTCCATCCACGCTGCTTCCTCTCACCAGAACTCTACAGTCCCAGGGCCCTGTCCCTCCCCTTCCCTGCAAGCCTGAGCCAGGGAGTCCCAGGGGGCTCTTCATCACATTTGAGACACAAACCTTTTGAACAAATGTGGGTAATCATAAAGATGGGCCCAGCAGGACAAGCAGGAGTGTTCATCTGTCTCCTGGCACGATGCCCCCACCGTGGCTAGAAGCGCACGTGTGCATGCTCACACTCTCCCCAAATCCCACTCCTCTTCAGCAAAGAGCTGTGAACGTCCACCAGGAGACACCCCACCAGCTCACTCCCACAAAGTTAACTTCCCAGAATGGGTCTTCCCCACCTCCCTCGGGCTCTGGGAGCAGGAGTTTAACAGGCCCCTCCTGCCCTGATGCCCACAACCTGCATTGTGTGTGCAGGATCCACAGAAAGTATTGCAGCAAAGAAAGGCATGCCTGGAGCCCAGAACCCAAAGCCTGGGCTGGCAGTGGTTGCTAAGAGACAGAGGATGCCCAGCTGGAATCGTGACTGAGGTTTCTTGTTTGTGCAAGAGCAAGATGAAGAGGAAAGGAGAGGATGTGTTTGCTGTGATGAATTCCGGCCTCCACCAGATCCTGCCGGAGGGAGAAAAGATCTCACTTAGGATCATACTCAATGATGTTCAGGCCCTCCAGCCTTCCGGCCGCAGAACAAGCAATAAGCCCCATTCCTTCCGTGTTCCTTAAATATCTGCCCTGGAAAACTAAGACAAAAAAAAATCTTAGGAAAGAAAAGTTAGCTATTTTATTTTGTAAAGTGCAGTGTGGTAGAGGAGCAAATCCAAAGTGAGGCTCGGACTGAATCCATTCAGTCCCAGCTTCTCTGCTTCCTGCTCTGTGTCCCTGGGGAAATTGCACAACCTCCCTGTGCCTCAGTTTTCACTTACGTTAAAGAAGCTAATATGGCCGGGTGCGGTGGCTCACGTCTGTTATCCCAACACTTTGGGAGACCTAGGTGGGCGGATCACGTGAGGTCAGGAGTTCGAGACCAGCCTGAGCAACATAGCGAAACCCCGTCTCTACTAAAAATACAAAAATTAGTCGGGTGTGGTGATGTGTGCCTGTAATCCCAGCTACTTGGGAGGCTGAGGCAAGAGAATCACTTGAACCTCTGGGGCAGAGGTTGCAGTGAGCTGAGGTCATGCCACTGACAGCAGGACTGTGTCTCAAAAAAAAAAAAAAAAGAAGCTAATATAAGTTCCTCATAGTGTGTTGTGAGGATTAAGTTCAGTAACCCATGTAAAGTACCCATCACAGTGCCTGATCTCAGTTAGGACCCACAAATGTTCACTGTTACTAGACGTGGACTGTTGCAGCTAGAGCATCTAGCGCAACTCCTTATTCTAAGATGAGGAATCGAAACTGCAGAATGGCCTGAACCAGGGGAGAGAGGGTCATTTCCATGCTGCTCCGCCATACCTTCCCTCCCCTGCCCTGGGAGGACCCGTGGCCCATCTCACCAGCCTTCCAAGCGGGCATCCTCGACTAGTACTCCACAGCCCCAGCTCTGCTGTCTTCACTCCCTCATCCTGCCCACAGGTCCTGAGCACCTCACCATCGGGTACCGGGCATGGAGTGAAAACAATGTGGACACAGCCCTGTTCCCCCAACCCCACCCACGTTTGCTGCTGATGGAGCCTTCACAGCCAACACACACTCAGCCCCCTTCCTGCCCCCAGCCAGACGCTCTCTCAAGAACAAGGCGGTCCCTCTCCACAAAACCCACAACTACTCACCCGGTTCTCAGGCCCTGGCATTGCTCCTAGATCTCAAAGTGGGTGAAGGCAAAGAGAAGAGGGAAAACAGAAGGAAACGACCTCTTCTGGCAGGGCAGCCTCTCCGCCGCCAGGAACAGGAGCCAAGTTCAGGGAAAGGGGAGGTTTGGGACAGCACCCTGAGTGGGCTGATGAACAAAATTTCTAAATCCTAAATCAAGCATGTGCTCAGATACAGGGATTTACTGGTATTAAAAAGTCTAGCTGGTATGGTGATTTCTCAAAAATTAAACATAGAATCACCACATGATCCAGCAATTCCACTTCTGGGTACATACCGAAGAGGAATGTACAGGGACTCAAACAGATACTTGTACGCCTTCATTCATGGAAGTATTATTCACAACAGCCAAAAGGTGGAAGCAGCCTCAGTGTTCATCCACGGATAAATGGATAACAAACGTGGTATTTAATGTGGAATATTATTCAGCCTTAAAAAGGAAGGACATTCTGACATATGCCACAATGTGGATGAAACTTGATGACATTATGCCTCGTGAAATAAGCCAGTCGCAAAAGGACAAATATTGTATGATCTCACTTATCCAAGGTACCCAGCACGGTCAAATTCACGGAAACAGAAAGTAGAATGGTGATTGCCAGGGGCTGGACTCTGGAGCCTGACTGCCTAGGTTCAAGTCCTGGCTCTTCTTCTTTCTAAGTGTGTGATACTGAGCAAGTTACTTAACCTCTCTGTGCCTCAGTTTCCCCATCTGTAAAATAAGGATAGCTGCACTTATACTTCGTAGGGCTACTGGGAGGATTAAATGAGCTAATATGTGTTAAGCATTTAGAACATCACGAGGCGCATAAAAACACCACACCAGCACCGCTATTGTTTTTGATGGGGGAGGGGGTTGCCATTCGGTCCATGGTCTGAATGTCTGCGAACATGTCTGTCCTCCTTTCTTCTTCCCTAGATTTTCTCAGGGAACATGCTCTGTGATCTGGACCCCTAAAGAGTCCACGGTTCCCTGAGTGGGCAGGACCTCGGCCACATGGACATTCTCAATCTTGGTCATGAAACTGTGGTGGCCAGGACATAGAACAGAGCCTGTGGGGCCCAAGCACACCCTGCCAGGTGAGACCGACAGCATGGAGCAGGCCGAGCAAGGGCATTGTGGACAGTGTGATCCCGCCCTTCCCTGTCAGTCGGCACCAAAGGAGGGCACTTCCTTCTGCCCTAAAGAGCCACACAGGCCAGAAACAGCCTTCCCCTTCCTGCACAGCTGTCCATCCAGGGCCCATGGGACGCCTCTAATGCCCTTTAAAATTCTGCCGGCATCTCTCACCACACACACTGTCATCAAAAACAGGCCCATTGAAGCAGCTAATTCAAACAAATTCGCCTGGGCGCTGACAGCCTCTGGTGGATGTGAAGCCACAAATAAGGCCTTTCTTCAGGCTGCGCCCACCCAGCCCTGGACCAAGGGTGGGGAGTGACCAGGAGTACTACAGGCACACAGGCCCATGCCTCTGCCAGCCATGCTGGGTATGGCCAACAACACACTCACCGCATTCACAAGCACGTATTGACACCCCGCTACCAGCCAGGCCCTAGAGACCCCTGTGAACAGCAGATGTGAGTTCCACCCTCTGGAGGCTGTGAGGTTTCCCAAATGGCTCCACCACCTTAAAGGCAGAGGACCGGAGCCCAGCTGCCCCAAGCACAGAACTTCCTGAAGGTCTCTTGTTTTATCTTAAATGTTCTAGCCAATTCTGCATTTTACTACTTAATGCCCCATTTGTTTTCCGGTAGTCATGATAATAACAGCCACAAACATAAACTGAGACATGCCAAGTTTCAGGCACCGTGCGGAGCTCTTTGTGTGTATCACTGCATTTGCTAAACCCAGCCTATGCGTGGGGACTAAGTATCCGCATGCTGCCAATGAGAACACTAAAGCAGAAAGAGGTTAGGCAACGTGCCCATGTGGCAGAGCTGGGCTTGGAACCCAGCCCGGCCCCCAAGTCCACTCCTTTAACAGCTGTATAAGTGAAATATGTAGAACTGTTTTTAATCAGCTAACTGTCCATCCCCCAAATGTTTAAAGTAGAAATGAAGCTCCGGGACGATGCCCCATTGAAGCCCTGTGGCTGCATGCCCCAGGCTCACTGCCCTGGACCCCTGGGGTGTCCAAACTCCTGCAGAACCCTGCCTTCAAGGTTCAGGTTCTAGGCACTGCAAACTGAGGTGCCCCTCTGCCAGCCACAGCCTCCTCCTTTGTCTTCCCAGACCCTGGCCCCTGCAGGCTTCAGTCTGGCCCCTCTGCAGGCTCAGGTAACCCAGGGTCCCAGACAAAGCCAACTTGAGGTTCCCCTTCAATCTCAGTCTCTCCCCTCCCCACCAGGTGACAGATTTTAGGATTGCAGCACTCATTCTTTCCCACGGTGACCCTTCCCAGCTCCGATGTCTGAGAGTCCTCTTGGTTCCCTGAGCCTCAAACCACCTTCAGAACTGCCCCCATGCAACAGGTGCCTGTCCACAGTCCAATGGCCAAGACCTGGTACCCAAGTTGTCCAGCTGATTGCCACCTTGGCTCCCATCCCAGGTTGCCAACCCAGTCATCAGCCCATTGCCACCACCCTCTTCTGAGCCCTGGGCCCTGTCCCTAAACTCTGACAGAATCTAAAATGCCAAGGGCCCCAGCATTTCCAGGGGTCAGCCACCCCCATTTTTCATTGTGTATTCCCCCACCTTTGGAGGGTCCAGTTACTACTAGGCGCCCTGCACATGTGCCAGGACGCTGGAGTTTCCTGTGCCTCTGAGATATTATACCTTGTAGACCTGCCTCAATCTCCAGGGCCGGTGGGGCCAGCACTCCTGGCTCCTAACCCATCCCCTTCCCTGCCTGGATGGAGGCCTTCTTCACAAGAGGGAGCACAGCTACAGCCTACATTGTCAGGCAGAAGGGAACAGCCAAAGATGAACATCTTTGGAGGGCATGAAATGGATCACTGGCGGCCCCACGTCCAAGGCAGGCCCTCCTGAGGTTTAGATGAAAACAGTCACCAGCTAACGTCCCCCAGTCATAAAGTAAATTCAGGTGAGCCTGGAAATTGGGAAGTTGCATGCTCATGGCAGCTTTATCACAAGAGCCAGAGAGTGGGAGCCACCCCAGCGTCCATCCACAGTTGAATGGATGAACAAAATGTGTACAGACAATGGAATATTATTCAGCTTAAAAAAAAAGGAAATCCTGACACATGCTACAACAGGGATGAGCCTTGAGGACATTACGCTAAGTGAAATAAGCCAGTCATAAAAAGATACACACTGGGCCAGGCGCGGTGGCTCACACCTATAATCCCAGCCTTTGGGAGGCCAAGGTGGGAAGATGGCTTGAGCCCAGGAGTGTGAAACCAGCCTGGGCAACATAGGGAGACCCCATCTCTAATATTTTTTAAAGAATTTCTTTTTAAGACAAACACTGGATGATTCCACTTCTATGAGGTACCTGGAGCTGTCAAATTTATAGAGACAGAAAGTAGAATGGTGGCTGCCAGGGACTGGCAGGTGGGGCAATGGGAGTTGTCATTTAATGGCAATAGAGTTTCAGTTTTATGAAGTCAAAATGTTCTGGAGATCGGGTCCACAACGATGCGAACTTAACATTACTGAACAGTACACTGAAAAATCATTATGATGGTAAATTTTATGTTATGTGTATTTCACCACAATTTAAATTTTTTTAATAAAATAAAAGTGAAACGAGGACTATTTTGCAAGTAGATTACATATAATGACATATCATCCATCTCCTTCTATTTGCTTGGAATCACATTCATGAGAAGCTGTGCTGAAGGGTTTGGGGAGGGAAGGATCTGGATGTTTCATAGGCCTGCTAAAAACTCACTCCAGCACCACCCCCAGGTCCTGTATCCCCTGGCTCACCGTCTTGTCCCCTGGGTCACTCTGATTTGCCATCATTTCTGGACAGCCGTATACCCTTGCTATTGGATTTGGATTGTTTCTTTGCTATGACTGTGCTGCTGGGCTATCTAGCAGACACCCCACTAAAGGTGCTGTGTGTTTCCTAGGGCGCTATCAGGCCTGAGGGCTGGTGAGCCCCCACCTCCCAGCGGGCAGCCCTGAACCTCGGTCAGATTCCTTGCAGGTCTTCTGCCATCTCAAGAGGCTGGGGCGGCCTCACTTCCTCTCCCCAAAGAGGTGTGTTTGCTCTGCTCTGGGTGGGAGATCATTAGCTCACCCCATCCTGTGCCACCCACCTCCTCCCACAGCCTTTGTGTCCCCACAGTCACAGCCACAGTTGCGTGACAAATGACTGAGGAGGTCTTGGGGACGCCATCTCATTCTACAGGCGTTATTGTGCCTGACCTAAACCCAAATACCCAGGCCCCAGTCTCCCGGGTGACACCTGAAGGCCGCGGTTTCCTGGCAACCAGGAACAATGGCCCCTGGGAAAAGCACACACAGTTTGGGAAAGGGCGGCCTGTTCTCTCTGCGCCCCTGGGTAGGAGCAGACCACTTATGCCGGCCGAGTCTCCATTCAAGCCTGAGGGTGGGGGCCTCAGAGCCCACCTGCCCACCCTAAGCCCGAGCTGCAGATCTCTCCCACCTGGGTGCTGTGAGCGCCTCTTCATAGGACAAAATTCTCTCTGAGCCCATCCCTGGCTCTCCTCTCCCTCAGCAGGCATCCCTCCACGCCAGGCCCAAGTCTGGATTTCATTCCCCCAGAGCTGATTCAAGGTGTTCAGACTTCCGTTTGGGGGACTTCCATTGTCACCTTTTGCCTGTGGAAGTGACATTCTCTTCCCCTTTGATTTTTTGGGGCCAGCATTACAGTTTGATCACGTGGTTCTAGAGGAGAGATGAGGACGCGGGCTTTGCCATCAGGCAGGCCCTTGGATGAACCTCCCTCCCAGCTACTAACCCACTCACTGTGCAACCTGGGCAAGTCACCAAATGAGGGGTCTCCTCTCCTGCAGCTCACATTGACTCACATCCCCAACAGGACCCACCAGCTCTGAAAAGCAGAGACCACAGCCTTTTTTCTCACCATGATACCCCCAGAGACCAGAATGAGGCAGAAACAGAAATATTTGTTGAGTGTGTTACAAATGAAAAAGTAAATATCTGACGTAGGAAAAGCCAGAGGCCTACGGGCCCAGCCTGGGGAAAGCCCCGTGCCTGCAGAGTCGAAGGCACGGGCTTCACGAACGGGACCCAGCAGGCACAGCCAAGCAGGCTGGGGAGCCAGTGGTGCATGCTCCCTTCCCCATCGCCTGACCACGTGCCTGCGTCTTCATCTGTCCATAACAGTTCGGCCATTTAACATGGTTCTAAAATACTTAGGCTCGGTGTCCACTCACTGCGCAACTCCATCAGCGTCGCACTGAAAGAGGAGGGAAGGGACATGCAGTTCTACCCTCCTCCCTAGAATGGAGGCCCCTTCAAGAGAACACAGACTTGAAGAGCCAGGGCAACAGAACAGTATTCCTTTGGGAGGTAGAAAGCAACAAGCAGAAATCCACAAAAACCTGGAATCACAAGGGGAAGTGGGGCAAGCTCAGCGTCCTGGGAACTGGAGGCCGAGCAATAGTGAGGAAGCCGGGGTGGAAGCAGCTTCCCGCTGGGCCGCCTGAGGCCTGGAGAGGTAACCCCAGGGGGCTGCAGTGAGTACCCACAGCTCAGGCGCTCCCCAGCCCTCAGGGCACTCTGACTGGATGCTGTACTTGGGTCTCTCCCCAGCGGGGCTGCTCAGTCAAGTGGAGGAGGGGCTGCAGAAGGGGATGTAAACAGCCACGGATGGTCCCGTTTCCGAAAAGGACAATGACAGAGACCAGGTCGGGGAGTGGGTCCCCTGTTAAAACCACTTCTCTTGGGCATAGGAGGAGATCATTCTATTTTACCTGCTCCATAGAAAAATGCCCAGGAGCTGACACACTGTGCCCTGGGGAGGGATAAGGAAGGGGTGGTGGTTGGAAAGGCACCTGGGACCCCTGGGTGGGCTCCTGCATTCCGGGGTCCTTGGGGTGATGATGGAATTTAACATTAGGATGGGGCCCTCGGGCTGACTAACTTGAGATGTCAGCATCTGCATTTGGCATTGGTGATAAATAAAGAATGGCAACACACTCATAAAACCATATTCTAAAGTCACTATAAGTCCTTATAGAATGTACAGTACCAAGAGTGAACGCTTGTGTCAACTCTGGCCTTGGGTGATGCTGTGTCACCTTGTCCCCTCATCCACTGTAATAGGTGCACCACTCTGCTGGGGGAGGCTGTACCCGTGGGAGGGCAGGGGGTGTTTGGGGAATCTCCGTACCTTCCGTTTGGTGTTGCTGTGAACCTAAAACTGTTCTTTAAAAATAAAGTTATTTTTTTAAGTGGCTTTACCATGAAGTTAAGGAAACTTATATTTCAAGGCCACTCACTTGCATTGGCCTCTTCTACAGTGTGAGTAGGTCACCAACAATGTGTCCATATGCTATTATAATTTTGTAAATTGTGTCATAGTAATCTTTTTGTATCCTTACTTTTAGAAATCCCCCATCAAAAAACAAAACAAAGTAAAACACAACAAAAAGCTTCAGGCTCCTGCCCCCACAACAAACAAACAACCCATCTCCTTACACGAAAATAAAAAACAAACCATCTCTGCCCGGCGTTTTATAGAGTACTGATGAGCATGACTGGGTCCTCCCTGAAAGCCAGGAAATGGGCAGAAATGAGTGATCCTTCCACGTTTAACGAAGCTCCTAATTACAGAGCTTGCAAGATTTGAAGGCATACTGTCGGTGTGTAGGAGGCAACACTGTGTCCTTGTGGCATGATGAGACATGCCTGGGGGCAGTGGCCGGGTCACCAGGAACACCTCTCAACCTAGGTCCCTTCTGGATGTGAGCTGATATTAACAATGGAGACAGGAGATCAGAACAGATTGAACAGGGACAAGTCCTCCCTGTTAGAGTCAAAACGGATAACTGTCAAGGTCTCACCCTCAACAAAGACCGATGCTCTTGGAGTTAAATGAGCTGGAAAAACCAGCAAGCATCCCTCCAACCTGGACTTCACACCAAGCAGGCCTGCAGTGAGGTCAAATAAAAGAAAAAGGAAGCTGTTTGCAGATTTGACCACAATCCTTTTATCAGCATTAAAAACAACCATTTTTATTTTATTTTATTTCTTTAAAAATAATGTTTTCCTCTTCCTAAATAATAAAGGAAATCCTTTATATAGTCTGGAAAGATTAGCTATTAACTGAAGCACTTTGGAGAGAGACATCTTCGAGGCACACTCCTCTCTTGCTAGAATGAATTCCACATGCTTGATATCCAGACCAAAATTCCAGAATCTCAGCCACATTTGGTTGCCTGATTCTCTTTGTTTGGGGGGAAAAATATCTACAAATAATCAGAAAACCACATCTGGAAAATTTTGCTCTAACATATTCTAAATACAGGATGAGGATTAAGATGCTGGAAATGTAATTGTTTTATTTTGTTCCCCATATTTTCTACTGTTAGAGGGACTCTGACTTAACTATCAAGAAAAATACAAGCTTAATGTTTCTTTTCCTTCCTTCCTTCCTTTCTTTCTCTCTGTCTCTCTTTCTTTCTCTCCTTCTTTCCTTCTTTCTTTCTTTTAGACAAGGTCTCACTCTATGCCCAGGCTGGAGTTCAGGGACATAATCTCGGCTCACTGCAGCCTCAACCTGCCCAGGCTCAAGTGATCCTCCCACCTCAGCCTCCAAAGTAGCTGGGATTACAGGTGTGCCCCACCATCCCCAGCTAATTTTTGTATTTTCTGTAGAGACGGGGTTTTGTCATGTTGCCCAGGCTGGTTGCTTAATGTTTCTTGATGGTTTACCACATGTTGGGCCCCATTAACAGCATCATCTCATTTAATCTGTGCTCAACAATTTAGATTGGTTCTTGCTATGCCCTGTTTCCACATAAGAAAACTGAGTCTAAACAAGATTAAGCAACTTGCCAGGTCCCCGAGCCGGTGAGTAGCAGAGCTATTGGATTCCAGAGTCTAAACTCAACTTCCCTGTTGTGCCTGATTCCCGATTAAGATTACAGTTGATCCTTGAACAACATGGGTTTGAACTGCCTGGGTCCACTTATATTGGATTTTTTTCAGCCAGAGGCAGATGGGAAATACAGTGTTTGCAGGTTATGAAACCTGCATATACCGAGGGCTGGCATTTTACATACGCGGGTTCCGAAGGGCTGATTGCGGAACCAATCTACCAAGTACACCAGTGGCCAATTATATTTGGGTAGCACCAGAGAATATTACATGCGAAGTCCAGATGGAAGCTGCACAGTGGCCTCCCCACTTACGGGCCTCCGGGTCACCTGTGCCTTCCGCAATGTACAGCTGACACCTGCATTCACCTCCACTATCAACAGATGGCGCTTATCAGCGAGGGATGCACTCTTGCAGGGAGGCCGGGGACGGTCACCACGGTCTGTGGTCAATGTTCAAATGACCAGTTGTCCACGGCCTTCCCTTCGGGATGACTGAAGTCTCATGCCATGTCCAGCTGGCTGGGAAAGATGCTATTAAAAATCATCAATACATGAGTTCCAGGCCTTGCTTACACAAGTTTCCCGTAAGGATCTGCTCAAAATTATTTCCTGTCCTTTGTTTCCTATAAACGCAGTTGTGATTTGTAGGAAACTGTTTTTTTTTTTTTCTAGTTACCTTTAGAAGGACAAGACATTCAGACACCCAGGTGTGGTGACCAAATTTGAATATGTCTGAGACAGAGGAAGATGAGGAAGGCGATTATGCTGGAACAGCATAACAGTATAATTGATATGTGTGCATCTGTGCCTGTGAAATACAATGTTTCACTATTTGTTTCCTTTTACATTCCAGTGTTTTTTCATTTCATGGATGGGAACCAGGAGGGAAAAAGCCAGGCTGCCAACCAGCCATCAAATTCTCACAGCTTACATCACCCTCTTGAGAATCAGCAACCCGCAGCACCACCAGTCAACACTCTGCCTAAGCCCAAGACCATATCTAATCCATCCTGATATTCCCTGTGCCAGACAAATGACTGCAGGCAGCAGGCTTGTAATGAGTTGGTCGGGTGAATGAATGCATCCATGCATCCGGAGAGGGAAGCAGAGCCCAGGGTCCCCACGGCCAAGTCAGCGGGAGTGAGGCTGGAAAGGAGGGCCGCCTCTCAGCCAGGCAGCAGGCTGGGGGCCATCTCGAGAATTCAGTTACCTTCAGGAGGGACACTCACCATGGGAAACTGGAAGTACTCAGGAGTCTAAGACTAGCTGCTACTTTGCAAACATCAACCAGGAATCACATTAAGGATTCACAATCCCAGGGCCAGTAGCCTTGGAGGAGAAAGAGGCTCTCAGTGTGCTCCCCTCAAACGGAGCATCCCCATTCTCTTCTTTCCTAAATGTTTCCTAAGCACTGTGGAGAGGAGAGCTGGTCACACACACAAAGATAGGGAAATACATAAAAAGTGGCTTTGCTTTTTTGTTTTGGTTTCTAAGAGAAGAGTATTATCAACTTGATCAAGAAATAGTTGCTCTGTGACAGACAGGGTACCAAAACCCCTGTCAACAAGCACACTATCCTGAACTCTGGGACACCACTGGTTGTTTGGGGAACCTCATGGAAGCTGTAAACGTCCAAATCCAAACTGCTAAATGGCTTCCTCCAAAAACCCCCAGGTAATAAATACTGTCCCCTCTGAGAGCTGACATGTCCAAAGGATTCTCCTAGAAATGGCGTGCAGAGTTCCGGGGGCCTGGATGAATAGGAAAACCCTATCTTTGGGTCCCCTACAAGGGCACTGCATGTCAGTGTGCACACAGGGCACTGGGCCCTTGGCTCCAGCTGAACAGCTGGGGACTCCCGAAATCGGCAAAGCCTCTCACAAGGTGGGTGTCCTTGGGGGTCCAACCACGGGGTCTCAGCAAGGTGCCCATCGCCCCTCACTATGAATGGGGTAGGCAGCAGCAACAGAAGCCTCTGCTTTGTGCTGATTTCTGGCACTTAGCCTGAAGCTCCCCTCTTCCTCTCTGTCTTTCCAGGGGCCTTGCAGGGTGATGAAACCCCAGCATGGCTTTTCCTCTTCCCGCCATCCCTCACCCTGACCATGTTCCTGGGAGTGGGAACATCTCTGGCTCTGACCATGGGGAGGGTGAAAGAGTGGCCCCTGTCTCCCTGCCAAGGCGGGTGTCTCGCCACCAGAATTTATGTGCCAGCGTTCCTCGTACCAGCTTTTCCCAGGTTACCTCCCTACCCATTACTACCCCATTAGTTGCCATGTGTTTTCCCCTAACTGTCACCAGCCCACACTGCCTCTTTGTTACCCTGCAGCTCTCAGGCCGGCCCCTCCCCAACAAGGGGCTAAGCTTCAACTTCGAATTGTGAAATATTTCCTCCCTCTCTCCTGTTCCCCTCCCACCGCCCTCCTTGGGCCCCAGAGCCTTTAGTAAAACAAACCCGCCAAAGGGAATTCTCCGCTGTGTTTGCACAGCACGAGTGGGCCCCCAAGTTGCCTGGAGCCCCTCATTCTCCATAAACACACTTCCCCTCCTTATTGGTATTCAGTCGATACCTTCCTTTCTAACCCTTCCCTGCTTGGCCTCCGCGATCGGCCGACAGAAGGGCCTTTGTTGAAGGAGCAGAGGGGTACAAACACCAGGGCCCCAAAGACAACTACGTGGACTTCAAAGGGGGAAATGAGTCATTGCTCAGCGGGCGATGGCTGGGTGGGGGCAGCCCAGGGGAGAACGGGCTCCTCGGCACCTCTGGTTTTGCCCAGGGATAAACCTCCTGTGTCTCTTTACAAATCAGACATCACTTCCAAAGCGATTTGTCGATTTTTATTGTTCCAAATTTGACTCTGAAATGTGGGCCAGAATCTGGGGTCTGGTAAATATTTTGTTACACAGCTCACTGGAACCACTTTGCTAGAGGGGATGGCTTCCAACACTGAGGCTCAGGCTAGGGGACTTCCAGGCACCCACCAGCTGCCAGTTGCGTGTGTCTGTGAGCAGATTAACCATCCGAAACACCGCTTGGGTCGGCTTCTTCCCTACTCGCAAGTCCTCCACGGCTCCCTTGTCGGAGGCTCTGCATGTAAAAGCACCCCGAGGCTATCAGACCCTGGCTCCCGACGACAGCTCCAGCACGCAGTTCTGGCAGATGCGGATTCAGCCCCTCCCTGAACTCTTCCAGGAATGAGGTGACAAGCACAGCAGCCCACCCTTCAGCAGCCAGCTCGTGTCTAGGAAGCCTGCCTCGTGCAGAACAACATCCACTTCCACCCCTGGACCCAGCTTCTAGAACAAATCTGCTTCCTTGTCCTCATGACAGCCCTTCACATAGATTTGAAAATTACTCTCAGGGTTCCTCTACATTTTCTTTTCATCGCACCAAACAGCCCCAGGCCCCTTGACTCTATCCCATATGAAATGGTTTCCAGATGGCTCCCAGTGTTAGCCACCCTCCTCCAAGCATGTTCAGAGACCTCCACACAAGCACACGCGATAAAACAGATCCTGGTTCTGAACACTGTTCTCTGGATATGCTTGAATCAGCACAGACTAGAACAGGACTGCCCTCCCCTGGAGAGGACACATTGCCTCTATTAATTCAAACTGAGACTATACTCTTTTAGCCACCTTAATGCACTGTATTGCATTGTATTGTATTGCATTGCATTGTATCGTATTGTATCGTATCGTATCGTATCGTATTGTATTGTACTGTATTGTATTGTACTGTATTGTATCGTATCGTATCGTATCGTATCGTATTGTATCGTACTGTATTGTATTGTACTGTATTGTATTGTATTGTACTAGACAGGGTCTCACTAAGTCATGCAGGTTGAAATGCAGTGGCATGCTCATGGTTCACTGCATCCCCAAACTCCTGGGCTCAAGCAATCCTCCTGCTTCAGCCCTCCAGCCTCCCAGTAGTTGGGACTACAGGTGTGTACCACCACACCCAGCGAATTTTTTTGTTTTTATAGAGTAAGGGTCTCACTGATCTCTGGTCCTTGGCTGGTCTCTAACTCCTGGACTCAAGCAATCCTCCCACGTGGGCCTCCCAAAGTGCTGGGATTACAGGCATGAGACACCATGCCTGGCCTCTTAACATACTCTTGACTTAACCTTAGCTTGAAGTCATCGGCCCTTTCACAACAAATACTGCCAAACCAGATCTCTCTTCTTAAAAAAAAACAAAGTTGGAAGACTCATACCTCCCGATTTCAAAACTTACTACAAAGCTACAGTAATCAAAAGAATGTGGTACTGGCATAAAGACAGACAAATAGACCAATGGAATAGAATAGACAGCCCAAAAACAAACTCTTGCAAGTATATGTGGACAAGGGTGTCAAGATCATTTAATGAGGAAAAGACAGTCTCTTCAACAAATGATGCTGGGAAAACTGAATATCCCCATGCAAAAGAATGAAGTTGGACCCTTATCTGATACCATATACAAAAATTAATTCAAAATGGATCAAAGACCTAAATGTAAGACCTAAAACTAAAACACCTAAAAGAAAACATAAGGGGAAAGCTTCATGACATTGGACTTGGCAGTACTTTCTTGGATATGACACCGAAAGCATAGAAAACAAAAGCAAAATAGACAAATGAGACTACATCAAACTTAAAACCATGTTTGTCAAAGGACACAGTCAAAAGAATGGAAAGGCAACTTATGGAATGGAATAAAATATTTGCAAATCATATCTCTGATAAGGGGTTACTATCTAGAATATACAAAGAACTGCTGCAACTTAACAACAAAAAAAATCAAACAACCCAATTAAATAGTAGGCAAAAGACTTGAATAGAAATTTCTCCAAAGATGATACGCAAATAACCAACATAACTAATCATGTTGTGCTCAACACAACTAAGATGCGCAAACTAGTCATCAGAGAAATGCAAATCAAAACCATGATGACATATCACCTCATTAGGATGGCTACTGTTAAAAAAAAAGAGAAAATAACAAGTGTTGGCAAGGATGTGGAGAAATTGGAATCCTTATGCACTGATGGTGGGAATGTGAAATGGTACAGCTGCTATGGAAAGCAGTATGACACTTACTCAAAAAATTAAAAATAGAACTGCCATATGATCCAGTCATTCCACTCTGGGTGTATATCCAAAAGAATTGAAAGCAGGGTCTCAAAGAGGTACTTGTATACCCATGTTCATAGCAGCACTATTCACAATATCTAAGAGGTAGCAGTAACCCAGCTGTCCATCACAGATGAATGGATAACCAAAATGTGGGGTATACATATAATGGCATACTATCCAGCCTTAAAATGTAAAGAAGTCCTGGCGCATGCTATAGCACAGATGAACCTTGAGGACATGATGTTAAGTGAAATAAGGCAGGCACAAAAAGACAAATGCCATGTGATTCCATTCATATGAGGTATCTAAAGTAGTCAAATTCATAGACACAGAAAATAGAATGGTACCTACCTGAGGCTGTGGGGAGAAGGGAATAGACTTTCAGTTTTGCAAAATGACAAAGTTCTGGAGATCTGTTTAACATGAATGTGAACATATTTAACACTACTAAACTGGACACTTAAAAAGAGTTAAGACAGTAAGCTTTATGTGTTTTTATCACAATTTTAGAAAAGCCACTATTGATGAGAGGTAGGACAGCCTAGAACTGGAAAAAAAGGAGGGATGGGGTTTGGGTTTCAGTGGAGCAGAACCGAGTTGCAGATACATCAGGGAATGCTGAAGAGTCTTTGTGAATATGAACATTAATGCTTCATTTACGTACAACAACCTCTGCTGCCTCCACGAACTTCTAATGCCAAGATAACCTGAAGTCCCAAAGTAACGATACTGTATGTATGTTCTAGGAAGGACTTTTGATGCTCAGAGGTTCAATGTTAAAGTTAAGATTAGATTAAACAGGCTGAGCGCAGTGGCTCACACCTGTAATCCCAGCACTTTGGGAGGCTGAGGTGGGCGAATCACCTGAGGTCAGGAGTTCAAGACCAGCCTGGCCAACATGGCGAAACCCCGTCTCTACTAAAAATCCAAAAATTAGCTGGGCGTGGTGGCGGGTGCCTGTGGTCCCAGGTACTCAGGAGGCTGAGGCACAAGAATCTCTTGAACCCGGGAGGTGGAGGTTGCAGTGAGCCGAGATAGCACCATTGCACTCCAGTCTAGGCGACAGAGTGAGACTCCATCTCAAAAAAAAAAAAAGATTAGATTAAGCAGAGATCTATTCCAGTTAAGAATTCATGAAAAAGGTAAGGCACTGTATCCAGGGGTTTATTTCTTCAAATCTTGCTCTGTTATAGATCAAGAATTTAAGGGTAGTAAGTTCTAATTCATGTTAATATTCATGCCAAGTTAATCTAATGAAGAACTCTACATTTAAAGCCAACTCTTGGGAAATGCATTCAGAGAAAGAGGCTGTAGCCATTCTTCTTCCAGTGTATGAAGTCACTACCCCATTTTCAGTCTATAAACCAAAGAAAGGAGAGACTTCAGGAGTAAAGCTCTCAGGCGGCAGGCTAAGCTGCCTGCCAAATCCTGAGTGCACTGAGGCAAGATGCAAAGGGGAGCTCTGTCCCCCACAGAGAAGACAGGCAGTGGAACTGAGGGCAGGCCCCGCTAAGTCAGAGACAAGCAGGGAGGTGACCTGCAGGCTCCCAGGCCCAGCCTGCAACCTCCCACTGAAGCCAGGATGAAGCGGGAGCCAGCAACCCCCCAGCCAAAACCAACTTGTGAGAACTTCTAGGACAGCAAATTGTCCTCAGCATCCAAGCAATGCGGCAGGACAGGACATGTCCACCTACCCCTCTATCACTTGCAATGGTTTGGGTGATGATCATAATCACAATACCTGCACTACATGCTCCATACAATCACCCCCAATCTTCATAATATCCCCCAACACTTTACAGATGAGGAAATAGACACAGAGAGGTTAGGTAACTTGTCCAGAGCCCCACAGATAATCAGTACCCAGGATCACTGGAGGAAAAGAGAGGACTCAATGCCAAGGAACCTAACTTCCAACTGGAAGAGCCAGCAGAGCTGCCTTTGGGGTGCTCCTGGGCTGGGGTGGTATGTGGGGGCATGTACAGTATTATTATTAAATGATGTACAGTATTATTGTTATTATTACTATTATTATTATTATTTTGAGACAGAGTCTCACTCTGTCACCCAGGCTGGAGTGCAATGGTGCGGTCCCGGGTTCAAGCAATTCTCCCGCCTCAGCCTCCCAAGTAGCTAGGACTACAGGCGCCTGCCATCACACCCGGCTAATTTTTGTATTATTAGTAGAGACAGGGTTTCGCCCTGTTGGCCGGGATGGTCTCGAACTCCTGACCTCGCGACCCACCCTCCTTAGCCTCCCAAAGTGCTGGGATTACAGGCGTGAGCCACTGTGCCTGACCTATTTTCATGCTGTCCATTTTTCCTACATGGAAAGCACTTCCTTTCAGATGAGCATCCACCTCAACAGGCTCTGGTCAGGCACAATTCTGATGTGAGAAGCCTGACCCCTCTCTGCCGGGCTGTAGTCCACTCTCGTATGCAGGATCCATGTGAGGGTCCACTCGTGACAGGCCACTCATCAGCTCCAACAAATGGCCAGATAAAGGTCAGCATGTGGCTGGACCCGAGAAGACTGAGGGAAAAAGAGCCAGAGATTAAGACTTGGGTATGGGGTTATCAGTTCCTTACCTTCCCTTTATCCCCCTCTCTCTACTCCAAAGCTCCTGCAAGAGCAGGAGACACTCAGACCTCCTCTGAGACAAAGATAAGGCTTCTCCAAGATGCTCCACATAAACACTGGGGCCAAAGCCAGACAGACTGCGGCAGTGAGGAGCCCAGGGCTCCTTGCCCTACAGCATGGGATGGAGGAGGTGGGGCAGGAACAGGCCCAAACGCACAAGACAGTAATTCCCGGCCATGTCACCAAAAAGATGCCTTTTGATACTTTTCCCACCCCACCCCAAACCCAACATTTGAAAGATCTGAGCTATTATATTGGTTAATAATGTATCTTGCCATATTTGCATTACTCAAGAGCTGATTAATCAACTGTGAGCCAGGGTTTCTCATTAGCATCAGAGAGCCAGTGTTGCACCACCAAACTGATTCCAAACTATAGGATTCCAGCCCCAAATCAAAGACTACATTGAAGTGATCACATTTTGCCTTAGGGCACACACTGCAAAGAGCTTGAGGAACCCCATCGTTACTTCTTTGAGCTCCTCAAGATCCACTGATGCCTGGCTAAAAATTACAAATACAAACCTGGGTCACGGCTTAAGGGAAGGGTCTAACTAGGAGGTGGTGAGTCCTGGCCCATCCTAACCAAAAATTGAGTTGGTCAAAACCTACCATGTACAAGTCATCACTGCATCCCTGAGTCCAGCCTGGCACCAACTCATGCCCGTCTCTACCCACTGAAAGGACCATGCTTCCTCTTGGATCCCCTTCTCCCTTGACTCCCTCCTCAAGCTTTCCCTGCCTCCCAGGAAACAGGGGCCTTCTTTAGGGCTCTGTGACTACCCACACAGAGAGGTACCCCAGCCCCCCCCACTGAACACCTCCCAGTAGATTTTATTTATCCTGCAAGCCAGCACTAAACCCTAAATAACTGCCTTCATGTTTCTGGACCACAAGTCCAGGCCAACCACAGGTCAAGTAAAACAGAAGTCAGCTGGAAAGTTCTGAGTCTACAAAATCCATGAAGCTGGAGCCCAGCACAGACCCATAGAGCCCCAAGCCCTGAAATCAGACAGCAAGAAATGGGCGGCGCCCCTTTTTTCAGCCTTCGGACAGTGTCTGCCACCAGAAAGAAACCACACTTGCCAGCCTGCTAACCCCACTTGTGCTGGGGAAACAAGAACGACTCCTGCCTGAGCCTCTGTCCAATCTGGTGGAAAAGGCATTGCCTTCTCTGGTGGAGAAGGCAAAGAGCTATGAGGAGCATTGTGGGGGCTCTGACAGAGGCTCAAGCAACTGCTAAAAGGGCACTGAGAGGTGGAGGTAACCTACTGTCCATCAACAGCTGAATGGATCAACAAAATGTGGTCTATCCAAACAGTGGAATATTATCCAGCCATTAAAAAAAAATGACATTTTGATATGTGCCGCAACGTGGATGGACCTCAAAAGTGCTATGTTAAGTGAAATAAGCCAGTCACAGAAGGGCAAATCCTGTATGATTCCATGTCTGTGATGTACTGAGAACAGGCAAAGTTTTAGAACCAGAAGAGAAGTAGCCAGGAGCTGCAGGGAGGGGGATGAGGAGCTATTGCTCAATGGGTACAGAGTTTATATTGGGGATGTTGAAAACATTTTGGGTATAGATAGTGATGATGGTTACACAACATCGTGAATGTATTTAATGCCACTAAATTGTGCACTTACAAATAGCTGAAATGATAAATATTATGTATATTGTACCATGATTTTAAAAAAGTGTTACAAAGGAAAAAAAAGAGGGCACTGGGGAGGCAACAACCAATTTTTTCTGGGGAGGGAGAAACTGAGAAGCTGTGATGGGAAGGTGGCATTTCAGGCAACCTGTGGGAGACCCAGGTGAGGCAGAGGTGGCCCATCTGTCCCTCTTGTTCATGGCTCAGGTTCAGAGAGCTGGGAGGGGGGGGAAGGAGGCCTTTGTGGGGGGCGACTGAGGCTCACTCTCCACTAAGTCGCCCCACTCTTCAAGAATACTCCATGGCTTCCTCTTCCTATTACCCATCCAAACTCTTCATTCTAGAACATTTCTAGGTCTAGAGCCCATCTACACTCCCTTCCAGGCTGAGCTCACACAACACTCTAGAACTGTGGGGCCCCTGCTCACAGGGAACTGCATTCCCACCCCTGTGTCTGCACAGCTGCTCCTTCCACTGGAGTCCAGTTCTTCCTCTTCACCCTCCTGTGTCTCCCATACCCTTCGATACCTTGAAACCCACCTTCCCAGAAGACTCGTGAGCAGTCTCTTTCTTCTTGCTGTTTCTCTATTTTCTCCCATTTTCTACAATGAAAAGGGTGTACAGCATGGTGAAGAAGAGCACACCCTCTGGGTAGCACTTCCTGTACTCCAAGCCTGGATCTGCCAACAACTAGCTATGCAACCAATTTACTTAACCTGCCCTCAATTCTCCTGCCTATAAAAATGGGAAAATAATAGCACCCATTGCATAGGACCATGACAATTAAAATGAGAAAATGCACATAAAGTTTTTGGCACATGAGTGCTTAACAAACAGTAACTATCATTATAATAATTACATATTGCTTTAGTACTAAGCTTTTTTTTTTTTTTCCTGAGGCAGGGTCTCGCTCTGTCACCCAGACTGGAGTGCAGTGGCACAGTCATAACTCATTATAACCTCAAACTCCTGGGCTCAAGCGATCCTCACACCTCAGCCTCCTGAGTAGCTGGGACTACAGGTGCACATCACCATGCCTAGCTATTTTTTCTTATTTTTTGTAGAGCCTATGCTGCCCAGGCTGGCCTCGAACTCCTGGCCACAAGCAATTCTCCCATCTCAGCCTCCCAAAGTGTTGGGATTATAAGCGTGAGCCACCATGCCTGGCCTAAAACTTTATTTTTTTAAAATTTTGCATGTTAGCTCAATCACCTTTAAATGCCTTAACTAGAAAACTAAATCCCTTATCTCCTATCATTCTTTGCTTTTCGCTATTTTTCAAATGTTCACTTTCTAGCAAAATTATTTTCATAATTTTTATTTTAAAATCGTATGCTTTCAAAGAAATTTTATTTTTAATATGTTTTAATTGACAAATAATATTTGTGTAACTTTTGAAATGATTTTTCTAAAATCCTCACCTCCCTAAAAGTTATTCACAAGAGCCCGTTCCTGCACGCACGCCTCTCTATTCAGAATCTTCCCAATGGTTACGAATTCCGTTTGTCTCACACCAATTTTTGTAATGCTGTAGGAGAGGACCAGTGGCTTTTCATGCCTTTGAGCCCCTGTAAGTGCAGGGCACACCGCGTTTGCCAGGCATTCTCTCGGGATGACCCACTGACCGCTCGCCACCCCCCCGTGGCCCTCCTTCAGGCCCCGGGCTCCCTTGGCTGTCCAAATTTGTAAAACCCTGTGTGGTTCTTAGCCAGCAGGGGCAGAGCTGGATTCAAAGCCCACAGCCAGGCACCAGGGCTGTGTCTAGGACATTCATCCATGCTGGGCGCATCAGCCCGCTCTGGCGAGCAGATGTCAATCTGAGGCCGGCCGCCCTCTTCCCGGAGACTCCCGTGCCGGCCCAGTGGGACGCTCGCCTCTTTCACTTGAGCCTTGACAGCAGGCGCAGATTTAATGATTGGAAAGCACTTCGAGAATCCAGAGTGCTCCATAATTGCCAACTCATAATCCCCAAATTGTTCTCTGTGTAGCTGCAGGAGGTGAAGCGTCTGCGCTTGGGGCCTTCCCTTACTTAGCATGGCTCTCACATTGAACCGGGCGGGGCAGAAGCAAAGAGGAGCTCTACCCAACAGGAAGCCCCTCCTAAGACTCACCATGCCTGACGGGGAGCAAGGCTTCTCAAGCACGAGCCAGATAAAGAGAGGTTTGATGATGCAGATTCTTGGGCCCTTCCACACTGACTGACTCAGAATCTCTGAGTGTGACCCTGGGAATCTGAATTTTAATAAACTCCCCACTGAGACAACTCTTAATCATACTCTAGTTCAAGGACTGGCAGTTTGAAGGTAAGTATGTGGGTTTGGGGTCAGGTGGGCCTGGGTTCGAATCTCAGCTCTGATTCTTACTGTCTGAGACTTCCGCAAGTTACTTAATACTAGGCTGATGTTAAAAGGTATTCCCCGAAAAAATAAATTTTTTGAGGTTCACAGTCAGATATGTTTGGGAGACGCAACATTCCACATCTGCCCTGGGAGCTGTATGGCGCACATTAGCGTGTTAAATGGGCTGAATAGTCCTTGACGAAGGACTCTGCTTGGCCCAGCTCTTCCCCAAATTGTTTAACCAAGGAAGCTCCTTTTTACCATTAATGCCAGGAACATCTCAATATCTTGAAGGACAAAGCTAGTGAAATTCCTTTCTGGGAAAGGGAAGTCTAAGGAGTGATGGACCGCCATCTCAAGGAGTCCCCAGAGGACTCTGGCAGGAAGGAGGCTCTGGCTGGGGAGGGGCGGCTGGGAGCCCCGTTCTCGTGTGCTGGTGTCTCGGGGCATGGCTGGCTCAGTTCTGCAGTTCTGCTGCCTGGCATGGATGCGTCACAATAGCGAGGTCACCTTCTTGCCTTGGGTAATTTCCCTCAGAGGCAAAACAGATCCATTTTTAACAGCTCTTCATTTCAGCAGAGAATGCCCTCCTGCCTCTGATGGGGGCTGGGGACCAAGACGGGAAGGGAAGCTTTGTTCTTCTGACCAGTGCTGACAGTTTAATTAAACCCAGCTTGAGACAGGGTCGATAGGGTCAGGCATTCTTCAGCAGGGCTCCTGTGAATCTCATATCCACGCCTCTCCAACCACCAGGGCCCTGTTAATGAGTTATGGTGGTCCTTACAGCAGGGATATAAATAAGGGGAAATAAATGCCCTGGGCTGCCCTTAATCACCCACCCCCACCCCTTCCAGGCCCAGCAGAGACACAAAAGGTCAATCTTGTTGGGACACATATTGGTTTCAAGGCTAAAAGGAAGCCCAGAGGAACTGGGTTTCCAGAAGCAGCTTCTGGATGACGAGGGGATCAGCAAGAGCAGAGCTGCACGGCAGCAGAGATCCTCCCCAGATTGGAGGCCAAGGAGGCGGCATGCGTGGTGGGCGGACACCCTGCTCCCCACCTGAACCTGGTGAAGACTGAGTTTTGCTGCTGTAAGAAGCAATCAGGTTTCCAGCATATCCCTCTAACCTTCAACTTAACACCTGTGTATGTCCATGGAAACAACATCTCCACATCCTCTGAGGGTTCACTGTCAGGTGACGGAGCTGACCTCCAAACCTAGGTAACCCCCCACCAGGGTATACCTGCCCCCCCGCCGGAAGGAGATATAGGTCCAGCCAGTGCAGCACCTGCCCCCACCCACTCCAATCTGCTGATAGGTCAGAGGGTGGCAGGCTGCTCTCAAAGAGCACTGATGACAGACCTGTCACCTCCTAAGAGGCAGGGCCACACTCATCCATCTTACCTAGACATCACTCCAAGGGTTCACAGTACCTAACACAGAGCCTGGCCCACAGGAGGCCCTCAGGAACTATTGGATCAGTGGGTGGGTGAGTAGAAGATGGAAGGTGAGCAGGAGCGAATACAGGGGTGGAGGAAGGTGGGGAGGAGTTGGGAGATAGAAGGGTATCTGGGTTTATAGGTAGGTTGGTAGATGCGTACGTGGGAGGGGGAGGGTTGATGGGTGGGGGTGGGAGAGTGGATGGATAGGCAGGTGGTGAGTGGGTGGGGAGTGCTGGATGGGAGAATGGATGGGAGGAGATGGGGGATGGAGGGATGGGTCAGGAGTAGGGAGAGAGATGGGTGGGTTGACTGATGGGTTGGTAGATGGTGGGAAGGTAGATGGGAGGTGAAGGGCAGTGGTTGATAACTAGGTGGATGGACAGATGGGTGGATGGGTGGAGGGGGTGGATGGGTGAGGCAGGCTAGGGGTGGTATGTAAGGATGAGCTTTATTGTCAGACAGACTGGGGTTCACATTTGGCTTAGCCCCTTGGATGTGTCACATACCCGCTGAGCTTGCATTTCTTTATCTGTAAAATTCGGAAAGTGCTGACCTCGTAGAGTGTTCTGATGATGAAATCAGGTATATCTGTAAGTTGCTCAGCATGAGCCTGGCACACAACAACCTTCCATTCTTTCTAACCGTTACTATGATGATTGCAGTCCCTGAGACCTTTCATGAGGCCCTGGGAGAGTGAGGCAGTGAAGGAGGTCATGGGGCAGGTTCACTTCTGCAGTGGGGTTGGGGAAGGGGGTGTGCTCTCTTCTGAAGAGGTGTGAGTGCTGCTCCAGCCCACCCTCAATGGGGGCATCCCTGGGGAAGTACAGAATACATATGTAATTTCAGGGCACCAATAAATGCCTCCAGGGCAGCATCACCTACTTGCTCCATGTTTGCTCTCCCTGGCCTGCTCAGGAAAGTGCCCAAGAGGACAGAAAGCATATCTCCCACATCCTCAGCCCGGGCACTGACTGTGCCAAGGTCACGGCCCTCCTGCCCACCACATGCCAGCCTCCCTCCACAGCCTCCTCAGGGTGTCTCTGCAGGGTCACCTAAGCCCCTCGAGAAAAAAAAACAAAACCCTGTTGGGGGAAGGTCCCTGCAAATTGAGGGGATGGTTGTGAGTTAAGAGTGGTGAGGTTGAGTTGGCACAAGGGACAGGGGAAGCCAACATCAATATGGGACGCAGGTCCAGGTGCAGGTCACGCTGGGGCTGCACCACCCTCCGAAGTAGCCCTGATGTGGACTCATCTGACATTTCCTGGGCACCTCCCGTGTGCCACAGTGTTCATGTCTGACACAAGAGAGTGTCACAGCTCTCTTTAATCGTCACATCAGCCCCATGAGGCAGCCAGCCCTTACTATCTGTATCTCACAGAAGAGCAAACAGGCTCGGTTAAAGGAAACGCTGCAACATCGTATCACAGGCATTTGCTTCACCTCAGACTACAGAGGCTTTTCACTTCTTATTTAAAAACTGGGAGGTTTCCTACCGTAAACGTAACACATGCTTCTTAAAGAACATCTGAGACACAGAAGAGAAAAAAGCCACCCACAGACAATCCCTGTTGGCATTTTCCAGGTATGTTTTCATGCATTATTTAGAGTGATTTATCAAGTGGTCATATTGTCAATGCAGTTTGGAATCCTGGCTTTTGATATCAAACACATGTATCTGCATTACTTGACATCTTTCATAAAGGCCATTTTTGATGATGGTATAAATATTCCATCAAGTAGATACATCATCATTTACTTCATCATGCCCCCAATGTTGGACATATATGTTATTTCCATATTCTTTTCATTATTCTATATTTCAATATTCTAAATAATACAGCAACGAACATGTCTGTGCTCATGCTTTATTATTTCTTTAGGGCAGATGCCCAAATATGAGATTCCTAGGTCAAGGTTTAAGACCATTTTCAGGCTCTTCAGGGCCCCTAGAAGGCCTGGTGTCTAATTCCAACCCTATTGTCAAGCTGCTCTGTGGTCCAAGGCAAATCACCTCTCTGAGCCATAGATCCTGCATAGGAAAGAAATAGACAGACTAACCTCACAGCAGGGGAAACATTCGTGCAGAATAACCCCTAACAGGATTTTAACTTCTGGAGGCCACACAGACAAAATCAACTGAAATGTGGGCTGCGCCACCACCTACAGACTTGGTGACCATGCCTTACCCAGCACATTTGGTCTCTCTCAAACCCATTTTCATGCTGATTTAGCATAACAGCCTGTGCATGAAAGTCCATAATTTGCTCCAGATGGGAAGAATTAGTAACAGATCCCTACAAAGCAAAGGGGAGGTCAACAAGTGAGAGAACAGGAATGCCAGGCACTGCCTTCTAAGGGAATAGGTCCCACTCCAGCTCCTGAGATAGTGTGGGCACCATAGTGTTGCTGCACCAGCGGATCCCACAATCCCTGCCAACAGCTCACTGGCCTGGTGTGACCTCTTGACCTAAGATGGGCCAATCAGATTCACTCTCCCAGAAACCCGGAGTTGGGGCCTGAGACGCTGTGTGGATCTGAGCTCCGAGGTCACAGGAAGTAGGAGGCAAATTGGCACCATGGCTGACCTGAGTCATGATGGAATCGAGATGCTGCTGATGATCCTAGAACACTGGTTTGCAGGGAAGAGCAGGACAATAAGGCAGATATTCAGAAATAACGAGAAATGGCCCTCACATCTCAGTGCAGGTCCCTGGGAGGGCCAGCTGGATCTCACCTCCTGCTCTGGGAGCCTGGGAGCCTGCCAGCTGTGCCCCTACAAAACCCCGCCTCTACCTTTACCATCACCAGCCGGCAGGGTATTCTGTTTCTGGAACCAAGCGTGCCGAGTACTCCTTGGCCAGACCAACTGGGGGAGTTAACAGAGATACTTTAGAATGCCAGGTGCTCAGGTCAATAGAATGGGGCAGGGCGGATGCGTACACAGTAATATTAGAAGAATATTAACAAGTAGATCTTTAAACACTTGCTCCTCTATCCTTCCCTATAACCATCTCCAAGGTGAAGAACCCGGTAAGCCCAGACACCAGGGACGAACAACCAGATAAATAAGGTTTGTTGAATCATTTCCCCCAGACAGTGCCCGTTTTGAGATGTGACCTGGTGGCCACCAAATGCCTTGGCCTCAGTGCAAACTAAGCAGGGCACACTGCCTGGGAGTCCTCCAAGAGCCCTGCAGGAGTCCTCTCGGTTTGCATGCCTTGCTTACAGATGAGGTTAAGAAATGTCAAGGGGAAAGCTAAAGAAAAGTCTGCCTTCACCCAAATCCTGCTATGCTCCTGGATGAGAAATGTTTCCTGCTGAGAGTAAAGGACCTGATGCCTGGAAAGAAAAGACAGTAAGTGTTAGGGAGAAGTTCTGGCTCTAGAGCCTAGAAACACCCCCCCAAAGGGCTACCAAGACTTCCACTGCCCTCCTGGAAGTCCCTCTGTTGGCTGCCAACCAGCCCCCTCCCGAAAGCAGCTGGCCTGGGACCACTGCAATGAGGACACCCAATGTGTCTAGAGGCTTCTGCCTCCCAGCCCCATAGGGTGCCAAGAGCAGGTATCATACAGAGTGCTGTCCTCTGCAATGGCTTTTTGCTCCTTGATTTAATCTTCTTGTGCCAGCCTTTGGTTATAGAATCTGGCTATTTAATACTCATTAAAATATAGATGTCCTTTCCTCTAGGACTCCTGTAAAATATGAAACCATGAAGAGGGCGGGCCTAGGAGTCAGAGGGCTTCATCCTGACTCTCGGGAAGTCACTTCCTCTTTCCAACCTGTCTCGCTGGCAGTAACAGTGGGAGACATTGCTTGCCTCATGGCCACATGTGTCAGACAAGATATCAAGCACAGGAGCACCTGCTTCACCGAGGGGCTATTTGCTCACCCTGAGTTATCAGGGGCATGATGGATGAACATCCACTGAGGGCCAGCTGCAGGCTTGGTTATGTTACATGCACAGTCCCAGTTCAGACTCCTACTAGCCCTACCATGTATGGGTAAGAGAAATGGGCTCTGAACAATTAAACCACCCAAAGTTATGCCTTGAAAAGCCCAGGACCACCTGACCCTTGACTTTCTGCTTCCCAGGCCACCTTCCATTCCAGGGGGGATCCAGGTTTCCCAGACACAGGCCAAGGAGGCAGCCAAGTTGTCATTTTCCTCAGGAAGGAACACAGGTGTGTGCAAGGCACCAATGTCCAAAGAGAAGGGTGGACTCGAGTAAAGGAGGGAGGGAGTCCCCTGCAGAGCTACCCTTTACCCCCAAGGGCTGGTGGAAGGTTATGACAAAAGAAGTCAGCTCCCCGCTAAAAATGAATATGGCTGGAGATGATCTCAAGTAAAGGGCTGGAAGTTGGTGGATTCAGATTTACATGATGGGTCTTGGAGATTTTAAAATCAATGAGGGAGAGTGAAAGTGGGCACCCAGAGCTTGACGGCAACTGTACAGTATACATATGCCTTGATCCCAGCAAGGTAGAGGGCAACGGATCACTATGGGAAGGAGAAGGGACCCAAGTAGGCAAATCATGCCAGGAGAGCAAGGGCAAAAGCTTGAAAGGTTAAGAGGACATAGGAGGGGGAAAGAATTGCACAATTGAGACCAAGAGAAAAGACATTCAAGAAGAATTTTTGCAGAAAGGCAGAGCTGTGATAACACTTGCAAGTCAGCAGAGAAAGAACAGCAGAGAGAAAACAGGAGTTGCTGGGGCCAAGGCAGGGCAAGGCCAGATGCTTGCATGTGGCCAGCAACAGCATGGACCACATAGACCAGTGCATGGCCCACAGGTTCAACAGACATTACCACGGAGGCACCTGCTGGGAAGAATCTTCTGCCTTTCGCAATCAAGTAGGGAAAAATTAAGCACCCACTGTGTATGCCTGGCACAGAATGGATTGGCCAACCTATCAGTTACAGGAAAACTGGAGGAGAAGGCCCAACTCAAGCCCAAGGGTGGTGGCAAAGACCAGCAAAAGAGATCATCACTAAAGGTCACTGTGGAGTGGTCTCCAGGCCAGGAGGAGGAAGCAACAGGAAGTGACCAGAAAGACCATTCCAACAGACTGAAAATTAGAGTTCCATTGTAAAGACAAAAGCTTGGCCAGGTGCAGTGGTTCACGCCTGTAATCCCAGCACTTTGGAAGGCTGAGGCTGGTGGATCGCTTGAGCCTAGGAGTTTGAAACCAGCCTGGGCAACATGGCAAAACCCCGTCTCTACAAAAAATTAAAAAATTAGCCAGGCATGGTAGTGCATACCTGTAGTCCCAGCTACTCTGGAGGCTGAGGTGGGAAGATCACTTGAGCCCAGAAGATTGAGGCTGCAGTGAGCCAAGATCGTGCCACTGTATTCGGCCTGGGTGACAGAGCAACATCTCGTCTCAAAAATAAGTAAATAAAAGTTTGAAGGTAAGATCAACAACAAATTCTGGAGATCACTGGGCTTACAGAGAGGTCTAGAAATCATGGCAGAGGCAGAAAGAACTAGCTGTGTTTAATCAGAGGAGACAAAATCAAGCCCCAGACTCTAGGAGCCCATGGTCAGACCCCTTAGCACTCAGGTAACCTTAGGGTGCCACTCTCACCCAACCCACACCCCTCAGTCTTACCTACATTGCTTATTACCCCTTTCTCTACCTAGGTGCTGACCCATAGCTCCTTCAGGGACGAACCAGTAGTGCTGTGCCAGGCATGCAGAAGGCCCTGCCGGTGGCTCTTAAGGTTATTAATGACAACAATTAAGGGAACTAAAAAACATCCCAACTCAAAATTCAAAAACCTGACAGCTCTTCAAAAACTAGGTAGTTATAGAAAGCAAAACTGAGAAATATGTAAGTTACTGGAGAGCAGATTTAGGGCCCAAAGTTAAAAATTTTCTAATTTACTTATTTGTCCAGTGATAGAGTTGATTGTCTGCAGAGGTGGTGAGCTCCCCATCACTAGAGGTAGCCAAGCAAAGACTGTGGGACCATATGCTAAGGAGCTGCAGAAGAGATTCCTTAGATAATCTCAAAGGTCTTGTCCAACCCAATTCCCATAAAATGAAATATATGGTAGAAAAATTACAGACACATGTGGCAAATCATGGTGCAGCAGAATTAGCAACTATCCTTCGAACTTGAAAGAAGTACATTGACAATACATAAAAATATGATCTTATACCATGGTTAATAACCTTACAGACCTCATGGCCCTAAACGGTAGAAAGAGCTGAAAATAGAAATAGGTTCAAGAAGGGCTTAGTTGAATGAGTAAATATTCAGCTCCAGGCAGGTTACTAAAGGCGCAGTGAGATGGGTAAGAATGAGCCCCTGTAAAGGCTGGCATCACCGTCCACAAGCATGCCTGCCTGCAGAACACCCTTGTACCCACACTGTCAGCGGCAGCTCACAAATCTGGATGAACTGCGGGTTCTTCCAAGTGCTTGCCATGGAGAAATACCCTGCACAGCACCTTCCTACAGAAAGGGCCTGGCCTTTGATGCCCTGGACCATTCCTGCCAGGGGAGGAGCACAGGGTCAGGGTCATGGGAATATCCAGGCCCCACTGACCAAACACTGTGCCTCCCACAGGGTGAGAGACAAAACCACAGGGAGAACTCTCTGGCCACAGAGCGTCACTCACAGTCTTGACAAAGCCTGGTTGTTCTGGAACAGCAGTTCCGGTAACATGTGCAGCTGGTTTCGGTTCAGTCGCCTATAAAAGAGAAGAAGAATTGGAAATCACCTAGACAGCCAGGAAATCCAAAGGACTTCTCAGAAAGCACAAGATGGATTCAGAGGCAGAAGGTCCAGTATTCAAATCCTAACAGGGTCCATGTGGCATCCCAGGGAAATTACCTTCTCTGGGCCTCAGTTCTTCATCTGTAAAGTGGAGATTCCACCACCCAGCACGAGGGGAGGATAAGAACAGAGTGTCTGCGGAAGCCCCTCACCAGCACCTCTCCTTCCACTACTTCTTCCCATAGCCATCATCATCATCACTTCACATTTGCAAGCCCTGTGTGGTTTCTAAGGCACTGATTCCAATGCTGTTTCCCTTTGTGAGTTGGAAACCTGACTACACTTGAAATGGGAGACATACCCTAATGGCCACACAGCCCTGATTTCATCCACATTTGGCTCAACAGAGGTTTCACTTTTTTTTTTATTGTTTGCTTTGGGTCTTTTTTCAAAATGAAAATAGCAGCTGGGCGCAGTGGCTCACAACTGTAATCCCAGCACTTTGGGAGGCCGAGGCGGGCGGATCACCTGAGGTCAGGAGTTCGAGGCCAGCCTGGCCAACATGGTGAAACCCCGTCTCTACTAAAAATACAAAAATTAGCCAGGCATGGTGGCAGGCGCCTGTAATCCCAGCTACTCGGGAGGCTGAGGCAGGAGAATCGCTTGAACTCAGGAGACGGAGGTTGCAGTGAGCCAAGATTGCACCACTGCACTCCAGCCTGGGCGACAGAGCGAAACTCTGTCTCAAAAAAAAAAAAAAAGAAAGAAAGAAAATAGTTTTATTGATTATTTTTATCATTAATAAAAATGCATGCTCAGCCAGGCATGATGGCATGCACCTGTAATCCCAGCAACTCGGGAGGCTGAGGTGGGAGAATCACTTGAACCAGGGAGGTGGTGCAGTAAGCTGAGATCACGCCACCGCACTCCAGCCTGGGCAACAGAGTGAGACTCTGTCTCAGAGAAGAAAAAAAAAGCATGTCAAATGGCTCCTGCCTGTAATCCCAACACTTGGGGAGGCTGAATGAGAGGATTGCTTGAGGCCAGGGGCTTCAGATTTGCCTGGGTAACAAAGAGAAATAACTAAGAGAAACGTCATCTCTACAAAAAATACAAAAAAATTAGCTGGGCATGGTAGTCCAGGCTTGTAGCCCCAGGGGTGTCTGAGGGGTCTTAGAACAAATCCCCCATGGATACCAAGGGACAACTGTATGATAAACCATCTCAGCCAAAAGCTTACTTCCAGAGGGAAGGGGAAAAACTTAATTCCATGTAGCCAGCAGTAATTGGTCTGTGGTTACCTCCTAGAAGGTCATCCTTCATCTAATATGTGAGAAAGGCCATTGCCACCACATTGGGCACCGCCATGTTCCCCAAGGTACAGACAATTAAGTCAACTTTTGCAGACCCACTGGAAGTTTACTTTTAAGGGCAGGCTCCTAGGGAAACACTTCATTGCCTTGGGGGGATAAAATCATCAATACAATCCTTAAAGCAACAGGAGTAGACATCAGATAGCTCCAAATTCTTTATCCTTGGTCCAGTAAATTAATCCTGTATTTACACTGCCTGGTAACCACTGGTTTTGTTTTGTTTTCCCCCAAGACTTTCTCATTTTTCTGGCTTCTGCTTCTGAAAATTATTTAGGAGGAAAAAGGGATTCAATGCCTAGTTTAAAATGGAAAATTAAAGGACACTAAAGAAGGGACTCCACATGGCGAGGGACATGAAGTTTACTGAGAATGATAACAGTAGTCATGGCCACCATCATAATCAGCCCTTACTATGTGCCAGGCATGGGGCAAATGCATTAGGGGCATGAGCTCATCGCGGGCGGGAAAGCGGAGCGTAAAGGTGGGCCTCTTTCTCTTGAAAGTGACAACAGCACTTTGCATTCGTGCCCTCACCCTCCTGACTCTCAACAAACACCCCCCACAGAGGTTTCCTGCCACCACTGCACCACGTGGCTTGGCTCTTCATAGGTGCCCAAGATAGGTTTGCTGACTTTGTTGAGTTGCTCATCTTTGAAAGATGAGAGAATAGGGGTACCAAGAGGTAAGTGACTCGCCCAAGCCATTACTGAATGGTAGATGTGGGATCTTGAAGCTTGCCTTTCTCTACTCCCCATCCTGGCTGCTCCCATGGTATGATCCTGGCCACGGTACAGTGCCAGGCCAGCTCCCAGGGTGACTGGGCACACTCCACTCCTCTCCACCTGCAGACCCGCTGAGGCCACAATGTCCTGATCCCTCTTGGCCAGCTCAACTGCACACTGCTGCATCTACTCTGGAGTTTATAACTGCTCACAAGAACCAGTTATGTCTACTCCCAAACCTGTTTATGCCAGAGGCACTTGCCATTCTAACTCTATAATTTAATTACCTATTACATAAATGAATGAAATGCTAGTGGAAAAAGAGTCATCTCTATGAAAACTAAGTGGAATGCTTTAGAAAGATTCGATGAAAGGAAAGCTGCTAATTAAAGGGCTGTTGAATTAAGTAAAAGACGGTGGCAGACAGGGGTGGGTGTCATTTTAAAAATCAGGAATACTCCCCCAGATTGCTCCCAAGGCCCTTTGGAAAATCTCACTCCATCTTCCAGAAACCAAACCCAAAAATCATCAACAAGGTATACGTGTGTGGTTTAGGCGAGGCAAACAACACAGAAAGAACACCAGCGTTTCACACCAAAGAGAAAGACTTTGGCCAAAAAAAAGAGGAGGGGTCAGTAAATGCACATTTATATGTTTTAACATAAAATGAAATGTCTAAGGTATGTGTGGGGTTTTGTTGTTGTTATTGTTGTTGTTTTGCTGTTTTTGAGACAGAGACTTGCTCTGTCGCCCAGGCTGGACTGCAGCGGCATGATCTCGGCTCACCGCAACCTCCGCCTCCCGGGTTCAAGTGATTCTCCTGCCTGAGCCTCTGGAGTAGCTGGGATTACAGGCACGTACCACTGTGCCTGGCTAATTTTCATATTTTTAGTAGAGGCAGGGTTTCACCATGTTGGCCAGGCTGGTCTCGAACTCCTGACCTCAAGTGATCCACCCCCACCACCTGGCCTCCCAAAGTGCTGGGATTACAGGCATGAGCCACCGTGCCTGGCTGGTATGTGTGGTTTTTAATGACTCTGCACTTTAATCACCTTTTACGATCAACTGATGCGCCACTGGTCTCCAACAACTCAGGCGGCGACCATTGAACTGACCACTCAGGAAGGTGCCTGCAGGCCTAAAGTCGCCACTCACCCAGTGGGGTCATGTCTCGACCCCCCAGACCCTTTCCCTCCTCCCCTCCTTCCCAGCACAAGAGGTGGAGCCAGGTTGGGTCAGGTTCAAATCAGCCCCTCATAGCCAGGTCATTAACATGTATTTTATTCTAAGTCTTTTAAAGAAAACAAATGCAGCATTCGACATCTGGTCTAGCTGTGGGCTCCTTATCATTTCGTTTTAGGCCTGGATGAGGAGCACAAAAGAAAGATTGCCTTGCTTTCTTCCAGGCTGTAGGAGGGCAACGAGGCAATCGGATTCTTTTCCTTTTATTTAATATCCTATTTTCTTTAATATAAAAATGAAAGAGCCAGGCATGGTGGCTCAGGCCTGTAATCCCAGCACTTTGGGAGGCCAAGGCGGGCGGATCACCTGAGGTCAGGAGTTCAAGACCAGCCTGCCCAACATGGTGAAACCCAGTCTCTACTAAAAATACAAAAAATTAGCTGGGCGTGGTGGCTGGCGCCTGTAATCCCAGCTACTCAGGAGGCTGAGGTAGGAGAATCGCTTGAACCCAAGAGGCGGAGATTGCAGTGAGCCGAGATTGCGCCATTGCACTCCAGCCTGGGCAACAAGAGTGAAACTCCGTCTCAAAAAAAGAAAGGTGAGGTATCAAGTCATCTTCATTAAGAGCTCAGACTTTGAAGGCAAAATGATCTGGGTTCTAATCCCCTCTTCTGTACAACTGGGGACAAGTGACTTAATCTCTGTGTACCTCTCTTTCTCATCTGTGAAATACTACTTAGAGCAGTGTTGTTTTAAGGATTAAATGAGATAATATAAGGCAAAGAGCTTCCCCAGGTGCCTGGCATAGAGTGGTGGTAGCTATAATCATAATAATAAACTTGTCATAAGAAAATCCATTAAAAGAGAAAAACACAAAGAATAAAAATAAAGTTATCTATAATCCACCACTCACTATAATGAGAGTTAGTGGTTCCAGTTGTCTTCTTCCTCCTGTATTCTATCCACATGCAAATTGTTTTAGTAATACTATTGTCATTTTTTATCTTTTCCATTTAACATTATATTGCGAGCACATTCCCATGTGTTCTTCACTGTTCTTCAGAAATGTGATTTTATTTCTTATGTATCCACTAGAATGGGTTTCCAATTTTTTTCTATTTAAGTAATGTGCAATGGCCAGGCACGGTGGCTCACGCCTGTAATCCTAGCACTTTAGGAGGCCGAGGCAGGTGTGTCACCTGAGGTCAGGGGTTCAAGATCAGCCTGGCCAACATGGTGAAACCCCATCTCCATTAAAAATACAAAAACAATTAGCCAGGCGTGGTGGCATGCACCTGCAATCCCAGCTACTCGGGAGGCTGAGGCGGGGGAATCGCTTGAACCCGGGAGGTGGAGGTTGCAGTGAGCCGAGATCACGCCACTGCACTCCAGCCTGGTAGACACAGCAAGACTTGGTCTCAAAAATAAATAAATAATAAAGTGCAATTAATATCCTGATACATGATTTTTAGCCATGTCTCTGATTATTTCCTTAAAATAAAACGGACTTTCTGGTTCAAAGAGCATGAACATTAGGACTCCTAACACCTACAGCCAAACCACTTTCAGAAGGACGAGATCGGCGACCACCGTGAACATGATGAGTGCCCATCCCCCACCTCACCCCACTATGTTTCTTTTTTTTTCATCGTTGCCAAACTGAAATGTAAAAATTGATCAAGACCCATTTTCAAACTTAAAAGCCCTATTCAGCAACAAACCATGTGAATCAGGACAGGCCTCCACCTTCCCATTTCTGTACTGTGGCCCTGTGCACCTAAGACACCAATCCCCCGGGGCTTCCCTGACAGGTTCCGTTGGCACGGCTTCCTTTAAGGACACACAAATCAATGGACAGCGGTTATGTCAGGATGAGATGACAGGAAGAAATGTCACTTCCTCTGTATTATTATGTAAATTTTTTGCCATCCCGTATCTTCAGGGAAAAACAACAGGGACAGTTGCATGGAGAATGTGGGTTGGGGACCCACTCCAGGTTTCTCTGTGACCATGCCTTGTGACCACTTTCACAGCTGCAGCTGCTCCTGGCTCCATCCGCTGGTGGAGGCAGGCTGGGCATGGGGTCCCCTCCCATGAGTGCCCCTCATCCCTGGCAGCAGCTTGGCCTGCCAGTTCCCTCTCGTGCCAGCCCCCCGCCCTCCTGGCCTGCACCCTGCCAGGACTCACAGCCGCTCCAGCTCCTTCATGTCATCAAAAGCACCACGTTCCACTGCTCCAATCTGGTTCTCCATCAGCTGCCTGGGGAAGCAAAGAGACAAGGACAGCTACAGGGTGTGGGACAAGGGCTGCTAGAAACAGCTGGCACAACGGCGGGGCAGAGGCAACCTCTGCCAGGGCAGCATTAGCAAGGGAGTAAGACAGGAGCCATGCCCAAGCCTCACACAGGCCTATGCCTGGCCTGAGCGGACTCAATTTCCTTACACCTTTGCAAATTTCCCACCATGGGCTCCTCAGGGCTCCCAGCATCTTACCTCACCACAAAATGCACTTGCAACCCCCTGACCCTCTGAAGCTGCCTGCCAGGGCAGAAGGCCACAGGGCACCCAAGCACCATGTCTCCGCTCCAATCAGGCTCCAGGGAGCCAGGCCCAGCAGCAGGCAGCACAGGCTGGCTTGAGCTGCTGGCGCACGTGCCCTGGCCTCTTTGGGCCCTGAAGGCACATGTCCAAGGGACAGAACGGGGGGACCGGCCAGTATCAGGGGGAGGGGAGCCTGTGCCAACTGGGCAGAGCCCACACAGGCAGCAACACACTCTACAATTGGCAGACAACACCCTGTCTCCCTGTACCCCCACCCTGCCTGGCCCCATCTGCTGAAGAAAAGAGTGGGGTGCCCACGCCAACTGAACCACCTGGCTCTGTGGGACTCTGCATCCCCTCACCGCCAACGTGCCCTGAAACCCAGAGCATCCGGCTGGTGGGGCAGCATTTTTCACCAACAGATTGACTGTTGCGTGATAACTTTTGAGATAGTCAAGTGTGTTTTTCCCCCTGCATCTGTCCCTCTCCACCCGCAAGCAGGTGGCTTTCGTGCCCCTGCATGGGCCTCAGATGACGTTGGGGGCAGGGCAGGGGGGGGAACCGCCACCAGATATTTCTCTTTCTCTGCTTTGTTTCCAAAAGCCTGAAGTGTGAGAGGCTCCCGCTGGAGGCCTGGGGGCAGAGGGGAGGGGAATCCTGGGAGAGAGCATGGGCCTCCCCAGACTCAGAAGGGACACACCCAGAGCCTGGGAAGCGGCAGAGGTTGGGGGTTTCTGGAGCAGATCCGTGCCCAGCGGCTTGTCAGCTCTGACCTCAGAGACGATTGGTCACGAGGTCCCTGCTCCTCCAAAGACCCTCAGAACTGCAGAGGTGGGAGTTCTGAAAGAACTGAGGTCCTAAGACCCCTGCACTACCCTGAGAGCACAGGGCGACGGACCTTATGATGAGTTAAGACTCAAGACTCAACATCACCCCACCCGACACCCCTCAGGATGTCTTGCCAAGACTGACTCCGTGGTAGAGGGGCCCAGACAGCCCACCACCCTACCACCCACAGCCAGGGCCCTGCCCAGGACTGCCGTGGCATTGCCAGGGGTGGGGTGGGAGGGAGCACCCCATACTCACAGCACCCGCAGCTGCTTGAGCCCCGCAAAGTCATTCTTATGGATCCGAGTGATGTTGTTGCCATTGAGTTCCCTGGAGGAAGAAGGAGAGAAGGAAGCAGTGGGGTGAGCAGGGTAAGCCCCCAGGCCAGGGGCCCTGCTCCAGGTGCCCTCCCCGCCTGGATCAGCCAGTCGTCTCATCAGCGGGGCTGGGGGCTTCTGTGAGTTGAGTCTGTGTCAAGACCCAACAAGCTGGGCCCTCTTCGCAGCTGACATCCAACCCACTGGAACCGCAGGGCACAGGGCGCATCACTGGGAGTGCTGTGGAAACCAAAAACGTGGTTTCTGCCCACTGATGCAACTCAGTCAAGTTGGAGAGATGAGACATTCACCCAGGGAAGAATCCGGAAACTAGTCAAGAAGACAGGCTATTCAGGTAGAATCCTCGCTGAGCCTCAATTTCCTTATCTATAAAATGCGGACAACTGTGTCTACCTTATACGGTTAGCACAGGGTAGAAGCAAGTAAACGGCATAGCCTGCGCTTGCAAAGGTCCCCATGGGGACACCAGTGTTATCATCTGGTGGCACTGGCTCCTGCGAGTGCCGTATTCTAAGCAGGAGACAGCAGAGAGGGCCGTACAATTTTAAAGGACTGAGGAAGCGGGACTCAAGCTGAGGCCCAAAGACAAGGAAGAACTGCACACGACGGGGAGGGAGCAGACGTGCCCCAAGGACCACACCACATCAGGCCTAGAGTAGCTGAGGGGTGAAGGGGGCAGCAGACAGCCAGAGAGTCGGAAGCTGTCAGAAGCAGGGCTGAGGGAAGGCAGGCCCAGATCACAGAAGGCCGGAGAGAGCAAGCAGAGGAGAAACCGAGGGCCAGCGGAGGCTCTGGGTCAGGAGGATGGGGGGCCTGACAGGAGGCCAGTCCTGCAGCAGTGAGCAGGAGGGCAGTCCAGGAAGCGAGGCCACCCCACCATCTGGGTCCTGGGGCCAGGCCTACAGCTCCTCCTCTCACCCCATGCTGGGCTGCCTGGCCCCTCCTTCCTTCCAAGGCCACCTTGGACCCACCTGAGGAGCTGTCTGCCCCACCCAGCCTCGCTCAGCCTCACCAAGGCAGACCATTCCAGGAGGGAGGCTCCCCCTACCCCAGAAAGTTCCCCACTGAGCCCCACACAGCAGAATCTCCCTCAGGCCTCACTCCAGCTGTCCCCTCTGCCATCTGTCTCCTTGGGGCAGCTCCCCACTCGCCTGCTCCTCTTCCTCACACTGTTATGCTCACACACTCACGCCCCATGTTCACCTGCAGCCCAGTCTTCTCACTTGGCCAATTTTAGTCAAAAGTTCTGCGTATGGCCAAGAGTTCAACCCAAGTCCAAGCTACTTTGAGAAATAAAGTCCCTGTCCTCCAGGTGTTTAGAAAGTGTTTGGTCCGGCCTGGTGTGGTGGCTCACACCTGTAATCCCAGGACTTTGGGAGGCCGAGGCGGGTGGATCACCTGAGGTCAGGAGTTCGAGACCAGCCTGGCCAACATGTTGAAACCCCGTCTCTACTAAAAATACAAAAAAATTATCGGGCATGGTGGCAGGCACCTGTAATCCCAGCTACTCGGGAGGCTGAGGCAGGAGAACTGCTTGAACCCGGGAGGTGGAGGTTGAAGTGAGCCAGGACCGTGCCATTGCACTCCAGCCTGGGCAACAAGAACAAAACTCTGTCTCCAAAAAAAAAGAAAGAAGGAAGGAAGGAAGGAAGGAAGGAAAGAGAGAGAGAGAGAAAGAAAGAAAGAAAGAAAGAAAGAAAGAAAGAAAGAAAGAAAGAAAGAAAGAGAAAAGAAAAGAAAAGAAAGGAAAGGAAAAGAAAAGAAAAGAGAAAAGAAAAAAGAAAAAAGAAAGAGCGAGCTTGATCTGGGTTGCTGGGATGTTCTAGGGTTGCTTCCACTAAGATCAGCAACACATAGATTCCTTTTCTGCATCATCCAGGAACTGGGCATTATGCACACCCTCACACAACGCAAAAAAGTAGTAACTGTGCTCATCTTATAGATGAGAGTGGCTCTAAGAGGCTAGGTGCCTTCCCAAGGTCACCTGCTGGTAATTGACAGAACAGGAATCTGAACCCGTGGCCATCTGACCCGCGGGCCCAGGCTTTTTCTACCAGGTCAGGCTGTCTCAACATTCAACGCATCCTCCCGCTGTCTGTCCCGTGGGCCTGGCTCCTGATCCTCAGAAGCAGCTGCAAAAACTCATTCCCAGCTCCTCATCGCTTTCCTAACAGGATCTCTCAGAGGGGCCTGAGGCCTTTCCAAGCTAACACAAGCCATTGGTGAGAGTCCCTGACTGAGCTGCCTCCCCACCCTAAATGCTGCAAGGACACCCTCTCCAAATGAGATGGCTCTGCTTAATGTAAAGGTCATTTTTCAATGAACTAAATATTATTTCCCGAAACAGCCACTCTGAGCCTCACTGTGTTGCACCCCAACCTGCTCCCTCTGCACCCCGGCCTTTCTTCAAACACTGAGAATGTCATCATGAAGCCCTTTGAAAGTGGTTCTCTTCCCAAGCAGGGCTGGTTTTCTTTGGGCTGAAATGTTTATTCCCAAACCTAAAACCACAAGGCACTTTTGGTTGTTGTTTTTCTATTATAAAAATATGTCAGCATTGATTATAAGAGGAAAAATCTTTAACAAGTTAAATGGATGTTAGTAGAGTATTGCTTGGTTGAATTCAGCACATCTGCAAAACCGAATACCATGTGGCCATTTAAAATGGTACAGATCTGTTTCTCTTGACAACAAAAGTTGTGCATAACACAGAACGTAGGAAAAGGTCACAAGACAACCCTTTTCTAAGAGCCGGCTTGATATGGTTTGGCTGTGTACCCACCTAAATCTCATCTTGAATTGTAGTTCCCATAATCCCCATGTGTCATGGGAGGGAGCCGGTGGGAGGTAATTGAATCATCTGGGTAGGTCTTTCCCATGCTGTTCTCGTGATAGTGAATAAGTCTCATGAGATCTGATGGTTTTAAAAAGGGCAGTTCTCCTGCACTTCTCCTTGCTCCCGCCATGTGAAGAAGGATGTGTTTGCTTCCCCTTCCGCCATGATTGTAAGTTTCCTGAGGCCTCCCCAGCCCTGTGGAACTGTAAGTCAATTTAACCTCTTTCCTTTATGAATTACCCAGTCTCGGGTATGTCTTCATTAGCAGTGTGAGAACGGACTAATAAACTGCTTATGTAGAAACTCACAAACACACACACATGAATACAGAATGAGCTGGGGGCTGCATGCCACATAACAATGGCTGTCACTGCTAAGTGGTAGGACTCAAGGTGACCTTAGTTTCTTTTTTATACTTTTTTGCAGTGTTTTCATTTTTTAAAAGACATCTATGTTGTTATAAACCAACATAATATCCAACATATAATATCCATAATACCCAACATATAAATAAAAGTTATGGCATTTAAAAATAAGAGTACTATGCACATTACTGAATATTTTTCAATTTCCCAAAAAATAAAGAAAAAAATGAAAGTCATACATAATCCCATCACTAAGAAATAACTCTTATTAATGTTCTGAAATATTTGCCCTCAAACCTGTTTTTGCTGGAAACGATTTTTATATAGTTAATTCAACAAATGTTTACAGAAGACTTACTATGTGCAAAGCATTTTGCAAGGTTCTGAAGATAAGAGGATGAATGAGACACAAATGTTACCCCCTCCTTCCACAACGTCATACACTGTGTGTTCTCCACTTAAGATTATGATTGGCCATAAAGTGTCCCTTCATTTGGGTATATCAAGTTACTGGACCACTCCCTCCCTGATTCCCTGTGACTGGAATCCCTGGGCTGTTTAGATATTGTCCAATTATAAACAATATTGCATAAAGTTTGATGAGCATTTGGGAGGAATACATTCCTGTAAATGGAATTACTTGATCAAAGTCATGAAAAATCTGATGAATTTTACATATCATTCATCACTCATTCCTTTTCATGGCAACTAAAGCAATTGACTATGATAATTATTCCCATTTCACAGATGGCAAAACTGAGGCAAAGACAAACACTGACTTATCTGAACAAGGCAGGATCCAAAATGGAACTCAAAAATCCCTGAGGATGGAATTCCCACTAAGGCGGGACAGAGGTGGAGATGACATTCTGATGACACCCCACATTAGCACACCTCTCTTCTCACCCTTTTGTACCAGCCCCCACAGTGCAGGTGCGGAGGTGCATTCCTTAGTCCCACCCCTCCTCCTCACTTCCTACACCCCACTCCACACAAGACCTAAGACAAGCAGGGAGAAAAAGACAATGGCGCAGACAGCAAGGCAGGCACAGCCTCTCCCCTGGGGGCCCTGCTTCTGGACCAGAATGTCAAAAGAGGCCCAAGCCCACCCCAGCCTGCCGCCATCAGCCTTGCTCTCTAACGCAGAGCTTAATGCCTCCTCTCAGGGGAGAGCCCCTCAGCCCAGCCCGCAGCCTGTGAGCTCTCACTAAGCTCCCGGGTCTGAGGGCTGGCTGCCTAAGGAGGTATCATTGCCACTTAGGCTGAGAAAGTGACCTCCTCTGGGTAGCCCACCCTCTCTCCCACCAGGATCAAGTTCACAACCTAAGCCAGCCACTTCCCCTTAACAGAGGCTGCTAGAATAAGGCAAGGAGGACATTTTTCTGCTGCATCTGATTCCTCCAACAGGAGGTCCTCAATGTTGCCACGGAGCCCCCTCCCCCAGCAAGCTGCCAGGGGAGACTGGAAGATGCTGCTAGGACCTTAAGCCCCAGGGCAGCCAGGGCAGCCGGTGGAGTAGGCCCACCTGGGCAGGTCCCAGCCTCGAGTGTCAGGAAGATCCCAAGGTCCAGAGCCCACCTGGGCTCCCTGAGGTTTTGCCACTGGAGCCCACACCCACCACTTCTTCCTGGGCACCAACTGTGTGCAGGCTCCGGGCCTGACCCTAAGCATGCTTCATCTCATTTCACTCTCATTTCACAACCTATAAGGGGAGTCATATGATCTCCAACTTGCTGAGGAGGAAACTGAGGCACGGATGCATGAAGCAACTTGCATGGTGCCACAAGGCTAATAAGTGGTGGGGCGGGATCAGACCCCAGCCAGTGTGATTCCATGTTCTGTCTCCTACGTCACAAGTCCTCATGTTGCTGGACTCTCCCTTTGTCCCCTCATCCCATGCCCTCACCTCGAGTGGCCATGCCTTGGACATGAAGAACATAACTTGAGGGCTTTGGAGAGGACACGGCTGCACAGGCGCTCTGTAATAAAACCATGTGCTTTGCCTACACAACAATATCGGCGGCTCCCCCGCCAGGCTGAGTTAAGTGTTCTTAGTCACCAAGAGTGTGGGCTCTGGAGCCAGACCATCCGGCTTCAAATTCCTGCTCCACCATTACACTGGCTGTGTGATCTTGGGCATGTAAGTTAGCTTTTCTGTGCCTCAGTTTCTCCATTTATAAAATGAGGATGATGGTAAGACCCACTTCTTGGAAATGTGGTGAGGTTTAAATGTCTTGATATTTCTAAAACACCAAGAATAATGCCCGGCACACAATTCGTGCTCTCTACAGCAGTATTACCTGCTGCAATTATCTTTACTACTGCACTGTTGTGATTTTCCTCTAGGACCATGGCTCTGCCAGGAGGTGGTGTCCTCTGGCTCAGCTCCAGCCGGTGCTGGACTGGCAGGGCCAAGCTGAACTGGGAGGAGTCAGAGACTCACTTCCCTGCAGGACCCAGGAAGCTGAAGACCAGGGAAGACGCCCTAAGCGCGTTCTCCCTCTTCCAAAAGTCATGAGTTTACACCTATCCTTCTCCCCAAGGAGGAAAAATGCTCCAGTGGCAAATGGCCCTGATTTCCCTCCATTCCTGTGTGGTCCTAGCCTGAAAGGAAAACCTCGGTGGCAAAAGATTTTGGAGAAAATCCTCCGAAGCAAAGTTACTAAGGGAAAAACAAAAACACACAAGGATGTCTTGAATCCTCTCAGGAAACAAGAATTTGATCCCCAGTCTCTGGGTGTTTGTGAGGAACCAAAAGAAACCCTGGGATTTCCCGGGGCTGCAAGAATAAACTCCCTGGGCTCCTCTCGGGCTGTTCTGGGGGCTCCTGGCACCAGCTTCACAATTTCTCACCCTGGAGCTCCAGCCACTCCTGTTCCCTCAGGGACTAGAACGTTCCTTCCTCATCACAGCTTGCGGTGGATGGAGAGGCTCACCCTTCCTGCAGGGTCTCAAAAAAATAAAAAAAGAAAAAAGAAACCACGCATGCTGTCACCGAATAAGACAAGCCTACTCGGGAAATGTACACCCAGCTCTTTGCTTTGAAATCTTACCCTGGCCAAGGCTGCGGCGCTGAGAGTGTGCAGAGTCAGACGGGGAAAACGGAGGAAAGAAAGAACTTCTCTCCCCAGCCACTGCGCAGACAGCAGTAAAGGGGCCCACAGAGGCCTAACACCCCAATCTGCAGGGTAGCCCGGGTGCATTTGCCCCATCCCACCTGCCAGCTGCAACACCCGCCCCATGCCTCTATCCTCGAGCCTGAGTCCTGCAGCGCCACCTCACAGGCTCCCCACATTCACCTTGGCCCCTCTCCAATCTGCTCTCCAAGCCACAGCCAGAGTGGTCTTTTCAAGATGCAAATCTGATCATGTTACTCCCCACTTAAAGCCTTCAATGGATTTCCATTGCTCTTGGAATCAAGACAAAAATCTCCTTACTGACCAGGCACAGTGGCTCATGCCTGTAATCCCAGGACTTTGAGAGGCTGAGGCAAGTGGATCACCTGAGGTCAGGAGTTTGAGACCAGCCTGGCCAACATGGCGAAACCTGTCTCTACTAAAAATACAAAAATTAGCCGGGTGTGGTGGCAGGTGCCTGAAATCCCAGCCACTTGGGAGGCTGAGACAGGAAAATCGCTTGAACCCAGGAGCCGGAGGTTGCAGTGAGGTGAGATCGTGCCAGTGCACTCCAGCCTGGGTGACAGGGCAAAACTCCATCTCAAAAAAAAAAAAAATCTCCTTACCATGAACTACAAGTTCCCGAGTGGCCTGCTCTGTGTCCACCAACCCAGCCTGCCCCATGCTCCTTCTGACTTGCTACTCCATCTGCCTGGAATGCTCCTTCCTTCCTCTTTGCCTACGAACTCCAATTGGCAAACCTTCTTATCACAGGCCCACAGAGCGCCCCAACCCTCTCCTCTGTAGCATAAATCAGAGCCAATTTATATTGCTTTTTTTTTTTCGAGCCAGTGTCTTGCTCTGTCACCCAGGCCAGAGTGCAGTGGTGCAATCTCAGCTCACTGCAACCTCCACCTCCCAGGTTCAAGCTATTCTCATGCCTCAGTCTCCCAAGTAGCTGGGATTACAGGCACCCACCACTATACCCAGCTAAATTTTTTTGCATTTTTAGTAGAGGCAGGGTTTCACCATGTTGGCCAGGCTGATCTCCAACTCCTGACCTCAAGTGATCCAACTGCCTCTGTCTCCCAAAGTGCTGGGATTACAAGCATGAGCCACCTCCCCCAGCCAGAGCCAATTTATATTGATTTGGGGGATTCCCTGACTGATGTCCCAGCCTCCACATGAGATTAGAAGCTCCCTGGGGACACAGACCGTGTTTTCTCACTATTGTACCCCCAGGGTGCAACACAGAACATGGCACATGATAGATGTTTCAGTAAGGATTTCTTGAATGCAGGAAAGAATCTGCATTAAAATTGACAGTTTAAATAGCATTAGTTGAGTGGGTTTTCCATGTTTCTTTGTTTCCCTACTCCGAAAATAAAAACACACACACATTAAGAAATGCTCTCCCCAGCCAAGCGTGCTGGCTCACTCCTATAATCCCAGTGCTTTGGGAGGCCAAGTGGGGAGAATTGCTTGAGATCATCCTGGGTGACATAGCAAGACCCTGTCTCAACAAAGAAAATTTTATTTTAATTAACCAGGCGTGGTAATCTCAGCTCCTTGGGAGACTGAGGTGGGGGGATCACTTGAGCCCAGGAGGTTGAGGCTGCAATGAGCTATGATTGCACCACTGTACTACAGCCTGGGCAAGAGAGCAAGACCCTGTTGAAAGAAAAAGAAAAACAGAAAGAAAGAGAGAAAGGAAGGAGGGAGAGAGAGAGAGAGAGAGAGAAGTTTAGAAAGAGAGAGAGAGGAAAAGAAATAAATGTTCTCCCCAAATGGACATCACCCCAAAAAAGCTCCACACGCAGAGGATGCTCCCATGTTACCAACGACCTCCTCTCTTCCAGGTCCTTCCATTCTCATAAGTGAGCCCAATATGAGCAAGGAAATAGCGTCCTTAGGGTCCAAGCTGCTAAGTGAGAAGCTGGGTGATTCCAGACACCCTCAGGAGGAAAGAGGAAAGGATGGGTTGTCTTCCTCCTGCTCAGGGCCGGTCTCAGGCTTCAGGAGAGCCAGGGTAGCCGGTGGAACGGGGCAGGTCCCTTCCATGGGGCAGCACGGGCCTGGCTCCTTCATAAACATGAGCTCCACATGCTTCTCACAACATCTCTTGGAAGTAGGCATCTTTCACATCACCTTACAGATGAGGAAATGGAGCCTACAGGTTGAGTGGCAGAGCTGGGAAGCCAATCCAAGTGGCTCAGTGCTTGGGCCAAATAACTCAGGTCTTGCAGGCACAGGCCTGGGCTGGAATCCCAGCTCCATCCTTTTTTTTTTTTTTTTTTTTTTAACACAGGGTCTCACTCTGTTGCCCAGGCTAGAGTGCAGGGGCATGATCACAGCTCACTGCAGCCTTGACCTCCCAGGCTCAAGTGGGGGTGACGAGGATCTGAGCAAAGCCAGCGTTGGCCTCAAGCAGCGGTGAGGCAGAGGGCCTGAGGCCCCAATGGGTACAGCCTGGGGTTTCCAGGATGTGAGGTTGATGGGGAAGGAGGGGGTCACAGAGGGATCCCTGAGCGCAGCTGCAAGACTTGGCAGGTATCGGAGGACTCTGAAGTCCTGGAGACCTCAGCCCAGAAGGGCAGAGTGAGCACAGAATCTGACCCCAAGGAAAGGGTAGCTGGGGCTCCTGAAGGGCGAAGGCCTCTGGCCAGCCTGCCTTGGCCCAGGGGGTAGAAGAATAATTATTCCTCAGCCCTTTAATAGGAAAATACCAGCCCCTCAGCAGCAGGGCTTCCACTCTGCTCCTCCGTTCCCTTCAATATCAGCGCTTCCTTCTGGCCTGGAGCAGCCTAGAGCTCAGCAAGCTCTTCCCCTGCCCCTAGCACATGCACCAGGCTCCCTGTCTGAACAGGCTTCAGGCCTCCAGTCAAACGCCCTCTTCTAAACCAGCTTCCCCAGGTGCCCACTTATCTCCTCTGGAGCTCGGACTGCCATCGGAGTTGTGGGTCAATAGGAGGTCCTTTGCCTAAGGCCAGTCTCCCAGCTACCTGTGAGGGGAGAGGCCACAGCTGGTTTGCTCACTGCTGTATCCCCGGCACCTGTGAGGATACCTGGCACATAGTAGGTGCTCACTGAATATAGGCTGCCAGAGCAACCCTGCCCACTGAGCCTAGGGGCTGCTGGCATACCATACTCAAGGCCTTGCACGCACTCCCGTCAGCCAGCTGGGCCTTCCCCACATCCTCAGGCCTTAGTAGGTGAGGAGCCAGGGCTCCCAGCATCCCAGTCCTCCAACCCACCAGGCTGAGCCACAGCCAGACACCAACTCCAGCCTGGGACCACCCTCTGACATGTGACCAGTGGGGAAGCCCCAAGGAGGAGGAGGCAGGGACCCCATGCCAGGGCCCATTTGCTGCCGATCCACTCCACCCTTGCGCCTGGGCTCCTGGGGACCCATCTTGTTTCCTTGGCTGGAGAAATAGCAATTGCTACAGTAGTATCCCAACCAAGCCAGCTCATTTAAGCCTCGCAGTAGTACCTGGCTCAGAGGCTCCTTGTCAGTCTTGACTGACAGATGAGGGCACTGAGGCCTAAAGAGTTTAAATGACCTGTTTCAGGTCACCCAGCTGGTTGAGGAGCAGGACTTGAGCTCTGGCACATCTGACCCCAGGACCCAGCTCTTTTTAAAAAAATAATAATAATAATTAGTTGTTAATTGTGGTAAAAATATACATAATATAAAATGTACCATCTTAATCCTTAAGTGGATAGTTCTGTAGTGTACTGTACTACTTTAAAATGTATATATTCAGATTGTTGTGCAAACCAATCTCCAGAACTTTTTCATCTGCAAAGTGCAACTCTATGCTACAGAGTTCCCCCATTCTCCACCAGTCCCTGGCAATTGCTCTTCTACCTTCTGTCTCTGAATGTGACTCCTCTGGGTAACTCAGATAAGTGAGATCATACAGTGTTTGTCATCTTATGACTGGCTTTTTCACCCAGCACAATGTCCTCAAGGGTCATCCATGTTGTAGCATGTGTCAGAATGTCCTTCCTTTTTAAGGCTGAATCATATTCTATTCTATATATATAGATCACATTTTGTTTATCCCTTCATCTGTTGGTGGACATGTGGCTTGCTTCCACATTTTAGCTATTGTAAATAATGCCACTTTGAACATAGGTGTACACATATCTCTTTGAGACCCTGTGTTCAGTTCTTTTGGGTATTTACTTTGAAGTGAAATTGCTGGGTCATATGGTGATTCTACTGTTGATTTTTTGAGGAACCGCCATACTGTTTTCCATAGTAGCTGCACCGTTTCACATCCCCACCAACAGCGTGCACATCCTCGTCAACACTTGATATTTTCTGTTCTTTTGACAGTCGCAATCCGAGTGGGTGTGAGGTAGTCACGGCCCAGCTCTTAATCCCAACTCCATAGGATTCTGTCCTGAGGCCCAAAGTGCACCCCAGTCCCTTCACTTCTGAGGCCCTGCCTTGCTCTTGCCAATCCCCTTCCCAGGTCTGGGACCTACCCCCAAACCACAGCCCTGCAGCCAGGGCCCCACTGACAGCCCCTAGGCCTCCATGCTCTCTATCCATGCAGGCCCCTGGGAGGCCACCCGCCACTGACCTCCGCCTGCACCACCACCTCCCTGAATCTGCCCAACTCTGCTCACCACGCTCCACCCCCAGACCAGACACCTCACTCCCTATACCAGCCTGCAACATGGGTGCACCCAGCAAACATGTGCAGGCAGGAATCAATCATGGCCAATTTGCCTTTACAGCCCCAGTGCTAAACTGGCAGGTGTTTTATAGATGCTGAATGAATATCTGGCAAATAATGAATGAATGAGTGAATGAAGTCAGGCCTCATTAAGACTATAGAGCAGAAGTCAAATTTAAAAACTAAACACAGGCACGTCTCAGAGCCTCAAGACTCAGGGAATCTCAGCTTACCACTTACCAGCCTGCTGTTCAACCCTGGGCAGATGGCTCCATCTCTCTGAACCTTCTCCTCACCTGCAAAGCAGAGGTGAGTAATACCTTCCTCCCAGGAGTGTTATGAGGAGTAAAAGAAGGAACTCAGGTAAAGCAGCTCCTTTGAGGCTGGCGAGAGGGAGGAGCTCTAAGCCACGACCACGACCACAGCCACCATCAAAACTCCCTCTCACCTCTCTCTGCCTCTGTCCTTCTCTGGCCCATTGCCAGCCCTCCCCATTCCCACATTCCCCAAGACCCCTGGCTCCCTCCTTCCCTCCCCAAGAGACTCCAGTCCACCTGCCTCTATGCTGCAGGCAACTCTCTCCTGAGCCTGCTCCCCCTCAGAGCTCCCATGCCTGTCCTCTCCTCTGCAAACTTCCTTACCACCTACTTGCTGCCGGCCATCTGCCTCCTGCCTTCCGCTTCTCCCAGGAAACTGCTCTGCCCACTTTACCAGTGACCCCGATCTCGAGTTCCAGAAGCTTTCCTTGGACCTCCTCCTCAGACAGACTGAATGCTGTCCACACTGCTAACCCTCCTCCTCAGACGGACTGAATGCTCTCCACACTGCTAACCCTCCTCCTCTTCACCAAACTCCTCCTTTGGCCTTTGCAATGATTCCTCGGCCCAGGTTCAAATCCACAAACGTGTAGCCACTGCTCTCCACTGTCAAACACAGGATAGGAGTTCCTCCCGCCTCTCCACTATCTCTTCCTTCAACACCTTCCCTTCCTCCTGCCCTCTAATGTGGGTGGGAGCTAATGTGTGTGAGTCCTCGAAGGATGTGCTTTCTTCTCCAGGAAATCCCAGCACCAAGCAGTATTTCTTAAACTGTGCCCTGGGCACTCCAGAATCCAAATCACCGGAATCGCCTTGCTGAAGAGCTACAGAGCCAGCACCTCTAGGATGGGCTGGGAATCCGCATTTTGTACCGGCCTCCCAGGAGATCCTTATTCCCACCAAAGTTTCTGTTCCACTGCCCTCATAGGTTGAAGCGCTTCCCCTGAGGTCCCCCCATCTCTCTCTCCAACCTGAATACTCTCCAGAGTAACCTTCCCCATCATGACCTCTGGGGCCATCTTTTTCACATAGATTTTTAGTGGCAATTCAAAGAAAACAGGCAAAAGCCAAATCCACAGCTTCTCCTCCAGGACCAGTCGCCCTTTCCAGCTTTATTCCTGTCCCAAGATCACTCTCTCAGACTCGAGCATCAGAGTCTGCCACGCCGTTCCCACTTACTCTCTCAGCTCTCTCTGCCTTGGTCCAGACCCACTTCCCCTCGTATCTTGGCCTCTGCAATAGCTTTGAATTCTATGACTGTAGTAGCTTCCTATGACAAATTACCATATGCTAGTGGCTGAAAGTAACACAAATGTATTATCTTTCAGTTCTGGAAGTTAGAAGTCCAAAATCAGTCTAACCATGTTAAAGTCAAGGTGGCGGCAGGACATTAACGGCGGATTGGATAAAGAAAATATGGTACATATACACCACAGAGTACTATGAAACCATAAAAAAAGAAGGAAATCAGGCCGGGCGCGGTGGCTCACGCCTGTAATCCCAGAACTTTGGGAGGCTGAGGCGGGTGGATCACCTGAGGTCAGGAGTTCGAGACCAGCCTAACCAACATGGTGAAACCTCGTCTCTATTAAAAATCCAAAAATTAGCCAGACATGGTGGTAGGTGCCTGTAATCTTAGCTACTCAGGAGGCTGAGGCAGGGGAATCACTTGAACCCGGGAGGTGGGGGTTGCAGTGAGTCGAGATTGTGCCACCGCACTCCAGCCTGGGCAACAGAGCAAAAACTCCATCTCAAAAAAACAAACAAACAAACAAACAAAAAAACAGATGAGGGAGAAGGGAAAGTTCTTTCTTAGAGTAGAAAGCCAACTAATAGAGAACAAATGATGGAGTTGCAAAATCATCAATGAATGCTAAAACTCGGGGGATGAAAGCTTGATGAGAAACAGAATATGTACCCAGCTTCAGACAATCCCCCTGACAAATTACCCGTTAATACCAAAGAAGAAAACAACTACCTCTCAGCAGAGAAGCCTGGCAGACATCAACTTATCAAGTAATTAAAGATAAAATCACCAATACTGGCACAAACTGACATCACGTGCCTTCTGACATGTTGCACCAGGAAGGACATGGAGTCATTATTTGGCATTCCCTGCAAAAATGCATAATCTGAATGTAATTGTGAGGAAAGATCAGATGAAGCCAAACTGAGGAGCGTTCTGCAAAATAACCGGCCTGCATACATCAATAATGTCCAGGTCAAGGAAAACAAAGAAAGGCTGAGGAGCTCTTCCAAATTAAGGGAGACTAAAGACCATGACCATTAAATGCCATGTGCGATCCTGGCAGGATTGTGGACCTGGGAAAAAATAGCCATGAAAGACATTATCAGAGCAATTGATGAAAACTGAATGTGAATTCTGGAGTAGAGAATAGTTTTGCACCGATGTTTAATTTTCTGATGTTGATAGCCTTGTGGTTCTTAGAAAACACCCACCAAATATTTAAAGGAAAAAAGTTTCAACGTCTCCAAGCTATTCTTAAAAGGTTCAGAAAAAAAATTACCTATGAGTGTGTGCGATAGAGAGAAGAGAGAGAGAGAAAGTGTGTGTGTGTGTGTGTGTGTGTGATTATGATAAAGCAAATTGGATTGTGATGTTTGCACAAGTCCATAAGTTTATTAAAAATCATTTATTTGTTTTTTAAAATTTAACAAAAAGTTAAATTTCTTTAATCTCCTCTCCCAGAACTCACCAACACAAATCGTCGCCCCTCAGGGGGTTTTGCTTCTCACTCTCCTTCCCAAATACATGGCACTTACCTTCTGAATGCTCCCAAACTCCCTTACCCTCGCTTCGCCTCGCTACTTAACCTAAGTCTTGCCCAGCCTTTAAGCCCCAGTTCAAACCCTACCTCCACAACACAACAACAATTCAATCCCTCCTCCCCATCTCACTCCCATCTAGCGACTCTCATCAGCCTCATCTCCATGCTGATGGGGCATTGACTATGTGCCAGGCATTACTCTATTCTAATTATTAATCTTTATTCTTGCTGCCTTCAGCCAGCTTTCCCTAGCATTAACCTCTTTCATAACCATGGACAGTTATCAAAACTAAGAAATTAGGTGGGCATGGTGATGCATGCCTGTAGTTCCAGCTACTTGGGAGGCTGAGTGGGAGGATCACTTGAGCCCAGGAATTTGAGACCAGCCTGGGGAACATAGTGAGATCCCGTCTCAAAAAAATCATCTCATCTTAACTTCACAGCCCTATGAGGTAAATGCTGTCACTGGTCCCATTTTACAGATGAGGAAGTTGAGTCACTAGTGAATTGTCTAAGATCTCTCGGTAGGTGATGAAGCCAGGATTCAAACTGGGCCATTCTCGTACTGAAGCCTGGGCTGGTAGCCACTGTGCTCCTCGTCTCTATGGACATCCTTACACTTTTGTTCTTTCTCCCTCACCAGGCCAAAAGCTCCTCAGGCCTCTCTCAACGACGCTATGCACCCTGCAGGTGCCCAACAGCTGTCTGTCCGCCACAGGCTGGGTTCCAGAAAGGAGAGGAGGGGGTCATGAGCTCCGTCAAAAAGAGGAGCCAATTCTCCACACCCTCCCCGCCCCCCGGCACAGCCCAGCTCCCTGGCTACTGCCCAAGGCCTGGCCATCATCTGCTCTGGGTAATAAGTATTTGTATGGCGATAATTACAGGATTTGGGAAGAAAATCCCATTAAGCAAGAGCCCCGCCGAGCTGCTAATGCCGGCACAGAACTGGAGGCGGCAACTCCGCCAAGCACCCGTCTGCTCCCAATAATGCAGGAGCCGCCCAGCCCCAAAAGAGCACGGCCGCCCCTGCTGGCAGCCTCGGGCAGCCTGGGCCACCGACAGCCCGCCCCGCCCAAGAAGGGGCACCGAGGAAGATCAGCCCCTCCCCTTGTGCTCCAGGGTTCCCAGCGGCTGCCTGATGGCGAAGAGGAGGGCCACCCTGGGATCCAGCGTGACGCCCAAATTTCCTTCACATCCCTGCAATTCTCTGTCACCTTAATAACAATAATAATACTACCATTTATTGAGCACTCGCTGTCTGCCAGGCCCTGTGCAAAGCGCTCCTGCGAGCATTACCGCATTTAATCCTCATGACCACCCTTTGGAGCAGGCCCTATCATCATCCCCACTTTATGGGCAAGGAAATGGGGGTTCTGAGAAGTCGCCCTTTCCTCCAGAGCACTTATCCCAGCTTGCAGTTATGTGCTTATTCTTATACTATGTCATTCATCTCTATCTCCCCTGCTGGACTAAAACTCGGGTTTCTGTTTCTGTCCAGCACTATTCACCCGGCACAATGCAGACGTTCAATAGATAGCTATCTGTTGAATGAGGGAATTAAACCCCATCACTTGCCCAAGGCCCCGCCAGCTGCTGAGTGGCAGAGTGGGGCTAAAAACCTAGGCAGTCTGGCTTCACAGCCCTCCCATCACGACCATCCGCCCTGCATACAGTCCCCACTCTGTCTCCACATCCCAAGGGAAAGGGGCAGAGATGCCCAGGAAAGGTAAATGAGCGCTCTAAACAGACAGACTGCGCTCTAAGCAGACAGACTGCAAGAGAGGCAACACTCAAATCCTTACCTCCCGAGCTCTCTTCTGCCCCACCCAAACCCTCGAGCCTCTAGCTTGAGCTTCCCAAATAATAACAATAATATCCTAATGATTGAATCACAAAGCATTTTCACAACTGTAGCATGAGTGAGTGCACAGGCCCTTTGAGGTAGTAGGTGTTATCAGCCCCAGAGGCCGAGAGAAGGGCGAACACCAGCCACTTACCAAGCGTGGCACGCTGCCTCACTTACTCCTCACTATCAACCTGCACAGCTGTCGTCGTCCCGTTTTACAGATGGGGAAACTGGGTCTCAGAGCAGGGAGAGGCACGGCACGGGGGTCCTAACACCAGTCATTCAGAGCCCAGCAATAAGCCAGTGGGCCAGTGACCACACCAAAGCCTAAGCAAGCAGGAGACTCTTGCCCTGCAGGGAGGCACCTCCCCTACACAGCGCAGGCCTCTGCTGCAGGAGACCATGGTGGCCTGCTCAGATCCAATCGGGCCCTGATGGCAGATGTGGCTGCAGTGGCCCCTGACCTCATTTACCAAGGTCACCATCCAATTATTATTTGGAATTTCAAACAGGCTCCCCAGAGGATCAGCCTCAGGTGCCCTGGGCAGCCTTCCTTATGCGTGACCACTCAGCCCTGTTAAATGGGACCTCTAGCTCAGGGAGTTGAGTCTAGAGAGGGCCTCCCAGGCCTCTACAGCAGGCATGGAGATAGGGCAGGGTGGACGAACTGGCAAGGAGGGAAGGGCACATAAGGAGGACGGCAAGGCTGGGCATGGTGGCTCATGCCTGTAATCCCAGCACTTTGGGAGACTGAGGCAGGAGGATTGCTTGAGCCCAGAAGCTTGAGACCAGCCTGGGCAACATAGCTAGATCCCCATCTCTACAAAAAAGGAAAAAAAAAGACCAGACAAGCAGCAGAATGTGCTGGGCCTGGAGGCAAAGAGAGAACAGTAGGCCTTCCCAGAGGCCCTGCCTGCCTCCCTCCATCCTCGGACAACTTACCCTCTCTGCACAAGGGGAACCTTCCACAAACCTCAAATACCCAGGATGCCCAGGGCTGGGGGAACCAGCGATGTCCACACATACTGCACTCTCCTGTCACACTCTCCTGGACACTCAAAAGATTTTTTAAATTAAAAACCAAGTCCAACTGAAAGTCAAGGTCGTTGTGGAAGAAAAAAATAACTTAATGGTGACCATGGCTGGGTCTCTCTGCGCCTGGGCAGTACAAAGAAAGGAAGCTTCCCGGGCCGCCTCCGCCACCTCTCCCAGCCCTGGCTCTGTATTTTAACTGTTCATTACAGTGAATTATTTAGCATCCCTTCCCTGCCCAGCTGACCAGCCCCACAGCCCCTCTGGCTGAACCAATTTCCTCAGCAGCTCTGGGGCCTACCCAACCTCTTTCCAGAAGTCCCCACAGCAAACCAATGACCATTTCTTTCCATTTCGGGGGACAGGCCTGGACCCAGAGTTATAGAATATATGATCATAAAGTTGCTGGGCCTCGCAGGCTGCCGCAGAAACTGCCCAAAGGACAAAAGGCAAATGCACAGCTGCAGTCCATAAAAATTTCACAGCCTCAGAAGAAGCCACTGTTTCAGGCTCTGATACTGCACAACACTCATATTGATTAGAGAGAGCATTTGCCACAGTTATTTTGAGTCTGCCTGGGCTCTCACCAAGGCCTCTTTCAAGATGTTCTTTTCCTCTTTGAGCAGCTCTTTCACGGGCTGCCTGGAGAACAGGCGGGCTCCCTGCGCTTTCCCAGTCCAGGAAGCTTTGCCCACATGGCAAAGATCAGACCTGCTCCACTTCCCCAGGATAACTCACCCCTGGCTTCCAACTAGGAAGTTCCCAGAGGAAAAGTTCACATATAGAAAGTCTTCCTGACCCTTCCCAACATCTCTTTCCAGCCTCAAGTCCCATCCCACCCACTGGCCACTGGCCAGAGCATGTTTCAGCCCCAGGGACAAGCTGGTCCATCTGCCCATATCGGGCCAGGCATGCTTACACCCGCAGGTTTTTGGCTCATACTCACACCTGCTGGCTTTTTGCTTATGCTCACGCCTGTAATCCCAACACTTTGGGAGGCGGAGGCAGGAGGATTGCTTGAGCCCAGAAGTTTGAGACCAGCCTGGGCAATATAGCCAGATCCTCATCTCTACAAAAAAGGAAAAAAAAAAAAAGACGTCTGCAAGAAAGCAGGCCCCATGACCTGACAAGCAGCAGAATGTGCTGGGCCTGGAGCCCAGCTGTTCCCTCTGCCTAGATTGCCTGCCCTCTGTGCTTGGCAAAATCCAAACCAACCTTGATAAAGTGGCCCATCCTCTGAGAAACCCCTTCACCCTGGAAAAGGGCTTCTCACCCCAGTGTTCCCACAGTCCGTTCCCTGAGGCTGCCTGGCCCTCTCCTGAGAGCTCACCATTAGAGGTCCTCTGCCCAGTTCTCTAGACCATGTGCCCCTTGAGGACAGGGATGGGCTCACTCCCTGCTGACGCCTCAGCACCCAGGGCAGTTCCTGGCTCCGAAACATTTGCTGAATTAAAATAATGAGATTCCCCTCCCTATCCTATCATAATAATGGCTCTCGTTTAGCGAGCATCAGAAGGTACCAGGCAATTCCCATACATGATCTTCCATCCTCACAAGAACCAGAGACCTTATGTAGCCTCAGCCCCATTTTCCTGATGGAAAGCAACTAAGGTTCAGAGAAGTTAAGTAACTTGCCCAAGGTCACACAGCTAATAGGTGACAGAGCTGGGGAACCAGGCAGTATAGCTCCCAGAATGCCACCTCTTTCCTCTGTACTAGGAAATTTCATTTTCATCTCACTCTGATCACAAAAGAGCTAAAGAGTTCATGGAAGTCTTAAACACTAAAGGTGGTGAGAGAGTAAAGAGGGAGGAGATGACTTTAAGACTCAAGATTCAAAAGCAAAGAAGAAGGGCTAATGTGTCTTAGATCTAGGCTGCAACCAGGGTAGCAGCTTCAGGAGAAACTCCAGTGGACAAGGCAAGGGGAGCAGGGAGCAGGTACAGAGGGGACAGGCATGGAGGGTGACCAGGCCACTGCGGGGGTCCTCTGGACAGATTTCTGACCCTCAGATCCTCTCTGGGTCCACACAGGATAATGCACACGCTGCCCACAGAAACTCAGTTTGGTACCACCTCTCCCCAGCCCTGTAACACACAAGCATTCACACACACACATACACATGCACCACACACACACACACACACACACACACACACACACACACACTTCCCATCTAGATTGCATCTAGATTGCAAATTCTCTAAAACCTCCACGGGAATTTTTCAGATGCAGCCAAGAAGAGTCTGGGGCAAATGTGTGCTCACTAATTGCTGGCCTTGGTACAGAGTCTGATTCGGGAGACAGCTCTCCTCAGGGTCAGATTTCTGTCTCTGACCAGCTGGGGGCCATGAAAATGTGCTCGAAAGTTATCAAAATATGCACACCTTTCCTGAGAGCCACTGCAGTCACCGAGGAGTGTGGGAAGGAGGAGTAGGTAGGTTTCAAAGGAGCCAGCAGCCTTCTCCAAAGCCCTGTTCAAAAATCTCCTGGTGTAGTCACCTCTGCGAGCAGTACAAAGGCCCTGCATGTGACCAAAATCTACACACACACAGCCCATTACGGGGACTCTCATGGCCTCACGCTATTAAGGTGGCCCCTTAATACTAGGAATTCACACAGAAACACATTCTGCAGGAGAGTCACAGAAAACAAAGTATAAAGGTCTGTAAATACACACACTCAAACACACCCAAACACACACACACACATTCTACTAGCTTACTGGGTCTAGAAAAGAAAAGGATCAAGTTTCCTCAAGAATTCACAAGTGAGACAGAACAGGGGAAGAGAAATGCTATTTTTTTATTACTTGTCATGGTCAATATCTTTAACCTTGGGCCCCCCTCTCCAAGCTCCTGACTTCTTGGCATTATCCACCGGGTTCTCCATCCAAGACACACCTGCCCCTTTTCGGGTGCTGAATGTTACATACCCCAAGCCCCATACCCAAAGCCCTCAGGTCCCATTGTCTGCCTGTGTTGGGGATGGCTGGGTGTGGAGGGAGGCGGGTGAGTAGGGGACCAACGCGTGGCACCTGCAGGGGAAGAATTCTCAAGGCTCTGGGGCAAACAATGGAGAAGAAGGGGCAGACCAGAAACTTCGCCTCCATCCCACCCTGCTGCCCTTCGTCAGGAGCAAGCTCTGGGAGCGGGAATCTGCGCAGCTGGCTCAGAACGCGGCCGTAGCCCCATGTGCCCAAAAGGAGACATTGTGCTTGGCGAGTGTGGGAAGTGTCCCTCCTGGGTGCAAGGAAGGCTTTCTGACACCAGTTCGCAGGCACCCTGGAGGAATAAAGCGCTGGCGCAGTGAGGAGGGCCTGAGGGTGCGGAGTGCAGGGTGCAGGGTGCAGGTGTGAGGACGGAAGCTGACAACCCCGCCGAGGGCCCTTTGAATCCCAGGGATGGGGAAACCACGGCGCTCCTGGCTCCTGGCTCGGGAAAGACCCCGGCAGGCACTGACCCGTCTGTGGGCTGCGGAGCCCGGACGGGCCCCAATGGTCCTGCCCCCACCCCCAAGTCCGGAATTGCGTCTGGGTGGGAGGGCAACCTCGGAGCCAGGGAGCCAGGGGCGGGGACCATACTCACAGGCGCTCGGTGTTCCGAGGTATATTCTTGGGAATGGCCTGCAGCCCCGTGCCGTGGCAGTCCACCGTGGTTCCGGTGCAGGTGCAGAGGGCGGGGCACGCCGAGGCACCCAGGCGCCACGCGGCTGCCCACAGCAGCAGCCAGAGCTCCGGCCGGACCGGCCCCGCCGAGGACCCCCACCCGGGAGTCAGCGCCATGGTGCCCTCACAGCGTCCCGCTCGCGAGCCAGACGGCAGCAGCCGCTGACCATCCCCGTCCGGGGCCGCCTCCAGGTGCAGTCCCGGGGCAGAGCCACCGAAGAGCCCGCGGGCTTGCGCGCGGCGCCCCTGCGGGCTGGGAGGCACCTTGCTCCTCCAAGCGACGGCGCCTGTGCGCGGACGGAGGGAGGGCGCCTTGGGCGGAGGGGGCTCGGCTCCTCTGCCGTTTCGCCGCCTGCGTCTCCCTCTCCCTCCCTCCAGCTCCCAACTGACTGCTGCGAGGAGGAAAATGGGCAGGCCCCGCGCGCGCACGCACCCTGCGCACACACCACACACACACACACGATCACACACACACCCGCGCGCTCGCTCCCACCCGGCAGTCATCCATCAATCGAAAAGCACACATCCAGGGCCAGGCTCCTCCCCGCCCTCCCCCGCCGCAGCCCCCCTCTCCCGACGACCACTCAGCGGCTGCAAGCCGCCTACAGTTTCAAAGGTGGAACCTCCGAGGCGCCGTCAGCGGGCACGGGGCTGCGGGGGATGGGAGAAGAGGGAAGGGGGTGTGACTCGACCCGCCAAGTCCTGGCTGTACACACACACACACACACACACACACACACACACACACACACACGGCGAGGATGCGCACATTTAGACGCACGCACCCCGGCACCCGCGGCCCCAGCTGCTAGTCCAGGGTGGGAGGGAGATCTTATTTTGCCGCTTGGACGCCTTCCCGGGGAGTCAGACCCGTTTCCCCCCATCCCCCGACGGCAGCAGCGGCCTCTCGGCCCCACCCGACTCGCTGTGTCAATTCTTGGTTAAGGGAAACCCTGTGCCTGTGCCCCAGGTAGCATCCTCAAGCCACCAACCTTACTTAGCCTGGACTTTGAGGATGGAGCTTTGTCGGGGGGGAGGGTCCACGAAAGCGCTAGGCGGAGTACAGTCTCCTTCCTACCTCAATGCACCCACTTCTCAGAGGGGAACAAGCTAGCCGCATGCCCAGGATGAGAATGGCTCTGATTGGAACACTTGCTCAGCAGGGCGTATTTGTACCATACAGTTACACGGGCTTCTTCCCCCGTTGTAGAAGAGAGGGACAGACATTAAGGGGACTTGGAAATCTGGCAAACGTCTTCCTCCACTCACACCAGCGTTCCTCCATTTCTGACAGGTGGAAACAGATGAAAATGAATATTCCATCTTGACATCAAAGGAGACAGAGAGGGCTGGCATAGCGCTGGGCGGCCTGCTTGGGAGAGAACCCCACAGGCCAGCCCCGTCAGACCCAGGCCTCACACCCGGCTGGGTAGGGACCTTCGTCACCGTAAGGCATGTGTGGACGTGGGTGTGAACGGGACATCCAGGTGGGGAGAGAATTCTCCTCAACCCCAGAAAAGACGAAAGATCTCCTCAACGCCAAGGACAGCTGTGGCTCGCTGGGGCAGTGTCCAGCAGTCGGGGCCTTGACGTGAGGCTGCTTGGCAAGAGGACACAGCTGGGTAGCCCGAGAAGCACCTCCCGTCTCAGGAGCGGCCTGGGTCCAGACACAGCATGGACGCATTTGGTGGGGAGAGTGTCGGGCAGGGTGGGGATAGGGGAGGTTGATAGACTCCACAAGGTTGAAGCCTTATCACCCACCAGGTACCCAAGGCTCAGGCGTTTTCTTTGCTTTTCTTTTCCATGTTGATGAGAATTTTGCAGTCTCTCTACTGTCATAGCACAGTATGTTACAATTTAGGTGGCTGATTTTATGGGCTTTTGACAGTTCTTTTAAAGTTTTCACACATCCCTGTCCATGACCTCCATCCGGTAAGTGGGTTCTTGAGCATAAGTTCAGTTTCTCAGGGGGCAGGGCTTTCTCAGGGGTGCCTGTGTGGTGGGATATTAGGGAAGCTTCCCACAAACCAGGCCGGAGTCTGAGAGGGCTGCCCCTGCCCTGCAGCTCACCAGCTCCTGCTCCATGGGGCCCCAGCCCCTCTATCCATGCTCTCCCCGCAGCCTCAGAGTGACATTCCTCCATGCCCGCTGCTTTGTTTATCCCCTCTTAGTACCTGCAGCTGCTTCTCCACACCCCTGCCCACCCCCTGGCATCCTCACTCGCTCACCCAGACACACACCCCAGCACCTGGCACTTAGTAGGCCTGTCACAGACAGCACTCAGGCTGTTGAAGATGTCTCCAGCCTTCTGCTCCAGCAGTAGCTCCCTGGTCCCAGGACCTCGGAGGGCCCCTTGGAAGCCAAGACCCATGTGGAGAAGGGAGAGAGTGTTGATTAGCCAGGCGACATGCCCCTAGGTCCTCAGAGTGACAGAGTGAAGGGGTATGAGGAAGGGTGGGAGTGAGCAGGGGTGCAAGATCAGCCCTGCCTATGGCTCCTGAGAACCAGCCCCTGCCCTAGAAGCTTCCAGACCAGCCTGGACAGTGAATCCCAAGCAGGCCCTGGGCTGAGTTGCTGCTGCCTGGCAAAGCCTGGCTTTTCCTCTGAAGGGAGGGAAGGAAGGAGCCCCCCAGACCCAGGACAAAGACTCCCCCAGCAGCCCATCACAGGGGGCCCTGCCCAAGCAGCGGGCAGCTCCCCAGCTTGGCTCCTGTCCCTGGTTCCTCCACCCCAGAACCTGGCCAGCTCCCCAATTCAGGAGGCGGCTCGCCATGAATGAGCGCAGCTCATTAGCGTGCCCGGCACATTTACTTGTTAAACAACTGCCTGGCTGGCCGCACACCCCCAAGCCCCACTCTGTTTTTTCAATTTCCTCTCCCATGCCCCTCCCTCTCTTGGGTCTCCCTACCCCCTCCCTGCAGCCGGGCCACCTGCTCCCGCTGCACGGGTGGGGAGGAGGCAGGCCTGGCACATTGCTTCTGCCAGGAATACTCCACCAAGCCTGTCCCTGCTCACCTGCCACCAGCAGGGCAACCCCCTGGAAGGGAAATTTGAGGTTGAGTCTCCCCAGCCCAGTGACGTGAGTCCCCTCTGAGTCCTCTCAGCCACATGTGCTGGGAGTTGAGGGCCACTTCCCCCGTGTGACTCAAGAAGAGAGCGTTCTCTTTATGGCTTCTGCACAGAGTCCTCTCTCCCACCGCCACCAGCCCCTTTTGGAGCACCAAGAAGCGGGAGAACCTGGGTGAGGCTGAGGAGCATTGTGGGATGGATTTCCAAACTGCAAAAAGGAAAAGTGAGACAGAATGCCTTCTAAGTAGACATCTGATAAACACCACTTACGGAGTATCTGTGTACTACATGTGCTGTACTGGAACTCAGCAATTCAACAGGGGACAAGAATGGCCCTGGCCCTCAGTGGGCTCACTGTCCGGTGGGGGCACAGAAACAGGAAGCAGGAAAGCATATTCATTTGGGTGTCAGCGAATGTGGAATTGCAGAGAACCCAGAATGAGGGCACAGAGTGGGGCTGGAAGGCTCCCTGGAAGAGGAGGCACTTGAACTAGGTCTTGAAGGATAAATAGGCATTCTCTGGGCAACAAAACAGGAAAAAAGGCTCTCTCAGCAAAGAGAAGCACTTGAGGCAAGTCACACAGACTGGGGGCAGCATTCTCAATGGCTGAGCTGGGGCACGTCCAGCAAGGCTGGATTGTGGCAGGGGGTTCAGGTGGGGAGCACAGATGGAGGTTACAGAGGTAATGAGGACACACCCCAGAGGCCCTGGTGCAGCCTTTCTCTGGCTTCACTGGGCTTTCAGCATCACCTGGCCTGGCCCTGTCCTCAAACACATGTCTATATATGCATGGGCTTGGAAATGCACCACCTCTGGAACCAGTGTCTCTGGAACCTGGTGCTTCCAGGGAGGTGACTTGGGAGGTAGCAAGGAGAAAGTTGCAGCAGATGTTTCTTTTCTACTGTTTGGGAGGTTTTTTGCTTGTTTTTTGAGATAGAATCATGCTGTGTTGCCCAGGCTGGAGTACAGTGGCACAATCATAGCTCACTGCAGCCTCCAACTCCGGGGCTCAAGCGATCCTCTCGCCTCAGCCTCCCAAAGTGCTGGGATTACAGGCGTAAGCCACCACACCCAGCCTTTGTTCGGATTTTTTACCCTGTGTGGTAGGAGCTAATTTCCCCCTACCAATACATTTTAACCCCCCTGGGGTGCTTATCATACATGCTGATTCCTGTGACCCACCCCCGATCTTCCCAGTCAGAACCTTCAGTGTTAGCAAGCTGGGAATGGGGGGTAGAGGCGGTGCTAATTCTGATGCAGGTGATTCCAGAGACCATGCTCTAAGAATCAAGGCCTGGTGTGCTGAGTTATGAGTTTGGAATTAGACTGAAAACTCTGGGGAGCCATTGAAGGAAGGAGCCTGGCAGGGACAATGGATCTGAGGCCCACCTGCCTTCCTCATCTCCAGGTTCCACACACCATTAGCAAGGATGAGGCATGTGAAAGAGAAAGATGGTCAAGGGAGAGTGGCAGGGGAGTACAAGATGTCAGAGCTGGAAGGGGATTAAAAAATGATCAAATCCAAGCACCAGTAAACAGTTAGAAGCCCAGAGAAATGAAGCAACCAGCCTGACCTCACAAGGCAAAGGAGCTGCAGAGGTGGGCCGTGAATGAGGCCACACACCCGGGCAGAACACAGCATCCAGTCCATCCTGGGCACTCCTCCTGGCCCTGCCACCACAGGGGAACTACGAAAACAGGAGTCTCTGGGAAGTCTGTGCCAGCAGGACTCATGATATCTTAGCTTTAGTCTCTAAACCCCTGGCTATTGTCAAATTTGGAGGAGGCTGAATTGTTGGAGGCTCTCAGTGGCAAAGCCTACAGCAAGGACAAGCTCCTAGACTAAAGGTCAAGTGGCGTTTATAGCCCAGAGGCCATCATAGGCATCCAAGATAACTCTGGTAAATAGAAGCACTGGAAGCAAGAGAGAAGCAAAGTGGGTGCTGGGGTGGGAGAAGAGGAGGAAAAGAAAGGCAGAAAGCAGGCAGACAGCCTGCACTGACAGCAACCATTCATCTATTCATCAGACATTGATTGCATGCCAGCTGAGAGCCACGCACTGGAAATAGAAGAGATCTGTGCTTTGGGTTCACTGGGTTTCCTGTATCTTGTTCACAGTTTTCATCAAATTTAAAGTTTTCAACCATTATTTCTTCACTTTTTTTTGTTCCCTCCTCTCTTTCTTCATTTTTGGGGGCCCCATTTATACATAATTAGGCCATTTGGAGTTGTCTCATAGTCCATGGATGGATGATGCCCTGTTCCTTTTTTTAGCCTTGTTTCTCTCTCTCTTTCGTTTTGGTGAGTTTCTCCTGGTGTATTGTCGTGTTCATTATCTTTTCTTCTACAGTATCTAATCTGCTGTTAATCCCATCTGGTAATTTTTTTTTTTTTTTTGAAATGGAGTCTCACTGTCACCCAGGCTGGAGTGCAGTGGCACAATCTCAGCTCACAGCAACCTCCGCCTCCCGGGTTCAAGCGATTCTCCTGCCTCAGCCTCCCAAGTAGCTGGGACTACAGGCGTGTGCCATCGTGCCTAGCTAATGTTTGTATTTTTAGTAGAGATCGGGTTTCACCATGTTAGCCAGGCTGGTCTGGAACCCCTGATCTCAAGAGATCTGCCCACCTCAGCCTCCCAAAGAGCTGGGCTTACAGGCCTGAGTCACCGTACCGGCTCCATCTGGTACAATTTTTATCTCAGACATTGTACTTTTCATCTCTAGAAAATCTACTTCGGTTTTTTTTTTTAATCTTCCACGTATCTTCTTAACATGCTTATATTTTCCTCTACCTTAGTGTACATATGGAATATAGTTGTAATAACTACATTACCAATTCTATTATATGTATCACTTCTGGGTTTGAAATGATTGATTACTTTTCTTCTTCATTATGGATCATATTTTCCTACTACGTAGTCCCCCCTTATCTACATAGGGATACATTCTAAGACCCCAGGTGGATGCCTAAACCAAGGATAGTACCAAACCCTATTACATTATGTTTTTCCTATACCTACATACCCTTGATAAAGTTTAATTTATACATTAGGCACAGTAAGAGATTAACAATAATAACTAATAAGAAAAATAGAATAATTATAACAATATACGATAATAAAACTTATGTGAATGTCATCTCTCTAGCTCCCTCTCTCTCAAAATATCTTATTGTACTACACCACAGATAACTGAAACCACAGGAAGTGAAAACATGGATAAAGGGGAGCTACAGTACTTTGTACCCTGGTAATTATAGATTTCATGCCAGACATTGTGGATTTTGCCTTGCTGGGTGCTGGATATTCTTGTATTTTGAAAAAATACTCTTGAGCTTTGTCCTGGAACAGAGTCAAGTTACTTGGAGCCAGTTGGATCCTTTTGAGGCTTGCTTTTAAGCTTTCTTGGGCAGGACCAGGACTAGCCTGTGGTCGAGGGCTGATTTCCCTACCCTTCTGAATGGTCTCCCCAGTGCCCTGTGAATTAGGAGGCTTCTGCTCTGGCTGGTGGAAATGCCAGCTAATCCCAACCCTGCAGGAACTCCAAGGATTGTTCTGCCTGCTCCTTTTGGGTGGAACTTTCCCACCTTCAGATAGTTTACACACAGGCACTGATCAGTTCTCAGCTGAAGACTAGGGGAGGAGAGGGTGGCACAGCAGGGAAGAACCATCTGCAGATCTCTAGCTGCTCATTCTCTCTGTGCAGCAATTTCCTCTCCCGTCTTCCATGGGAACCTGAGCCACCTTGGCCTCCCTGGACTCTCAGCTCTGATTCCTCAATTCAGACTGATGCTGGGTTCCACCTGGGTCCCCCTCTTGCTCTGTGGCCTGGAAACTCTCTCCACGCTGTAAGCCAGGCAGTTACAGGGCTCATCCCATTTGTTTCCTCTCTCTCAGAAATCACTGCCCCACACTACCGGTTGTTTAGTGTCTCATAAGAGTTGTTTCCATTTTTCCCTGGCTTGTCAGTTGTTTAAGCCAGGAGGGGTAAAATTGTCCCATTATATCTTCTTGGCCAGAAACAGAAATGTGGAAGAAATTTTTGACAATACTTCAAGCCCTCAAAACATGCTCTGTGTGCTGGGGAAAGACAGTCAAACAAACAGACAATTACATGACCCTGACAAGTGCCCTGAAGCTGGCCAGAGAGGAAGGGGCCTCAGCCACACAGGCTTCTCGCAGTTTATTAAGCACATAATGCTTGGTGCAGGCCAGTCCCTACGCTAGAATGGTCTTCCCACGGCTGGTGTGGCTCTCTACACCCTTCAGGTCTCAGCTTAAGCAATAACTCCTCAAGAAGCCTTTCCTCATGCGGGGTTAGGTCAGCACCCCCATCCCATCGAAGGGGAATAGGAAGTCATCTGGGGATTTAAGCTGAGGCATGAGATATGATCTATGTTCTCTCCTTTAACTGTCTTCTGCCTCAGCCCCTTCTGCCTCCCATGGCAGGTAGGAAGGAAGAGACCCTGTTTGGAAGCCCATCATAGAGCCAAACCCTTCTCTATCATATACCCTTCTCCATCACATCCCCTTCTCCATCACATCCCCTTTTCCATCACACCCCCTTCTCCATCACACCCCCTTCCCCATCACACCCACTTCTCCATTGCATGCCCTTCTCCAACACACCCCCTTCTCCATCACACGCCCTTCCCCATCACACCCCCTTCTCCACCACATCCCCTCCTCCATCGCATCCCCTTCTCCACCGCATCCCCTTCTCCATCGGAGTCAGCCTTCAGTCCTCCAAAGTCCAAGAAGATGACAAAAATGCAGCATCAGGGAGCTCATTAATCCATCTGCATCTTGGGGGCCTTGTCTGTAAAGAATAATCCTACCAACTAACAAACACTTCTATTGTACCTATAAATTCCAGGGGCTCATACTCTTCCAAGACCTTTACCTATTAAATCATTTAATACTCCCAAGAAACTTAGAAGGAGCTGGAAGCACAACGACGTTTGGGAGTTCACCCAAGGTCACACAGCACGTAGGTGGCAGAGCTGAGATGTAAAATACCCATTTACTTAAGATCTACCTCCTGGGGCCAGTGTGGGGATTGAATGGGTAGTACATAGGAGAGTGCCTTATGGGCTAAGCGCAGTGGCTCACGCCTGTAATCCCAGCACTTTGGGAGGCAAAGGCAGGCAGATCACTTGAGCTCAGGAGTTCAAGACCAGCCTGGGCAACATGGCGAAACACTGTCTCTACAAAAAATACAAAAATTAGCCGGGCACAGTGGCTTGCGCCTGTAGTCCCAGCTACTCAGGAAGCTGAGGTGGGAGAATGGCTTGAACCCATGAAGTCAAAGCTGCAGTGAGCCGTGATCGCACCACTGCATTCCAGCCTGGGCAACAGAGCAAGACCTTGTCTCAAAAAAGTAAATATATAAATAATAATAAATTTGGTCAGGTGCAGTGGCTCATGCCTGTAATCCCAACACTTTGGGAGGCCGAGGCAGGTGGATCACCTGAGGTCAGGAGTTCAAGACCAGCCTGGTCAACGTGGTAAAACCTCGTCTCTACTAAAAATACAAAATTAGCCTGGCGTGGTGGTGCATGCTTGTAATCCCAGCTACTTGGGAGGCTGAGGCAGAAGAATCACTTGAACCTGGGAGGAGGCAGAGGTTGCAGTGAGCTGAGATCACACCATTGCACTCCAGCCTGGGCAACAAGAGAGAAACTCCATCTCAAAAATAATAATAATAATAATAATAAATTTAAAAACTGAAAAAAGAAAGTGCCTTATGCTGCATGTACAGGCATGTGGTTAGTGTGTTCATTTTTTTAAAAAGCCAAAATTGGTTATAGGGATAACTTAGGCAACAGGTCTGTCTAGAGAAAGTTCCGTTTGACAAACATTATGTACAAGTAATTTTAGAGGATTCCTTCTTCTTCTTTTTCCTTAGCTCCTTCTGCAAATGTGTGTGTTCTGGGTCTGCTTGTGTAACTGACACGAAACCCAGATATTCTTAGACCTTTCCTTTCCCTCACAGACTGTGGGTGGTCTTCTCATCGCAAATGTAGTTGTCCTTCTCAAAATGGCAAAAACCTAGATTCAGCAGCTCCTAGCCTAAAAACATTCAATGAACTTAAAAGTAAATCTAATCTAATTAAAAGAGAATACATCCAAATGTTAAATCATTGGAATTATCAGTGATTTTTAGTCTCTTATTTTATACCCTTCTATATTTTCCATATTTTCTACAATAAGCTACAAAAAATTTTTAGAAATAAAAATGTAATTACCATTATAGTTTGAATAAAATTACCACTAAATTTCGTATACGAAATTTAATGATTTTATGTGAACACACTAAATACTAAATAACACATTTTATATTCCTGCACTGAGGGAGCTGCTCTAATCTGCAAAGGGTGCTTAAAAAATAAGCGACGAGCTGGGCGCGGTGGCTCACGCCTGTAATCCTAGCACTTTGGGAGGCCAAGGCAGGCGGATCACCTGAGGTCAGGAGTTCAAGACCAGCCTGGCCAAGATGGCAAAACCCCATCTCTACTAAAAATACAAAAATTAGCAGGGTGTGGTGGCAGGCACCTGTAATCCCAGCTACTCAGGAGGTTGAGGCAAGAGAATTGCTTGAACCCAGGGGGGCAGAGGTGGCAGTGACCCAAGATTGTACCACTGCACTCCAGCCTGAGCAACAGAGAGAGACTCTGTCTCAGAAAAATAAAATAAAAAATAAGCGACAGTTTGTATGAAAATATCTAGAACAGACAAATTTATGTAGACAAGGAGTAGATTAGAGGTTGCTAGGGGCTGGAGGGGGATGGGAATGGAAAGTTATTGTTTAATGCGTACAAAGTTTCTGTTAGGTGTGAGGAAAAAATTTTGGAAATAAATGGTGATGATCGCACAACACTATGAATGCAATTAATGCCACTAATTGTACATTTAGAATGGCTAAATGGTAAATTTTGTCATATGTATATAATTAGCACAATAAAAAATAATAAGTGATGGCTCAGCTAAGGGAGAAAATGTGGTCCAGAACGCGGGTCCTCCACTGGTCTTTGTCTCCTGCTGCCAGTGATCCCTAGCATTAAGCAACTGCTGCCCAGGGAGTTAAGAAACTTGTTCATCATGCCCCACTGACAGGGACAGGGGATCTTACCCCAGGCAGTCTGAAGCCAGATGTCACACCCTGAACCTTTTTACTGCACAATGACAAAACTGCCTGCTGTTGATGTCACATCTGGAATGATGTCACACAGGAATGATCTGCAGGTAACGCTGTAAGGGAGTTGCTGTTAACTGTTTAGAGGAGAAACCGGAGCCTTGGAGGAGTTGTCGACTGCTGCTCGGTTATGCAGCCAGTGGGTGGCAAAGCCCCCTGTTCACGCCCAGGCCTGGCACCTGCAAAGGCCAGACAGCGGTGTCAACACTGCTGGCAGATTTAAAATCACCGTCGCAATACTGAAGCTGGGTCAGGGAGCTGAGGTAGGCCAGGCTGGAAAGGCTTGGAGAGGTTTCCAGGGAGGGCAGGATGAGTTTTTTAAATCGACCGTTTGGTGGCTGCTTTGGGCTTCCGCTGCCAAGCCAGTTTGGGTCCTTGGAGGATCTCTCATCCTCCTCCATAAACATTCACCAGCCCCGGCCCGCGGCGTCGGGGCAGCGGCGCGGAACCCGGAGTGCCGGCTGGGTTCGCGGACACTGGCTCCCCGGCGCGGAGGCGCGGCTCTGCACGACGGGACTCCCGGGGGAGGGAGCGCAAGGGGGCCGCGAGGACGCGCGAGGGCGGGGCGGGGCCATCTGTACCGCCGCTTGGGGGTGGGTGCGTTTGCTAAGAAGGGCGCCAAGCAAACGGAAACCGCGCACCTCTACTGGATCAATCAAAACAGCGCCTCCGGACAAACGGGAATGGGGGCGGCGCAGAGGCCCTTCGGGAGGTTTCAGGCACCATCTGTGAGGGGCGCACCCAGGGAAGCTCTGGGTTTGTCCACTCTGAGGCCTGTCCAGTTGTCCAACCACCCTGTCCTCAGCGTCGTTTGGCGGGGACAGATGCATAGCCCCCCGGCCCAGTACAGCTGGAAGCGACTTCGGAAAGAAAACCTTGCAATCCCCCTATCTTACAGATAAGGAAATAGCGCCCCTAGAGGAGAAGCAGCTGCCCCAAGGTCACAGAACTGCTGGGGGCAGAGCCGAATGCCTTCCCTCCATCACCCCGCTTACATATTGAGATGAAGCCTTTGTGGTTCTACCTGCCCACGTATCTGTCAGCTTCTGTGCAACTCATGTGTGCAGTCTAGTCCCCAGCGCAGTCCCTGGAACCTAGTAGGTGCTCAATAAATGCTTGTGAAACGCAAACGAACGGAAATGGGACTAGAAAACCCAGGTCCTTAATCTGGGTTTAGATTAAGACCAGACAGAATTTAGAAATCCAAGAGTACTGACCATTGTTTAGAGTCAGAGTAGCTGGAGGCTGGATGAATACACCCAACCCAGGGACGCCCGACCGCTGCCCACGCAGCTCCACTCCTGTCTACAGTGAAAAAAAGAGCCACTCCCTCCCTCCCTTCGTCATCTCCCCACTCCTTCCCAAGGCTGAGGATGAAGATATCCTCTGAGGGCTTCGCCTTAAAACCTTAGAGCTGGAAGGAAATTTCCATCGCCTCTAGTTACAGTCTATGTAATGTTTTCTTAAATGATTTTCATTAAGTTCATTCAATATTTATTGTGCATCCACCATGAACAAGGCCCTATATTGCTCAAACAAGACATGTGATCCTTGTTAAAATCAAAAGCAAATTTACAAGTCAGGAGTCTTCTACAGCCAGAAGTATTTAGTGGCCAAACATAAGTATTCAATACAGACTATAAATACTGCAGCTGTTATTTCAAAAAGCAAAAGCCCATTTTAAAAGAGGTTAAAAGAGGTCATTCTTGGAGAAGTTTTTTTCTTCTTGATTGGAAAAAAAATTTCCAGGCATAGGGAACTGATCACTGGACTGGGGATGTGTCCCCAACTCTTTTCCTAGCCAATACAGATAAGATCTGCTCTGGGACAACCAAAGAAAGCTAAAGAAGACATGATATCTGGCAAAACAAGCCTAAACAAACCTCTGGAAAGTCAAGAAAGAATTGGGGGGAATGCAAGATTTATTAGAGCCTGCAGGAAACCAAAGTTCAATTAAGTAATTGAAAATATAGAGGCCGGGCATGGTGGCTCATGTGAGTAATCCCAGCACCTTGGAAGGCTGAGACAGGTGGATCACTTGAGTCCAGGAGTTCTAGACCAGCCTGGGCAACATGGTGAAACCCCATCTCTACAAAAAATGCAAACATTAGCTGGGTATAGTGGCACACAACTGTGGTCCCAGCTACTCGGGAAGCTGAGGTGGGAGAATTACCTGAGCCCAGGAGGTCAAGGCTGCAGTGGGCTGAGATCTCGCCACTGCACTCCAGCCTGGGTAACAAAGACCCTGGATTAAAAAAAGAAGAAAAAAAAATATGAAGTACTATAAAATATGAAAATAGGGAAAGGTTAGAGAATGAGCTGCCTGGTTGTATTAGGTGTTTGCTTTTCTTTAAGACTTGCTCTAAGTTGATATCATATCTCAGAGTCAGAGTCTCAGTTTAACAGATATGTGTGTACCTGGAGCCCAGCACGCTGTTTTACATGCAATGGAAGCCGTTCACGTTTGATGCAATTCAAGGCTTGGTGAGTCAAACTCAGTTACTTCACGAGCTAAACGTTTACCTACCCTGTGACTCTGCACTTTTTCTCCTGAATATATGTATACACACACATATATATTTGTACGTATATATATTTGTACATGTGTATATAAACATAGATGTATAGATATAGATATATATACACACACAACAGAAATGAGCGGTTAGGTCCACCAAAAGACATGTAGAAGAATATTTATGACAGCCTCATTCAGAATAGCTCAGACTGGAAGCAGCTCAAATGTTCATCAACAGGGGAATGGATAAACAAATTGTGGCGTAGCTATACAATGGAATAATGAGCAAGAACAAGCCACTCAACAACATTAATGAATTACACAGGCATTATGCTGAGTGAAAGAAGCCAGACACAAGAATATATATTGTTTAATCCAATGTATATGAAATAGAACACAAGCAAATCTAATTTATAGTGACAGAAGTCAAAATAATGGTTGCCTTTGAGACAGCAGTAACTGAAAGCCGGCACAAGGGGACATTTTGGGCCTCTGGAAATGGTATTTTGATCTAGGTGGTGGTAATGTGTGCGTGTGTGTATAAATATTTATACACATATATACACGTTTAAGCATAAGTATGTAAACATACATCAAGTTATACACTTAAAATCAGTGCACTTTATGAAGGTTATGCCTCAATAGAAAACAGGAAGAAATCGTTTCGGCCAGGATGACAAGTGCATAGTGGGCAAGCTACCATTCTCCCCTCCCCGGCCCGCGGCAGATGTCGCTAATTAATCACCACACTCCTTTCCTTTGAGCTCGGCTTCAGAACCATCTCAATCCAGTGCTCCAGCCAGCTGTGCTTTGAGGCAAAACTCTCAGCTTTCCCTCATGTATACACAAGTATGTTGATTAAGATAATTAATTAATCATCTTACCATCTTAATTATTAATTATCATCTTCAATTTGTTAAGCCACACTCTGAGGAAGCCTGACTCTCACTATGGACTGGTGGCAGCTTCCCCAAAGTCTGGGTTCAGTTCCCAGGAGGAAGTGGCTTCTGAAGAGCACATTTGGATGCGGGAGAGTGACAGCGGGAGGGGCACCCCACAGGAAGGAAGCCCCTTGACAGAGGGCTGGCAGATTAACGCAGCACACAGGTAAGCATGGGACCCAGGAAAGGCTCAAGTTTGGGCACATTTTCTACCAAGTGGAACTAACTGGTTTTTCTTGACTGAGGAGAGGGAAGAGGAGAGAAGTTGAGGCTGGACTGCAGGGACTGGCACCTCTTGATTTGCCCGAGGTTCTCTGGCACCTGAAGCACAGCCTGCCCCTCAACAGTCACCAAGGCACTGTGTCTTATCGGGGAGGATAACGCTTCCTGTGGGGTTCATCCTGCACAGCGTACAAAATCTTCCGCTTCACTATCACGCCATCATGAGATCTGGATAGGGTGGGAATTAGCCTCTCCACCCCAAACCCCTGCCTCATTTTAAAATAAGAAAACTGGCCGAGCGCAGTGGCTCACACCTGTAATCCCAGCACTTTGGGAGGCCGAGGCGGGTTGTTCACTTGAGGTCAGGAGTTCGAGACTAGCCTAGCCAACATGGTGAAACCCACCTCTACTAAAAATACAAAAATTAGCTGGGCATGTTGGCACATCTGTAATCCCAGCTACTCAGGAGGCTGAGACATGAGAATCATTTGAACCTGGGAGGCGGAGGTTGCAGTGAGCCAGGATCGCGCCACTGCACTCCAGCCTGGGCAACAGAGCCAGACTCTGTTTCAAAAAAATAAAATATGCTGGGCGAGGTGGCTCACGCCTGTAATCCCAGCAACTTGGGAGGCTGAGGCAGGCAAATCATTTGAGGTCAGAAGTTCGAGACCAGCCTGGGCAACGTGGCGAAGCTCCATCTCTACTAAAAATACAAAAATTAGCCAGCCATAGTGGTGCGTGCCAGTAATCCCCAGCTACTCGGGAGGCTGAGGCAGGAGACTCGCTTGAACCCGGGAGATGGAGGTTGCAGTGAGCCGAGATCATGCCATTGCACTCCAGCCTGGGCGACAAGAGCAAAACTCTGTCTCAAAAAAAAGTAAAATAAAGTAAGAAAACCAAGGTTCAAAGAGGTCGTGTGACTCATAAACACCCTGCTAACGAAGTAAGGGATTCCAGACTCAAACGCAGGTCTGTGTCATACAAAGCCCGTGCTCCTTCTGTGCCTTATCCTTTCATTTTAGTTTTTATTTTTCATCAAAGTTATCCATGGACATAAATGGACAACTTGTTCTGCAAGATTTTTTATGAAAATGGCAGTTCCTCGTCCCCATTTCCCTCTCCTGAAAGTAACAACTTTCACCACTTTATTTTTTATTATTTATTTTACTTTTTTTGAGACGGGGTCTTGCTGTGTCACCCAGGCTGGAGTGCAGTGGCACAAGCACAGCTCACTGTAGCCTTGACTTCCTGGGCACAAGTGATCCTCTCACCTCAGCTTCCTGAGTAGCTGTGACTACCGGTGCATGTCACCACGCCTGGCTAATTTTTGTATGTTGAGGGAGATTTGGGGTTTTGCCATGTTGCCCAGGCTCGTCTCAAACTCCTAGGCTCAAGTGATCTGCCTGCTTCGAGGCTGCAGTGAGCTATGATCATGCCACTGCATGCCAGCCTGGGCAACAGAGGAAGCCCTTGTCTCAAAAAATAAATACAATAAGATACAAAAAAGCGGTATTGCACTGGTTATAGTTTAGCTTCTCTCTACTGGCTGACTGCTAAGAAAGATGTTGCAGCTAATTAATGAAAAAGGAATGATCAAATTAGAGTGATACCATTTTGTACCCACCAATTAATGAATGAATCTAGGCATTGTGTATCAGCAGCTGTGAACGTCACTCCCTTTACACATACACACACACACAAATAATACATTATGTGCTCCTCTTGAGGAAGGAACACACCATCACCTATAGTTGTCAAAAAATCAAAACCTGAATTTGATCAAGCCTCTAGATTTACCAATTTACTGGAAATACAGACATATTCCAGAGATATTGTAGGTTCAGTTCCAGACAACCACAATAAAGAGAATATTGCAATGAAGCGAGTCACATGAATTTGTTGGTTTCTCAGTGCATATAAAAGTTATGTTTACCCTACACTGTAGTCTCTTAAGCATGCAATTACTATTGTGTTTTAAAAGGCAATGTATATACTTTAAAAATACTTGGCCGGGCACAGTGGCTCACGCCTGTAATCCCAGCATTTTGGGAGGCCAAAAGTGGATTACCGTAGTCACAATTTAAATTTACTTTTAGAATTATTTGATTCATATCTGCCTCACTCGCTAGGCTTTAAGCTCCAAGAAGGCAGGAGTCATGCCTGTATTAGCTCGTCATTTTATCTCCTGGTTTAGCACATGCCTGGCGCATTGCAGGTGCTCAGTGAAGAGAAACTGAATGAACTAAATATTAGATTGACAAGAGAGTTTGGTCCTCCCATCCCAGCTGCCACCGTTTGCATGCTGTTGCCCAAGGAAACCTGCCACCTTCTGCAGCCGTTAGACCCCTCCTAGAGGAGCCACCTCACCTCCCTCCACCTGCTCCCTCCTCTTCACCCTCCTTGCCTGCTGCTCAGAAGCTCTAGGCAACTGGCTGGGTACAGTGGCTCACACCTGTAATCCCAGCACTTTGGGAGGCTGAGGCAGGCAGATCACCTAAGGTCAGGAGTTCAAGACCAGCCTGGTCAACATGGTGAAACTCCGCCTCTACTAAAAATGCAAAAATTAGCTGGGCATGGTGGTGCCTATAATCCCAGCTACTTGAGAGGCTGAGGCACGAGACTTGCTTGAACCTGGGTGGCGGAGGTTGCGGTAAGCTGAGATAGCGCCACTGCACTCCAGCCTGGGTGACAGAGTGAGACTCCGTCTCAAAAAAAAAAAAAAAAAAAAATGCTCCAAGCAACTAGAATAGACCTAGAAGAACTGAGGCAGCCATGCAAACCTGGCCCCTCTGGCCCCACTGAGAGCCAAAACCTCCTCCGCAGGTCCCTAACAAGCCAGTGAGTCTGGGTCCTAGGTCCTGGGTACTTCCCCTAAGGCCTGGAACTTCCTTTTTTTGAGACAGAGTCTCACTCTTGTCCAGGCTGGAGTACAGTGGCAAGATCATGGCTCACTGCAGCCTCGACCTCCTGGGCACAAGTGATCCTCCCACCTCAGCCTAGTGGTTGAACTACAGGTACCCGCCACCAGGCCCAGCTAATTTTTTGTAGAGATGAGGTTTCGCCATGTTGCCCAGGCTGGTCTCAAACTCCTAGGTTCAAGCAATCTGCCCGCCTTGCCCTCCCAAAGTGCTGGGATTTACAGGCATGAGCCGTCATGCCCAGCCTGGCCTAGAAGATTCTTAAAGACGCATCACCACAGTCATCTGAAGAATTCCCTCCACCTAAGAACCTGCTCCCCCGACTCTACCCTGCTGGATGGAAAGAAGGCCTGGGCACGTATTCGATTATCCAGTGAGGACTTGCTGAGCGCCTGCCATGGCCAGGCTCTGTGTGAGATGGTTGGGGAATGTCAGTGAACAAACACGGCAGACACAGTCACGCTCCCCTTGCTCCTTGCTCACCAAACAAATTTCATTCCATCTCTCACCCTGGCCCCTTGGGGTCTTTGTTGTTTAAGCCAATCATGGTGTTATATTCCCTTATAAATGCTGGCATTTTTTTGTAGAGATGGGGTTTCGCCATGTTGCCCAGGCAGCAAGATGAAAAAGTACTTGGCACTACTACACTATACATTTTAAATGGTTAAGATGGTAAATTTTATATTGTGTTTCTTACTACAATTACAATTTATTTTAAAAGTTTGCACATGGGTAAGACTAAATTGTAGAGTTTAAGAAGGCACTCTTGGGTGAAATTATAAAGAAATGCAAGGAAGTTTTGCTATAAAAGTAGCTGAGTTTCTCTTTGAGTATTTCGCTCTAAGTACCACCATTGTCTGTCCAGTCAGACAAGAGGACTCATGCTGTCACACCCTGAGTGCCCAGTGAAGCTGGAGCTGAACCCCAGGCCATCCTGTTTCCACTACACCGATGCTAGCATTCACAAGGGAATAGAGCACCATGACTGGCTTAGACGAATGACAATCCCAGCCAATAAAACTTGACGAGGCGTCTGCTGGGAGCTGCTGGGAAGGTTTTCCTCACCCTTACAAAGGGACATGAAGAAGAAACACCTCCTCCTCAGGCCAACATTGTGTGATGCCTGGAGCTGGGGCAGCAATTTTGCAACCTCGAGGGAAATGACTGCCACGGTGAGAATGGCAAGGCTGAAAGAAAGAACCCAGGTTATTGGTGACAATGCTGAGCTTCTGGATTCACCACCCTGGACATGCCCTTCCCCTGATATTTTTGTGGCCTATAAAGATGAAAGCCCTCATTGTTTACACTGGTCCTGGATGAGTTTTCTATTACTTGCAACCAAAAGCCACCTACAAGGGACAGCTCACGCTTCCTGAGCAACTGCTGGCTAGCAGGCACCGAGTCACAGACCTTAGTACTCTCTCATTATTCCCACTCACCGCTTAGGAGCTGGAAGTCATGACCCCATTTTATAGCTGAGGAAGCTGAGACCCAGAGATCAACAGGGACTCGCTGTGTCACACACTGAGTGCCCAGTGGAGCTGGAACTGAAGCCCAGGACATTCTCTTTCCACTACACCAATGGTGGTGATAGATTTCATCACTATGCCCATTGGAACTCTCCGCTACAAGTGCAAGGAAGGGGAACTAGGCCAGCCCAAGCCACAGGGTATCCAGGAACTCAGAATCAGTCTCTCTCTCTCTCTCTCTCTCTCCCGCCAGCTCTCTGTCTCTCTCCCATCATTGCATGCTCCATACTCTCAGGCCAGCTGCCCCACTAGGCTAGAAGTATGGCCACCAGCAACCCTAGTCTCACATCCCAATAGCCAAGGGACAAAAAGGACAGCAGTCTCACTTTCCCCAGCTCGAGTTTTATTGGCCAACCTTGGGCCACATACCCCTGCCTTGGGCTAATCATGTGAGTCTGAATTCTGGGTGCTACTTCCTGGTCTGTGGCTTGGACTATTCAAGCTCTCTAAGACTCAGTTTGCCCATCCTTAAACAAGGATAATAATAATCGTACCTACTTCATTGGGTTTTTGGGGGGATCATTCATTGATTTAATGAATACTTATTGCAGCCAATTCTGTGCCAGGCAGTGTGTTAGGTGTTGAAGCTACAGTAGAGGACAGAGACCCAATCGCTGCCCTCGTGGAGTTAATAGTCTAGCGAGAAAGACAGATGTTACATAAATAAACACATGAACGATTCTCTCTATTACAACTGTGAGAAGTGTTTTAAAAGTACAGAGTTCCACTGGAGAGAGGGAAAGGAGACCTAGCTCAGGTCAAATGAGTAACATTTAAAGAGCCCAACACTGGGCTTGGCACGACTTAGCTTTCAGTCTATGTAGCTATCATATAGTTTTTACTCGGCATCCTCCCAACCCTCTGGCCTCCCCACAGCCACTTCCCACAGGGAGAGGAGCTGAGTGACTTGGCTGCCCTGCAGCCAATTACAAGCTTCCTAGGGGACAGACAGCAAGTGTGGCACATGCGTTGGGACAGCAGCGGTACAGCAGGTCCCAGGGAAGCGCAATGCTGGTGGGCGGCACACACCCAGCTGATGACATCGCCACTTATTGGGAGCAGCCTTTCCTGGGCTCCAGCTGAAGACCCAACCAGGAGGCCTGCAGAGGCCCCAGTGGCTTCTCAGGTTCCAGGGTCTCCCAAGCTCCTTCGGCTGGCTCTGCATGGAACCCTAAAATGCACTGCCGAACAAGTGACTTGCCTTTCACCATTGCCAGGCTCTGCCATCATGAGCCTCAACTCCCTAGCCTCAGGGACAAGGGTCCTGCCCCTACCCCTGCCCCAAGGCACCGTGCTGTATAATCACTTCCTAGTGACCGTTTGCAAACCTCTTTGTGATCCAGGGATGTGTCTGTGGAACATACTCTGTCCCCAGCAGGGCCCTATACAGCTCCTACCCACCTCTCTTGTGCAGAGGCACTGTTTCTTCAGGGAAGAAGGGCCAAGAAGCTGCCACATCGGATCACTGCCACAAACACTGGCTCCGTTCCCGCCCCCATCACCACTGCCCTGGCCTGAGCTCAAGCCCCCATGGGACCCCAGTGCCAGCCCATCTGGCTACCCGGCCTCCAGGGTCTCCCTTCCAACATGAGACAGCCAGAGGGGCTGCCTGGAGCACATGCCACTCCTCCATTTGAGCACCTTCAATGGCTCCCTGGATCTGCACCATCCGGCCAGTCCCCTAATGTTGCCACAAGGCCCTTGTGATGTGGCCCTTGCCTAACATTTCCAACTGTATGTTCTCAGCCAGCCAACTATATGCACAGAGTTTGCCTGGAACATGATACATGTTTGTCAAACACGTGTCCCCTTCTGCATTAATTTACTATGTGCCAGGCTCTGTGTGTGGCTCTGGGATGCAGTGGTAAGCCACACGGACATAGTCTCTGCCCTCAGAGAGTTCACAGTCTAGTACAGGAGGCAGACTGCAATGAAACAAAAGCAATCACAAGAGCTTATCAGGGCAGGGTGTGGTGGCTCATTCCTATAATCCCAGCACTTTGGGATGCTGAGGCAATCGGATCGCTTGAGCCCAGAATTCAAGACCAGCCTGGGAAACATAATGAAACACCCTCTCTACTAAAAATACAAAAATTAGCCGGGCGTGGTGTCATGTGCCTGTAGTCCCAGCTACTTGGGAGGATGAGGTGGGAGGATCACTTGAGCCTGGGAGGCCAAGCTGCAGTAAGCTGTGTTCATGCCACTGCACTCCAGCCTCAACAGAGTGAGACCCTGTCTCAAAAAAATAATTAATTAAAAAAAGAGTTTATAGTTACAAATTATAGTGAGAGCTATGAAGGACCCATCCATGAAGGATGGAGAGTATTAGAGAAGTGTGACTTTGCCTGGGAGTCAGCAGCTCCCCTGAGATGACACCAACCTGACATCAGATGAATGAGTAGTCACCATCCAGGTGAGGGGTTTGGGGGTGGAGGGAGAGTGTCCCTGATGCTGAGGCCAGAGAGCACCCACAGGCTCTGGGATCTGGAAGCCTGGGGGCAGGTGGGCCCTAGGGATCCCAGGGCTGTGAGTGGAGATGCAGATGGGGCATGATCCCCCTGAACCGAGGAGGGATGGGAATGAAAACAGGGAAGCCTGGTGAGTGATGCTGGGGGTTTGGACTGATGTCATCACAGTAGAAATGCCAAGTCAAAGGGGACTTTTTAATTGAACTTTTTTATTATGGAATTTTAAAAAATAAATAAATGTAGACAGAACAGTACCATGAACTCCTGAACCCCTCATCCAGCAGCATCCACAACAGCTGACCCACAGCCAAGCTTTTCTCAGCTATACCCCACCCACGCTCCTTACCCCAAATGTATGATGCCGAAACAAATCCCAGATTTGTTTGCTGTGTAGTTCACCCATGGATATTTCAGTATGTATCTCTACAACAAAAGGACTGTTTTTAACATAACCGCATTATCACACCTAAAAAATAAATGATAACACAAGGGGAAATGTCTGAGGCTTGATATTTATTGCCAAACTACCCAGAAAAGCCCCCCGCCGACCCCAAGCAGGTGTGAGGGTCCCCATCTCACTACACACTTGCCAACACTGGGAGTTACAAGAGATGGATTTCTACAAGAGGCTCACCCCAAAACCGAGGAGCTAACCCTTAAATTCCAGGTTCACTTAATTAAAATGAGGCAGCCACAGAAACACTTTCTGTGGAAATCTCTCTCACACATCCAATGGCCACTTGTGAGCGGCCAGCGATTGGGGGTTGTAGAGACAGGAGGTGGTGAGCCCAGCAACCCCTGCCAGCTCCCCAGGGTGGGCCCAGTACCGGTTCATGGAGTACCCTGCCGGCTCCCCAGGGTGGGCCAAGTGTGGGTTCACAGAGCACCCTGCTGGCTCCCCAGGGCGGGCCAAGTGCGGGTTCATGGAGCAGGGCCCCTGCCCATCCTTCATCTCCCACATCTGCCCTCAGCCAATGGGGCAGACTGAGAAAGGGTTTCCTTAGGACCCAAGGGTTTCCAGAAACAACCCACCAGAGCCAGAGAGGGAAGGACCAGCAGGTGCTCCCTCCTATGGCAAGCACATGCCCCTTCAGAGCTCAAAGGGTTTCTGTTTGAGCTGAAACCTAGGGACTCACTGCCTTGCCTCTCCTCAGACCTGTGCCCCCCCTACAGTGACTCATGGGCGTCCCATTCAGTCAGGAACCTAGAATATTAAAAGATCTACAAGCCAGATAGGTGAGTTTTCAGGTTCAGAAAGCAGTTTCATCTTTCTAGTAAGATGGAGGCAGCCACAGTTCCAGAACTCTCTGCGCAGTTCCCTAACCTTTCTGAGCCGTGGTCTTTACCTAATCAGGTTTGACTTCCTGCTACAGTCTCCTACTCTCAGTCCAGAATAGAGGCGGCAACCAGGCATGGTGGTACGTGCCTGTGGTCCCAGCTACTCAGAAGGCTGAGGTGGGAGGATCGCCTGAGCCCTGGGAGTTCAAGGTTGTAGTGAGCTGTCATCGCACCACTGCACTCCAGCCCAGGTGAGAACCTATCTCTAAAAAAATTAAAAATAGAGACAGCTGTCCTTCCTGCAAGCCAGCCAGCCAGACACTGAGTCTTTGCTGTGTTCCAGGCACCCTGCTAAGCCAGGGAGATGCAAGGGTGAATAGGAACTGATCCCTTCCCTGCAGGAGCTCACCATCTCTAAGAAAAGCAGTCACATAAACACTGTGCAACGTGACCAGGGCTCCAGAAGAGATGCGTTCATGCTGCTGTGGGAATTCAGCTAGTGGAGCCAAGAGCTCTGCCTGGAGAGAGAAGGCTTCTAGGGGGCGGGATCTTAAAAGCTGGGGCTTGAATGACACTGGGGAAAGTCAAGGTGGGGGAAATCATCTCCTGGACAGGACATGAACTAACACTCTTTGGATTCAAGCAGCAGAACATCTTTTCATACACTTACTGGACATTTGTACGTCTTATTTGAAGTAATGTCTATTCATATCCTTGCCCATTTTTAAATTGGGTTATTTGTTTTTTTTTATTGTTGAGTTGTAAGAATTCTTGGCCAAGCTCAGTGGCTCATGCCTGTAATCCCAACACTTTGGGAGGCTAAGTCAGGAGGATGGCTTGAGCCCATGAGCCCAGGAACGTGAGACCAGCCTGGATAAGACAGCGAGATCCCATCTCTACAAAAAATTAGCTAGGTATGGTGGTACACATCTGTAGTGCCAGCTAATGGGGAGGCTGAGGTGGGAGGATTGCTTGAGCCCAGGAGGTTGAGGCTGCAGTGAGCTGTGATCACATCACTGCACAACAGCCTGGGAAACAGAGCAAGACCCTGTCTCAAAAAAAAAAAAATTCTTTATATATCCTAGACACTACTCCCTTGTCAGATATATAAGTTGCAAATATTTTCTTCCATTTTGTGAGTCTCAATATCCTTTCATACCTTTTGAATCTGGTGCCATATACATATACTAGCTATTCAGATATCATAGGTAATTCAACATTTTCTGGAGCCACAATAAGAAAGTAAAAAGACAGCTGGGCGCGGTGGCTCATGCCTGTAATCCCAGCACTTTGGGAGGCCAAGGCGGGTGGATTGCTTGAGGTCAAAAGTTTGAGACCAGCCTGGCCAACATGGTGAATCCCCATCTCTACTAAAAATACAAAATCAGCCTGGTGTGGTGGCGGGTGCCTGTAATCCCAGTCACTCAGGAGGCTGAGGCAGGAGAATCTCTTGAACCCGGGAGGTGGAGGTTGTTGCAGTGAGCCAAGATCGTGCCACTGCACTCCGGCCTGGGCGACAGAGCAAGACAGAAGCTATATTATGTAGAATTCCATGACAGTGAATGAGGTATTCCATGGACACAGATGGTTGCACTGGCAGAAGTATTTTGGGAAGAGATGGCAAATCCATATCTAGAATAAGAGTCTGTTCCAGTGAGGACAAAATTGATGTCCCCTCTATGGTGGAAGGGGTCCAATGTAGTTAGTCTGCCACCAGATGGCTGGCTGAGGTCCCCCCACCTCCAGGAATGATGAGCTTCTGAAATGTCTGGAGGGCATTTTCTTTCCTTCCTTTCAACATTCACTCAACAATTTGCTGGGGGCCTCCTCTGGTCCCAGCCCTATGCTCAGACTATAAATGACATAGCAGGGGTTGGGCCCTTGGTCACTGTCTCAGGCTTAGGGTTTAGAGACATGAGAAACAGAAATGGCTGCCATGGCCACCACTGCTAAAACAGAATGACCCAGTGAAAAGAGCACTGGGCAGGGAGTCTGGGGTACCTGACTTCTAGTCCAGGTTTGCCGCTAGCACCCATGTGACAGAAGTGGGGACACTGTGCTTCTCTAGGCTCAGATTCCTCATCCTTGAAACAGAATGGAAGCTCCAGGATGGCGAGGACCAATGGTGGACCAAGGCTAGGGGGTGATGAGGGGGTACGTTGTGGAATCAGTTCCCCTTGGGTGCAGAACACAAGTCATTTGTCAGCCGGGTGCAGTGGCTCACATGTGTAATCCCAGCACTTCGGGAGGCCAAGGCGGGCAGATCACCTGAAGTCAGGAGTTCGAGACCAGCCTGGCCAACATGGTGAAACTCCGTCTCTACTAAAAATACAAAAATTAGCCGGGCGTGGTGGTGTGTGCCTGTAGTCCCAGCTACTCGGGAGGCTGAGGCAGGAGAATCATTTGAACCCAGGAGACGGAGGTTGCAGCGAGCCAAGATCGTGCCACTGCACTCCAGCCTGGGCAACAGAGCCAAGCTCCGTCTCAAAAAAAAAAAAAAAAAAGAGTCATTTGTCTCTGAAGAAGTTTTTAAATAATTAACTAATAGTTGGTCTCCTTTTTGTTATCACAATACACCTGCTGTTCTAAACAATGCCAGTAAGAAAATACTCATCCAAAAAAAAAAAAATCCTTGTTTTGCCTGAGTTCTAAATAATTACTACAGTTACTATTAGGTTTTCATAATGTACGTGTAAGCTTTAAATTAGCAATTTTAAAATTATTTATCTTTTAATAAACATTGTATTCTACATGGACGTTAACTTGGAGTACTCCGTTCTACAGTTGTACCCAGACACACACAGACCCAACTACCTGTGATTTTTCTAGGGTAAGTATGTAGTGGCTTGGAATCTTTCAAGCTCACTTCTGGCAGAATGATTAAAATTTAAACAAATAAATCAAAGACAGAGAAATTTAAGTCCCCACCAACCCCGTCTCTTAACACTTGATGCATTGAACCAGGGAAGCTCACCTGCGCCATCTAGTGGTAGAAATGGTGATTACAGGCACGTGTGGCTGGACATTCTCATCCCTGCGGGCAGCTCTTGTCCCACAGGAGTAGGGGGCACAGGGCTATGGAGCGCTTGAAATGCGACTCATCCGAATTGAGATGGGCTGAAGGTGTAACATGCATACTGAATCTCTAAGACTTAGTATGAAAAATAATGTAAAGTAGCTCTTTAACAATGGATTATACTGATTACATATTGGTTTTCTATTGATTACACATTCAAATGATAATATTGGGGGTGAGGGAAGCCTCGGGAAGGTTTAATCAGACAAGTCAGCCCCAAGGCTATTGCATCCTAGGTCCACCTAGATCACAACGAGCAAGTTCCTTCACTTCTCAAGGCCTTAGTTCCCTCATCCTTAAAAATGGATGGGTGATACCGACATCACGAGACTATGATGATTAAATGCGATAAGGCATACAAATGCCTAAGACATTTACGCTCAGGAGAAATTGGTTTCCTTTCTGTCAGAGCTAATCAAAATGGCAGAAAAACTAGAGTAGGCAGCCTCCTGGGGGCACTCTCAGAGGGTCTGGATTTATTTCCCTTTTTCCCCTTTGGCACTATGCTGCAGGTGTGTGGCCCAGGCAATCAGCCCTCCTAATTGTGGAGGACCAGCTCCAGCTGCCGCCCTCCTGGGCCCCTGCCCGCCTCGGCGCCCACTGTGTGCACAGCACCAGGCGCCAGCTCGTGAGCTTGCTCTCATCCTGTGGGCCAAGGCCCAATCCCACCTTTCTGCCTGGGGGTCTTCCCAGCCACACCAGCCCCTCCACTTCCCGCAGTGGGCGGCCTCCCTGTATCCACACCCACCACAGGGCACAAACCGCACACCCACTGCCACCTCTGCATCAGTGGTTCTGTGTCATGCTGGACCAACAGTATCAGCATCAGCTGGGAACCAATGAGAAATGCAAGTTCCTGGGCCTCAGACCTGCATCAGAGACTCCAGGGGTAAGGCCCGGCCATGCTTCAGAAAGACTTCTAGGTGACTTGGCTGCCTGGTCAGTTTGAGAACCAGTGCCCTATCAGCCCTCACAGCCGCCGGGCGCGGTGGCTCACGCCTGTAATCCCAGCACTTTGGGAGGCTGAGGTGGGTGAATCACGAGGTCAGGAGATCGAGACCATCCTGGCCAACATGGTGAAACCCCGTCTCTATTAAAAATACAAAAAAATTAGCCGGGCGTGGCGGCGGATGCCTGTAGTCCCAGCTACTCGGGAGGCTGAGGCAGGAGAATGGCGTGAACCCGGGGGGCAGAGTTTGCAGTGAGTCGAGATCGCGCCACTGCACTCCAGCCTGGGCAACAGAGCAAGACTCCGTCTCAAAAAGAAAAACACAAAACAAAACAAAAACACAGCTTCCTTTGCTCTCCCCTCTGCTCCCCTCCCACCCCCTCCGTCAGTGGAGCCCCTATTCGGTTGTGGAGGAACTCCTGTGCCTAAAACTACCCTGTCATCTTCCCCTTCACCATTTCGCCCATGGTAATCTTCACCAAACTTTAGCAAACTTTCAGTAATTTTATCACATATGCAGGCCACTTTTCTATTTCTTCCTCAACATTTTAAATTTGATACAAATTCAAATACACACTTTAGGTGGGCACAGTGGCTCATGCCTGTAATCCCAGCATTTTGGGAGAGCAAGGCAAGAGGATTACTTGAAGCCAGGAATATGAGACCAGCCTGGGCAACATACCAAGACCCCATTTCTAAAAAAAAATTTTAAAATTAGCTGTGCACTGTGGTGTGTGCCTGTAATCGCGGCTACTCAGAAGGCTGAGGCAGGAGGATTGCTTGAGCCCAGGAGTTAGGGGCTGCAGTGAGCTATGATGGCACCACTGCACTCTAGCCTGGATGGATGACAGAGACTTTGTCTCTAAAAAACAAAACAAAACAACCCCAAATATACACTTTAGCCTGGTCCTAAAGAATCTAGAAATTCAGACTTAACATATAAGTTATATTTTTCTATCACATATTAAACACTATTAAAGACTGTTCATCACCAGGCATGGTGGCTCACACCTGTAATCCCAGCACTTTGGGAGGCCGAGGCGAGTGGATCACCTGAAGTCAAGAGCTTGAGACCAGCCTGGCCAACATGATGAAACCCCGTCTCTACTAAAAATATAAAAATTAGCAGCTGGGCGCGGTGCCTCACACCTGTAATCCCAGCACTTTGGGAGGCTGAGGTGGGCGGATCACCTGAGGTCAGGAGTTTGAGAACAGCCTGACCAACATGGAGAAACCTGTCTCTACTAAAAATACAAAATTAGCCTGGCGTAGTGGCACATGCCTGTAATCCCAGCTACTCGGGAGCTGAGGCAGGAGAATCGCTTGAACCCAGGAGGCAGAAGTTGCGGTGAGCCAAGATCGTGCCATTGCACTCCAGCCTGGGCAACAAGTTGTGCCTATAATCTCAGCTACTTGGGAGGCTGAGGCATGAGAATCACTTGAACCCAGGAGGCAGAGGTTGCAGTGAGCCAAGATCGTGCCACTGCACTCCAGCCTGGGGGATAGAGCAAGACTCTGTCTTTAAAAAAAAAAAAAAAAAAAAACAAAACACCTGTTTATCCAAAGTACTGTCTAGAAGTCATTTTGGGGAAACGATGCCTGCAGTGTAGCCTGACTCTCTCACAACACACTCTATCCTACCCTTTCCTGTCTACCCCTCAGGGCTTCCATTTCCCTCCTCCTCTCATCTGCAGCCCCGACTCTTGACAGCCCTACCTTCCTGGACCATCCAGCACCTCCCTTCCATCAACCCCCCACCCAAGACTCTGACATCCCTGACGACTCCCTGTGAAACATCACCAGCTAAATAAATACACACGGAATGAATGAACTCTGGGCCCTCAAAACATCCACCTCTGCCCCACAGCGCCCCAAGCCCCCGTCCTTATGTAACTCGTCTCTAAGTAACAGCTCCAGGAAGTGTCCCTGGACCTCCCGTACACATCTTTCCGGGCCTCCGCCCACCCACCCTTCCACCTTACTTTCCCACCCTCACCAAAGGCCTCGTATGTGCCAGGCATTGCACTAGGTAGTGTGGAAACAGAATATAAAGAACAGCTCTGGCCTTCAAGGAACTCAGATTCCCATAAGCCAGAACCAGTCTTCTTATTCCTGCTATTGCTCCCAGAAACATGTCACAAGCATCCTCCTTTGTCCACATCAGAACACCTGGAAACACAGGGTCAGCCAGAGTGGGAGGCATGGTCAGCACACCAACTGTGAGTTAGCAGGGGTTTAATAACAAAAGCCATCTCCAGTGACAGAAATGAAATCACTGGCAGCCTGGGGCAGGGGCATGGGGAACTGACTGCAAAGTGGCATGAGAGAACTTTCTGGACTGACGGAAATGTACATCTTAATTGGGGTGGTGGTTACAGAGACGTATATGTTTGTCAAAACTTATCGAACTGGCCGGGCGCAATGGTTCATACCTGTAATCCCAGCACTTTGGGAGGCCACGGCGGGCAGATCACTAGAGGTCAGGAGTTCGAGACCAGCCTTGCCAATATGGTGAAATCCCCATCTCTACTAAAAATGCAAAAATTAGCTGGGCATGGTGGCGCTTGCCTGTAATCCCACCTACTTGGGAGGCTGAGGTACGAGAATCACTTGAAACCAGGAGGCGAGGAGGCTGCAGTGAGCCGAGATTGCGCCACTACACTCCAGCTTGGGCGGCAGAGTGAGACTCAGTCTCAAAAAAAAAAATGTATCAAACTATATGCTTAATAGAGTTAATTTAAAAAGAGATAGACTCAAGTCCCCCACACTGCCCCTCACTAATGCATCAACTGGGCCTAAGTCGCCATCTTTCTGAAACTGTTTCTCTAACACATGGTTTGTGGGCTAGTTCAATGATTTTCAAGCCACTTATTTAAACAAAATCTTACTCTAAACCAGGTAAAAGGGAGCTCCCTGGCTGAAGAGGATGCGGAGAATCAGGTGCTGTCCTTCTGACCCCCTTCCCCTCCTCACAGTAACCCTGGCGGCACTGCATAAACCTATCTGAAACCATTGGGATCCATTGTCTCTAAGGTCCCAAATAGCAATGACCGTCTTTGATTCTATGTCTCTGCTAAAGATTTGCTTCAGACTAAATATATCCCCTTTTCCTCCACACCAGATGGTTCTATATTCCTCCCCATGTGGAAAGAGTAGGTTTTCATGCTCCCATGGAAGAGGGAAGCAGAGACAAGAAAGAAGGCCATGTCTCTCCTCTCCATTCTCCTCTTCCTAGGTCATGTCACAAAGCACATACGGCGGGTGTTTAAGAAGGGGCTACAATATAAGACCTCTCATTAATGGCCAATTTTGGTTACATCAAAGTACTTATTAAAGCCTGGATCACTGGGTCATTAGATGTCCATTAAATCCCCATGGCTCTTCATCAGAGAGGCAGAAGGCCCTGGCCCAAGGCCTCTAACCTGAGCAGAAAGACTTAGTGGGTCTGTATGCCCAGGGCAGTAGCTCACGGGGGTGGGGTGACATTTTTAGTGTTTGTCCTGTCCTCTGACCAGCTCTCCCTGCTTCTCCTCCCCAGAGTGGACTAAGGACTAACTAAAGGAAAAAAGATGTGGCCAAGGTTCTGGTGGAGTAGGTTGTTGGGGAGAAAGGACAGCATAGGATTAGAGGCCCAGAGGTTCTGGGACAATCACTATATAACATGGGCCACATGTGTAATTTTATATTTTCTAGTTAGCCACATTAAAAAGGTTAAAAGAAACAGGTAGAATTCATTTTAATGATACATTTTATTAACCCAACATATTCAAAATCTCATTTCAACATGTCATCAGTGTAAAAAATTATCGAGATATTTTTATATTCCTTTTTTCTTCCTACATCTTTGAATTCTGTTATTTCGCACAGCACATCTCAGTTCAGATGGGCCACGTTTCCAGTGCTTAATATGCACCTGTGGCCAGAGACGAACGCATTAGGCAGGGCATGCAGAAGAGCAGAGAAATGAGGACAGACCCTCCCTAAGCAGTTCCTGCAGGGCGTGGGGAGTGTTGGCGGAGGTAAGTGAGTGGATGCCCTCCTGCGTCCGAATGCCATTTATCCTCTTCCCGGAAGGCGCGCTTCTTGCTGTCCTCTGGGAGCCACCACTGAGAGGCTCTGGGAGTGTCCTGTGCAGATCAGCAAGCAGTCAGGAGCCGAGCAGCCCAGCGCCATGCAGAGGATGCCAGCTGGGCTCCTGGGCCAAATGCAGGCTGCAGAGGGGTCGGGTTTGGCTTCCATGGCGTTCTTAAATATCTTGAAGCACTTGTGGTTCTCATTACCTTACATGACCTTCCTGGCTCCTATAGATATTGGGTTTTGTAACCCCTGCCTAACACCATAGTCCTGGGAGTCCAGCAGCCCTGGATGTTAGGTTGGCCACTTTGTCAGCTACGTTTCTTTGTAACTGACAACATAAGTTATCAAACTATTCATATGTGTCTTCTATACAATTGGAGATAACAGTACCTGATATGGTTTGGCTTTGTGTCCCACCCAAATCTTATGTCGAATTGTAATCCCCACAGGTCAGGGGCAGGACACGGTGGGAGGTGATTGGATCTTGGGAGTGGTTTCCCCCATGCTGTTCTCCTGATAGTGAGAGAGTTCTCACAAGATCTGATCTTTTTTTTTTTTTTTTTTTTTGAGATAGAGTCTCACCCTGTTGCCCAGGCTGGGGTGCAGCGGCGTGATCTTAGCTCACTGCAACCTCCACCTCCCAAGCTCAAGTGATTCTCGTGCCTCAGCCTCCAGAGTAGCTGGGATTACAGGCATGTGCCACCACGCCTGAATAATTTTTGTATTTTTAGTAGAGACAGAGTTTCACCATGTTGGCCCAGCTGGTCTCAAACTCTGGCCACACATGATCCGCCCACCTTAGCCTCCCAGAGTGCTGGGATTATAGGCATAAGCCACTGCACCCAGCCAAGATCTGATGGTTTAAAAGTGTGTGGCAGTCCCCTGGCCCCCTTCTGCTGCCATGTAAGACATGCCTTGCTTCCCCTTCGCCTTCCACCATAATTGTGTTTCCTGAGGCCTTCCCAGCCATGCAGAACTGAGATTCAATTAAACCTCCTTTCCTTATAAATTACCCAGTCTCAGGTGGTTCTTGATAGCAGTGTGAAAACAGACAAATACAATACCTCACAGAGATGTATGAGTTTAATGAAACAATGAATTAATTGGCTAGCACAGAGCTCAGTAGATAGTAAGTACTCAATAAATTAGTTTTTCATTCACAAGAAATTTGAACTCCTTAGAGGCCCTGCTGGAAAAAGGGAAGTACGTGGGCAGAAGGGGCTCCCATCAGCGATCCCCACTTCTGAACATGAGTGCTGAGGAATGGCTTCTGGGCTCACAATTTTCATTAATTTTTTAGTGTCAAGAAATGTCTTTTCATTCAGGCTGGACACACAATAGACTCTAGGATGTTAACAACTTCAAATGGGGTGAAAAGCTATACTGGTTTTTGAGAACTTTCTTAGGTTATTTGCCACATGTACACATGTACACACTCCACAGGGATTTACAATTTATAAAGCTCTTTTTAATACATGATCTTGTCTGGATTTCAGAGTACATTATATGGAGAAGTAGAGTGGTTGTCAATATCTGTATTTTACAGATACGTTGAAACTTAGCAAGATTATGTAATAGGTCGGTGCAAAAGTAATTGTGGCTTTTGCCATTAAAATGCCACATACTTTTGCACCAACCTAATACTTACAGTTCTCATACATTCACATGTAGACAGAGTAACTGAATCCAGACTCCACGGCTGTGGTTCCTGGTGTGGTTTCCTTCCTCTGGCACCAACCATCAAACCCATTTTCACCATCCACTGTGAATGTCATGTGGGTCTGAACTATTATGTTCAGCCCTTCAAGTGAACCAGTGGAACTTAGTTGAATGAGACCACAGCCTCTTATTTCTAGAAGCTTCTACTGTGAGACTAAGAAATGTGATTATGTAGAGAATGACTAGTAAATAATTCTTAGTTTTTTTTTAATTGAGCTGAGAGCAAATAAAACACAAATGAGTTTTTTTTAATGGAACTGATGTTTGCTTTTAGGTTGAAACTTCCTAGCTCATCAAATACAACACAATCCCAATGGGAGAGATTGAGGTTGGATATATCTTCCAAAGAATGCCACTTTCTAAAAAGGATAGTGTTTCCACTGCAACAGTTTCAGTTCCCTGGATAGAATCTTCTGCTCATGTAAGGATCTCCCTTAACACAGCTATAAAAATAAACAGAATATTGCTGGGCATGGTGGTGTGTGCCTGTAGTCCCAGCTACTCAGGGGACTAAGGGAGGATCACTTGAGCCCAGAAGTGGCTATTCACGGGTGTGATCACAGAACCTGAACTAGCCACCGAATAACCACTGAACTCCTGTCTCCAGCCTGGGTAACATATTGAGATCCCCATCTCTAAAAAAAAAAGAATGAAAGGAGGGAAGGAAGGAAATGAGTAATATTTAACTGCATCAGAGGAATAACCTCTGCTTCTCTCATGCTTAGTATGCTAACTTGCTTTTCTTGGTTCTCAAATGATGCAATCTGACAGAGCTGCAGCTTCCTGGTTGAGGGTTATTTTTTCATGCCTATATTTAAGATGCTTAATTTTGTGATTCATTCTTTATAATTAGATATAATGTTTAGAATATATCCATGTATATCATATTCACATTTTTCCTTTGAGGGCTTTAATTTTCCCCTCTGAGCTGATCTCAACTGCAACCTTTTTTTTTTTTTTTTTTTTTAAGACAAGGTCTCACTCTGTCAGCCAGGCTGGAGTGCAGTGGCATGATCTTGGCTCACTGCAGCCTCCACCTGCTGGGCCCAAGTGACCCTTCCACCTCAGCCTCCTGGGTAGCTAGCACCACAGGCACACACCACCACGCCCAGCTATTGTGTGTGTGTGTGTGTGTGTGTGTGTGTGTGTATTTTTAGTAGAGACAGGGCTTCACCTTGTTGCCCAGGTTGGTCTCGAACTCCTGAGCTCAAGTGATCTGCCTGCCTCAGCCTCCCAAAGTGCTGGGTTTACAGGTGTGAGCCATGGTGCCTAGCCTCAACTGCAACCTTAAATTTGCAATTGCCATGAGTCAAGAGAGCCCCAGCTGTGTCCATGTGGAAAACTGACATTTCCCCCAAGGTCGGTGTGTGTGTGTATATATGTGTGTGTGTGTGTGTGTGTGTGTGTGTGTGTGTGTGTGTGTGTGTATATATATATATATATATATATATATATATATATATATATATGCATGCCCTGGACCATGTACAGTTGAAAAACATGGGTTTGAACTCCACAGGTCCACTTACAAGCAGATTTTCTTCCATCTCTGCCACTCCTGAGATAGCAAGACCAACCCCTCCTCTTCCTCCTCAACCTACTCAATGTGAAGATGATGAGGATGAAGGCCTTTATGATGATCCACTTCCACTTAATGAATAGTAAATTTATTTTTCCCTTCCTTAGGATTTTCTTAACACTTTCTTTTCTCTAACTTACTTTATTATAAGAATACTATATGAAATACATGTAACATACAAAGCATGTGTTAATTGACTTTATGTTATCCATAGGGCTATTAGTAGTTAAGTTTTGGGGAAGCCAAAAGTTATATGTGGATTTTTCGACTGTATGGGGGTTGGTGCCTCTAACCCCAGCACTGTTCGAGGGTCAACTGTGTACCTTGTTAGTTTGAATTACAGCTCTTTTCTAGCCCACTGGCCCCACTTTTTTGGTTTCTTTGCCCCTTGGGCTCATGATTTTTAGACAGCCTGTTTCTTTTCTCTTTTGCCCACAGATATGGTTCAATTGAAATAAGCACTCCTCAATACTAAGGCATTGAAAATAAAAACAACCTATTTCTGAGAATAAAAGAGGAGAGCTAGCATGACACCAGTGGCCCCAGCTACTCACCCTAATCCCGATTCTAGGATAGAACACTCAGGTTCTGGGCACTGGATGCTGATGATAAAGGATTAGATATTAATGATCAATTTGAACCAAGACTTGGTCATTGCTCAACTTCAATTTTTCTTCCTTTTTTTTTTTTTTTTTTATAGTGAAAATCAAGAGGCTGGGCCTTGAAGCATCTCAGCAAGCATGACGTCCTCTACACCATACCCTCTGGCCTGGGGTTCAGCAGTCTTCACCATTCCCATTCCCTGAACCCCTCAAAATCAGGAATACAGGTAGGAACAAAAAGTGGGCAGCCCACATAGCAGGCAAAGCTAATGGAACTAGCCTGCCAGGAACGGGGACTGAGAGGAAAACTCTTTACACGTTTCTGTTTTTCTATCTTTCCTTTTCACGTTTTTTGTTTTGTTTTGTTTTTGTTTTTTTTGAGACAGAGTCTTTACCCAGGCTGGAGTGCAGTGGCGCGATCTCAGCTCACTGCAACCTCCGCCTCCTGGGTTCAAGTGACTCTCCTGCCTCAGCCTCCCAAGTAGCTGGGATTACAGGTGTATGCCACCACACCCGTCTAATTTTTGTATTTTTAGTAGAAATGGGGTTTCACCATGTTGGTCAGGCTGGTCTCGAACTCCTGACCTCAGATGACCCACCTGCCTCAGCCTCCCAAAGTGCTGGGATTACAGTTGTGAGCCACTGTGCCCGGCCCCTTTCCACTATTTAATGCATGTCTACCTCTTCAGTCCTTTCTACAATTCAGTGATTAATGATTATGTGCTCAGTACCGTACTCAGCATTTTGGTCCTCTTCCTGTTTTTCAAAATGTCCCTCTTGCCCCCGCCACTCCCTTTTCTTGGCATCACCCAGTTTCCCACATGTAACTTTAAGAGTCTCTCCATGCTTCATTTTGAAGGACCTGGTTCCTTTCTTCACAGTGAGTAATACAAGCTGGCCCTTGGGGGCTGGGGAGAGAGGGACAAGTAGTTCTGAATAGCGCCTCAGAAGCTAACATGGCAAAAGAGGAGTGTGTGGGTAGGTAACAGAGTAAAGACAACTGTAGAGTGTTTATTTCTATTCAGGATTTAAACAACATCTTTGTCATCAAAGTAGCTATGTCAGCATCAATAACCTGCTGATTATAAAATTTACCCTTGGCAGAGAGAAAGAGAATTAACCTTTAATGAATAATTGCCATCTGCCAGCACTGTGTAAAGCTAGTGATTCTCAGTATTTTAATCGTCAAGGATTCCTCTGAGATTCTCGTAGAAGCTATGAAATCTCTCCCCTAGAAAAATGCAAATGTACATAAAATTTTACATAGAATTACAGGGGCAAACTATTGTCCTGAAGCATAACCACAGACCTTAGATTAAAATCCTCCATGCGAAGTCCTTGTTATTGAGATGTATACCGTTCTCCCCACCTTACAGATGAGGGGACAGGAGATTCAGGGACTTACCCAAAGTCACATACCTAATAAATTGCAGCCATAGGCTGGGCACAGTGGCTCACGCCTGTAATCCCAGCACTTTGGGAGGCTGAGGCGGGCATATCACTTGAGTACAGGAGTTCAAGACCAGCCTGGCCAAGATGGTGAAACCCCGTCTCTACAAAAAATACAAAAATTAGCTGGGTGTGGTGGCACACAGCTGTAGCCCTAGCCACTTGGGAGGCTGAGGTGGGAGGATCACCGGAGACTGGGAGGTGGAGGCTGCAGTGAGCCAAGATCGCACCACTACACTCTAGCCTGGGTGACAGAGTAAGATGCTGTCTCGAAAAAAAAAAAAAAATAGCTGCTATAGACTAAATGTTTGTATTCCCACAAATTAACTTTGAAACCTAATCTCCAATGTGATGATATTAGGAGGTAGGGTCTTTGGTAGGAGGGGTCTTTGGGAGTGTCTTTGGCAGGGCCCCCATGAATAGGATTAGTGCTCCTCTAAAAGAGGCCCCAGAGAGATCCCTTGTCCCTTCCACCATGTGAGGTTACAGTGAAGACGGCTGTCTGTGAACCAGGGAGTGCACCCTCAGCAGACACCCAATCTGCTGGCACCATGCTCTTGGACTCCCCAGACTGCAGAACTGTAAGAAGCACATTTTTGATGTTGAGAAGCCACCTAGTCTATGGTGTTCTGTTAAAGCAGCCCAAGCCCACCAAGACAGCAGCAGGAACATTTCAACATGAGCTGTCTAAACACACCTTCCTGCCTCAGATGAAAACTTCATCTAGGTTTTCCTGTTATTGTAACCATCACTCCTTGTTTTTAAATGAAGAAATAAAAATTATGTGAGAAACTGAAATCTATGTGAAGCATTCTAGACTCAGCCATGGGAAATTAGGAAGCTCAGGATCCCAGAGGCTCCAAATCATACTTCTTATCAGCCAAAAGCCCCGCTCCTCCTGAACCCACCCACCCACCTAAAAACAAGCCAAAGAGGAGCCTTTCTAGAGGCTTCACTTTCCTCAGAACAAGAGAAAAACTCTCTCTTCAACATCAACAGTCAAAATGTGAATAGACCAGTCAAATCCTCTGGATATGAAACAAAACAATTTTAATTTCAGAATATTACAAGAATATAAAAGAAAGACAATGCATAGGATCGTTTCTTTACAATTACATATACATAGTCAAATAAGAATGAAAACTTTAACCAAAACACTTAAGAAACCTTGTTTCTCTTGTTGAGCAAGCTCAGGGATAGGACAAAGGCAACCCTTGCTCTGCAGAAAGAACCCTGGGGTGAGGGAATATTTCCCCCAACAGGTTCTATCTGTCCCCAGACATGGCCAGGGGAGGGCTCCATGGCTCTTTAGCACAGGCTGTGGCCTCACACACTCCAGTCTCCATGGTAACCCAAGCACTCAGGCTATTATGTCCCACACCTCCTCGCTGGCCTGCTTCTGTCAACTCTACGCTGGTAGAAGATCTCGGCATTAGCTGTCTGGGGAAGCTAACTTCCTACAGTGGGTTTTAGTTGAGTTAATCACCACTGGTGTAAAACGCTTGTGCATCTTAGGAACCCAAATCTTCCCCAAATTCTAGACAATCCCACAAAATGCTAGTATCTAGGTTTAGATCTAGGTCCTGTCTTCCGTTTGAAGCCTTCAGGGTAAAGGAGGGCAGAGATAAGGCTCTCTCCTGGGGAAAGGAGTTCTACACAAAAATGACCTCAGAATGGGGGCCATTAGCCTCAAGCATCTGTGTGAGGCCTTGTAGGAAAGGAGACAGAGTCTAGAGACATCTATTCCTAAAAATCACCTGGTTGCATGGCCAGTCACTGTGGGGCACGTTCCCAGTGACCACAGGTTCTCCTAGACGGCAGTATTTTCAACTGCATGCTAACACAGGCTGCTGTGAGGGAAACTGAACAGAAACGTTCCTACTCAGGAGGAGAGAATGGCTCTGTTCTGACACTCTAGGATCGACTGCTTCCTTACAGGTCAACAGAACAGATACCTCCGGAGCACCCAGGTGTCACTGCAGTCAACAGCCCTCCACTAGCCCATTTCCCAAGGGTGTTCCCTTGTCCTTCCTGAATGACTCTGGAAGGACATTCTGGGTAAAGAGCTTTCCTTTGCGGAGGATCAACTGTAGTTTTGGTTACGATTCATTACCTGCTCCTTTTTTTACGGTTCGTTACCTGCTCCTGTTTTGGCCCTCAGGTACAGTCAGTATCTCCTGATGCTCTTTCACTACTACAGCAGGGTTTTTCACACCAGATTCATTGGTCCCAATGCAAAAGTCTATCATTGTAAAAGGTGAGAAATTCCAACGCCTATGGTTCTCACTAATTTAGTCAGTGGGGTTCACACAGTACAGTCTGGACCAGGAAGGTGGCCTGCAGTTTAATATGTGTATCCCTCTGGCACAAACACAAGGCCCCAAATTGACACCACATCAAAGCCCATCACAGGTGACCCCAGAAAGAAATGAAGTTGTAAAAGCCACAAGAAGAGGCACTTCCAGAGAGATTGTTCCAACATGAAAAACAAACACAATGAAATAGATTCAAAAAAAATCTTATAGATTAAAAAACTCTGTTAAATACTGGCTCAAAAACAATACCTGCCCACCAAATCAGAAGGGAGACAGCAGCCTTCTGTGGCAAATGATAAAAGGGGTTTTCTCTGTGTTTTCCGTAAGATTCCACTGGATTAGAATAGTTACATATTACAAGGTAGAAGGTTATGCTGCTTACTCCTCAAATTTGGATTCTAAGTCGATCACAGCTTCTATTAAGAAAAATGACCTATAAAACCCCTAAAGCAAGGGAAAACATATTCAATAAATAAACAAAACACACATAAACCACCCAAGGAGACCAGCTATATAAAGGCATGTGCATGTGATAAATATCTCTCTCATGATCCTCACCCCAGAACACAACCTTTGCTTATGATTCCATTCACCCAAAGAGCATCTACATCCGTCTAAATCTCAGCTACTTCCCTTAAATAGAATCAAAAACTAACACGATGACAGGAGCTATCAGGTCACCACTCTGCTCCCTCTACCTGATGCCAGCCCTGTTTAACAGACCATAGCACCACTTCGGGATGAAGCACGTCTAAACAAATAAAGGAAAGAAGGAAGAGTTAAGGAAGAATACCATTTCAATTTGGTGATACCCAAAGGGTTTTCTGTTTGAATTAACTGATATCTGGTGTAAGGGATTTCATTTTCTTAATAAGAAAAAAAAAGTCAAATATTTAATAGAAACCTACGCAAACGAATTTGCTAATATGTGTTTTTACAAATGACATAAAACTGCTCTAGAGAAAGGGGCTTCTAAGCAGTTTTGTTTTCCTAACCATCTATTGTTCACACTGCATTAAGCTGGAAGACCAAATTTTACATTTTTCTCCACTATTGCTGTTACAGCAGCAAAAGCAGCAGAAAGGCTGGCAGAGGGGGCTGCCAGCTGGGCACAAGGCCAAGCTCTGCTCCCCCAGAGTCATCTTTCATTTCAGCAATGGTGCAGCATATTCAACAGTTTAGAAATAGGTCAGCAAACCACATTTTGTGGGGCAACTGCTTCCCCATAGTGGCCTGACTCGGCTCCAACCCACAGGGTGAGAAGGGTTGTACAGCTCCACAGAGCCAGGCACAAACCTGAGCATTCCCCCCTGCTACATGCTGCTCTCTGGGCAGACACCAGTTCATACTAGGTCAAAGCCATGCCACTGCTCTATCCAACACAAGTGAACACACCAAATCCAAAAGCCAGAAGCTCTGGCCCCATCTCCAAATTACCACCTGTGTCCCTTCTGACAAAGAGAGGGCGGAACAGTAACACTCCTTGAACATTGGTGACAAGCCACAGCTGCTTCCAAATAAGAACATTCTCTCCTTTAAATCCTGTCAGCCCTGCAGAGGTTGCTGCTTGCTTCTTCTTTCTGATCCTAACTTCCTCTCAGGAGACGGTCTAGCCTGCACCCTCAGAGGGTGCAATGTAATCCCACCCATAAAGAGTCATCCTGGGACATAAAGGCAGCCAGCCCCCTCCTAGGCACACTCCAGAGCTTCCCCCACATACAAATATTTTAGCAAACTTCTCTTATGCTGTCAGTGACTTTCCTTGAGTCACAGTGATTTGGTTCAGAAGTATTACGTTGGCACCAGAGATGTTTTAGTCAAGAGGAAATTGAATGAAGATAACAAGTTCAGCAAAACACAATTATTTTCACATCACTGAGGAAAGGGAAAGAGAGAGAGAGATGGACAAGGGAGGGAGAAATGGAAGGAAGGAAAAGAGTTTAATAATTAAGATTTGTTAAAATACTGTATCATTCTGAATTCTCCTTTTTCAATACTGCAGGTCAAATACTCTGATGTCACACCCAAGAAATAATAAAAAATGTCCAGAAAAGCTATAAATTCTTTGGACACAAATTAGGTATTGAGGAATACAGCCTCATAAGATAAAGAGTTTTCCCAAAGCTCAAAGTGAAAAAGAGGGAAAGATATCTAGCTTAGAGCCCAACCAAAAACATGGCTTTTAAAACAAAGAAATAAACAAACAAAAACAACCAAATACCCAATACTATCAAAACAGAGAAAAACCCAAAATATCCATTAAAAACAACATCAATCCACTGGGACAGTGCTTTTTAAAAAATTACTGGCAGTTGAGCACACATTTCATATTTTTTTTCAAAAGTGGAATCTGCCTAAACACATTGAGTGAGCACTGAAGCCCACCTTAGTGTGCTGTATAAGCTGGTTGGATAGTTAGTGGTTTCCCCATAATATTAAAAAAGAGAGACAGGGCCTAAGCACTCTCTCAGAAGGCACAGCTTGCAAACATCATCCAGTGAGTGGGGTTAGAGGTATCAGTCGGGTCACGGTATTAGTTGGCTTTGACAATTCAAAATGCAGCAAGCAAGCTGCAAGTCCAAGCTTTGCTGTGGGCAGGAATAACACCTGCCCACTAAACAGAAAATTCTGCATGGACCATAGGAGACAACTCTGGATCCTTCAGAGAAATCCTAGGTTGAAGGAAAAACAAGAGCGTTAGACATGTTCTTAAATATTTCTTTTTGCAAACATCCCACTCAAAAGCTACAGGGTCTACACTTAATATTTTCTCCAAACTGAAGGCTAATGAGTTTAATTAAGAATGTGTGACTCTACCAAATAAACATCTGCCTGATATAATCTCGTTCATTAAATCATCTTAATGGCCGTAACAGCTAACAGTAAGTACATATTTTGTGCTGCTCTAAGTTATTTATGTACATTATTTATCCTCACAATAACCAGTATATGAGGTACTACTCCTACCATTTTACAGAGTAAGAATCTGCAGCCTACATAGTTCATTTGCCCGAGGACTAATATATAAGCTATTAAGCAGCAAAACTGGGAATGGAACCCAAGCCCAGCTGAATGCAGAACTCATGCTCCTACCACCACCGCCCCTCTCAACACTCAATGTTTACTAAAAGCCGACTCAGCACAAGGCACTGTCATTTTTCGGAAGATGAGAAGAACAGGAGACAGAAGGCCACAAATACACTAAGTCTGACCTTTGTCTTCTAGAAGAAAAACTAGTTACAGAGATAAGACAATATGTGAAGTAAATACAGTAAATCATACTAAGTGTCAATATTTTTGTAGCATTAATAAGTTCAAAGGAAAAAGTATTATATTTGGCTGTGTTAGCCAGAGAAAGTTTCAAAGAGGAGGTGAGATTTAGGCTAGACTTTGAAGAATGGGTAAGATTTTGACTACTGAAAATAATGGCCATAATAAGTAGGTGCTAAATCAGTGGTTCTCATGTGGAGATGACTTTGCCTCCTCACCCACCATGGGACATTTGGCAATGTCTAGAAGCACTTTTACTTATCACAACTGGGGGAAGGATGCTCCCAGCATCGATGGGGTAAAGGCCAGGAAGGCTGCTCATCATACAGTGCACATGGCAGCTCCTACAACAAAGCATTATCTGAACCAACATGTCAGTAGTGTGCCAAGGTTGAGAAATCCTGTACTAAATAATAGTCTTTTTGGATTATGTTGTTGATCACAGTAATAAAATTACATTATCTTCTTCAAAGAATATGTTACTTTTATTATAAACATCACTATCAAAAAATCTGAGGTTGTATATTCATTGTTGTATAAAAGAAATACATGGCAGGCACCTGGATCTGTGGGCTTGGAGACTGCCAATGTCTGAAGAGAGTTCAGACCTGGCATTGCCAGGCTGGAAGTAGTTATCATACAGAGAGCAGAGCTGAGCAGTGGAAGGAGACCAAGCTGCAAAGAGGCAGGAGAAGCAGGTGCAGAAACGAACAGAACTTAAGAGCAGAACTTAAGATAGAGCATTGAAAAAAATAAAGATGTAGTGGAATAGGCAAACAACAGTAAGCCACTGCAGATAAGGAAAAGAATTAAAGAGGAAGAAGAACGAGAATAATGTAGCATCATAACACCAGGAAGGCATTTCCAGATAGAGGAAGTGACCAGGAGAGAGTAAAGTGAAAATGCCATTGCCTGATCCAATTGAGGGTCATTCATTATCTCGACTTCTCTGAACTACTAACATTTTTGAGAATCTAATTAGAACCATATATTCTCTCCCCCAGAAAAATACACATATGTACCTACACAAAAGATTGCATCAACAATACCGGGAACTTTATTAGACCATTTAGGAAGTCCACAGATGACAAGGTCAACAATCCCTGCTCTAAAGCTTATTGGTGAAATATTAGACTGGTTTTTAAAAAACGTCTTTCTTTCTTTCCAAGGTAGAGCTGTCAATACAGAAAGGTATTATTTCCGCATGTCTTTCAAAAATGACAGCAACAAAAGTTGTAACTGATACAAAACAATGTAGCCTTCAAAAATAACTTATGCTTGGTTTTGATTCATGGACATACAGAAATATTTAGACACAAAAAACTCAAACCCCCATCTTGTCTCAATTAGACAGCCCAGCCTGGAAGACAGAAGCAACGAGGAAAGAAAAGAGAGTTTAGATAATTCATTCAAGGATAAGTAAGAAGAATATACTGAAATCTAATTTTCCAGAAAAGAATTTATCCATAAGGATTAGGCTTTTGATCTCTGCCTATTGCTGATGTCTCAAATAGTAATTATGCTCATATCCCAGTGATAAAACAATCATGTCAAACCAGACTCACTTCAGCTGCCACATGAGCCTTATATAACAAGACCAGGTTTCAGCCCGTTTTCTACAGTAACAACTATAACCACTTGTTAATGATTTAACAATGACAATGTGCTGCCAAAACATTATTTCAATTGAGCCTCATAATAAATTAATAAATCTGTGAAGTAGATGTAACTTTTATCCTCATTTTCAGAGGAGAAAACTTGAATTCATAGAGAATGGGTGGTTTTCCTGGGTCAGAGGAATGATAACTCCCATCAGGACTAACCACAAATCTCACGGTCTTTCCATTGACCCACTTGGCTCCTTCAGAGGAAGGCACAGCAGGCTTTTACCAGAAGAGCCTGGGACAATCAGCAGTCCCAGCATTAAATAGTCCTCTTTGTCCTAAATAGCCCCCAAAATATGCTGTATGATATGACTTCCAGGATCCTTAGGCACGAGCTGTTGATCTAGAAAGCTTCACTAATTAGGGCTGGCCTACACAGAAAAGGAACCTAACTATTCCATAAGCATACTCCCAGCACTGTTGAACTTGGTTTCACAAATTCATTTACACTTGTTTTTAATTTGCTTCGCAAGTATTCTTAAGGTATTTTCCCCCATGTGTCCTGTCTGTCCAAGAACACAGGGACCATGTGGGTCTGTGTTCACAGCTCTACCCTTAGCACCCAAGACAATGCTGAGTAAATGGTTCAATAACCATCTGGTGAATGAACTCAAGGGCAAGGACCTGGCCTTGTAATTTTTATGTCACTTCTGACTACAAATGTACTATCCTGGGAATTCAAACAAATGCTACTGACTAGATGCAGAAAGGAATTACATTTAGTAAGAACAGAGAGTAAGTACAATTAGTACCTTTTTTCCCCTCTTTCTTCCCTTCAGACCACTTCAATCTTGTTGGTGTCATCGTGACAGCTGGAGAGCCAGAAAATAACTGTAATAAGAAAATTGTACAGTGGTTTCAATGTTCTAATGCCATTCCTATAGACAGACTTTACTAACAAATGAATTATTTGTTCAATTTCAATGTGAAGAGTTTTTCTGAGACTGATGTATTTATATCTCATTAATCTTAACTGATTTACTGCTGGCTTAATGAAGTAGGCATGCCTAGGATATCTTGAACCACCACCCCACAGGTAATATAGAGCCTAGGAGGCCTGGCTCAAATGTCACCTGTGGAATCTTCCAGTAAGAACTAATTGCTTCCTCCAGCACTTGTTTAAGGAGCTACTGTACTGTACTACTCATCTGCTTGTGACTAGTGATATCATTCTTGAATTCAAAATGTGTTTGTTTGTTGAATGAGTCAATGAAAACCAACAGAAAGAAGGTAGCATAAATGAAAGGATTGAGAAAAAGCCATTTGAATGGCCCAAAGAAACACAGTAAAACAGATGACAGTATATCAATTTTCCTCTTTTCTACAAATATATACAGACAGACAGACAGTCCAAAGAACAGTGTCTTACTAAGTTCCTATTTTCTTTGCTGGTTCCCTTCAATTCACCAATGGCCACAGATTCTGGAGTAGGGTTCTTCTTTTTCTTTTCTGACATCATCTGATTTCCCAGGACCTTCCGCTGATTTAAGAACAGAAAACATTTGATTTATAAACACCTACTGCATCTACAGTGGAGCTATACTAGCCTTCAAAACTGTAATGTCCTTGGGTTAAAAAAATCTCAGCATTCTGATAATCCTGTATGGACCCTCTCAGGCCATCTTATACAAGAGAGGCCAAAGCATGTTACCAAAAAAACCCAAAATCATTACTTTTGTTTAAGTGATCACTTTTCCTCCACATTTAAAAGGGCTGAAAGGTTAGAAGCAACTTTATAGTTGATTTAAACAAGCTAATATAGGTCAATTACAGTGTGCCTCTGAGACCAGTTACTCACAATATAGAAACACCAGTTACTCATCATATAATTTTTTTCCCCAAAGATGTGCTGTCTCTGGCAACTATTTAAAAAGTCCCTCCCCCCTACTTACCACTGAGGGATACTTAGGCTGGCTCTTCTCTAAGGCACTTCTTCCTCCCTGTCATTTACTCACACAGGACTGGAACATTTGGAGACATTCTATAAGAGTTCCTAATATAGCCACAAGAAGGTAGAGGCCTTCTTAAGGGGGTCACATGACTGTACTGACATTCAGAGCAAGACTAAAAGCCCTTTCATCTCTGAACAGCTTAGAAGATGATGTAGTTTAGGTAACCGCCAACAGTGACAATTCTACCATCTTTGGAGAAATTTTTTTTTCCCTTAGAGAATAAATTTGAATTCTAAAAAAAGAACATATCAAAACTAGAACATTAAACCCTGCATTATAAATATGAGCAGCAATATTCAGAACATTCTGATTTAATAAATAATTTACATGAGAGGAGTTCTGGAGGAAAAAACTCTAGCCAAAAAAGGGATCCAGACAGGCTAGATGGTCAATTATACCTTGATAAGGCTGAGGGAAAACACAAAAATAATATTTTAGGCCGGGAGCGGTGGCTCACGCCTGTAATCTCAGCACTTTGGGACGCTGAGGCGGGTGAATCGCTGGAGGCCAGGAGTTTGAGACCAGCCTGGCCAACATGGTGAAATACTGTCTCTACTAAAATTAACTGGGCGTGGTGGTGCATGCCTGTAATCCCAGCTACTCGGGAGGCCGAGGCATGAGAATCACTTGAACCCAGGAAGTGGAAGTTGCAGTGAGCTGAGATCATGCCACTGCACTCCAGCCTGCACACCTAGTGAGACTCTTGTCTCACCAAAAAAAAAAAAAAAAAAAAAAAAAAAAAAGACTAACACATAGAGGAACATTTATCTGACTATAACTTTTCTGATTCTCAATCATCTCTATGACAGGGAAGTCAGAGGGAATGACAGATTCTTCCAAATGAGAAGAAAAAAACAAGAGTAAACTAACGATGTTCGTTTTACTAGCCCTGTCTAAGCAGGTAAATGCACTTTTAGGATTCTAGCTAAGGGATTTTTTTTAAACAATGATAAAATGAACATAACATAAAATTTACTATTTTAACCATTTTTAAGTATACAGTTCAATGGTATTAAGTATATTAATAGTGTTGTGCAACCATCACCATCATCTATCTTCAGAACTTTCTCATCCTCCCAAACAGAAATACTGTACCCATTAAATAATATCTCCCCATTCTCCTCATACTCTTAGCTCCCCTGACAACCAACCACCTTCTCTACTTTCTGTCTCTGAACTTGACTCACAGGTACCTCAGTGGAATCATACAGTATTTTTCCTTTTATGACTGGATTATTTCTCTTAGCATAATATCTTCAAGATTCACGCATGTTGTAGGATATGTCAGAATTTCTTTCCTTTTTAAGGACAAATAATGTTCCATTATCTGTATATCCAAGGTTTGTCATCCATTCATCAGTCAATAGACAGTTGGGTTGCTTCTGCCTTTTGGCTTTTGTGAATAATGCTGCTATGAATACGGGTGTACAAATATTGCCTCAAGACCCTGCTTTCAATTCTTTTGGTTATATACCGGGAGTAGCATTGCTGGATCACAAGGTCATTCTATTTAAATTTTTTAGGAACTGCCATACTGTTTTCCACAGTGGCTCCTCCATTTTACATCCCTATCAATAATGCATAGGGGTTCCAAATTCTCCACATCCTCATCAACATTTGTTATTTTCCGTTGTTTTTTTTTTTTTTTTTTTAATAATAGTCATCCTAGTGGGTGTGAAGTGGTATCTAATTGTGGTTTTGATTTACATTTCCCTAATGATTAGTGATGTTGAACATCTTTTCATGTGTTTCTTGGCCATCTGTACATCTTCTCTGGAGAAATTTCTATTTAAGTCCTTTGCTCACTATTTTTTTTTTTTTTTTTTTTTTTTTTTGAGACAGAGTCTCGCTCTGTCACCCAGGCTGGAGTACAGTGGCTCAATCTCGGCTCACTGCAACCTCTGCCTCCTGGGTTCAAACGATTCTCCTGCCTCAGCCTCCTGAGTAGCTGGGACTACAGGCACATGCCAACATGCCCGGCTAATTTTTTGTATTTTTAATAGAGATGGAGTTTCACCGTGTTAGCCAGAATGGTCTTAATCTCCTGACCTCGTGATCCGCCCACCTCAGCCTCCCAAAGTACTGGGATTACAGGCGTGAGCCACTGTGCGCGGCCTCTGCCCACTCTTTAATGAGGTTGTTTTTGCTGTGTTGAGTTATAGGAGTTCTTTAGATTATTATGGATATTAATCCCTAATCATAAATATGATTTGCAAATATTTTCTCCCAATCCAGGGTTGCCTTTTCACTCTGTAGATGGCAAAGGAAATTTTGATGTCAAGTAAGCCTAATGTCCTAGAAGCTACTGGCCCCAGGAGGTCAGGATTGAGAGTGAATTCTAGATATCTATAAATTATAACTAGGACCAAAATTACAGTAAGATGAATTTGTAAATGCTAACAGCTGTACCTCAAAAAAAAAAAATTACAGACACAGTGGCTCACATCTGTAATCCCAGCACTTCAGGGGGCCAAAGCAGGAGGATCACTTGAGCCCAGAAATTCAAGACCAGCAACACAGGCTGGGCATGGTGGCTCACGCCTATAATCTCAGCACTTTGGGAGGCCGAAGCGGGCAGATTACTTGAGGCCAGGAGTTCAAGACCAGGCTGGCCAACATGGTGAAACCCCATCTCTACTAAAAATACAAAAAATTAGCCGGGCATGGTGGTGGGCGCCTGTAATCCCAGCTACTAGGGAGGCTGAGGTGGAAGAATCACTTGAACCCTGGAGATGGAGGTTGCAGTGAGCTGAGATCACGCCACTGCACTCCAGCCTGAGGCATAGAGCGAGACTGTCTCAAAAAAAAAAGACCAGCAACACAGCAAGACCCCATCTCTACAAACATTTAAAAATCAGCCAGGTATGATGGCATGCACTTGTGGTCCCAGCTACTTGGGAGGCTGAAGTAGGAGGATCGCTGAGCGCCCAGGAGATCAAGGCTGCAATAAGCCATGATGGTGCCACTTGTACTTCAGCCTGAGCAGCAGAGCAAGACCCTGTCTCAAAAATAAATAAATAAATAAATATTACAAGTTATTTATTTTTAGGGCAAAAATTTTAAATTTTAAGCAAAGAGCTCCCTGTGTTGCTGGAATTATATATCTTAATAACAAAGTAATTTTTAAAAGAAAAGCAGGGCAAAACACCAAAAATAAAAACAAAAGGAAGCCATCCTCAGCAAACTAACACAAGAACAGAAAACCAAACACCACATGTTCTCACTTGTGAGTAGGAGCTGGCCGGGTGCAGTGGCTCATGCCTATAATCCCAGTACTTTGGAAGGCCAAGGCGGGTGGATCACTTGAGGTCACGAGTTCGAGACCAGCCTGGCCAACATGGTGAAACCTCGTCTCTACTAAAACTACAAAAATGAGCCAGGCATGGTGGCGCACGCCTGTAGTCCCAGCTACTTGGGAGGCTGAGGCAGGAAAATGGCTTGAAACCAGGAGGCGGAGGCTGCAGTGAGCTGAGATCAAGCCACTGCACTCCAGCCTGGGTGACAGAGAGAGACTCCATCTAAAAAAAAAAAGTGGGAGCTAAACAATGAGAACACATGGACACAGGGAGGGGAACAACACACACTGGGGCCTGTTGGGGGGTGGAGTGGGGGGAAGGAGAGTATTAAGAAAAGTAGCTGGCCAGACGCAATGGCTTATGCCTGTAATCCCAGCAATTTGGGAGGCTGAGGCGGGTGAATCACCTGAGGTCAGGAGTTCCAGACCAGCCTGGCCGACATGGTGAAACCCCCTCTCTACTAAAAAGGCAAAAATTAGCTGGGCATGGTGGCAGGCACTTGTAATCCTACCTACTTGGGAAGCTGAGGCAGGAGAATCGCTTGAACCCAAGAGGGGGAGGTTGCAGTGAGCCGAGACCATGTTATTGCACTCCAGCCTGGGCGACAACAGCGAGACTCTGTCTCAAAAAAAAATTAAAAAAATAAAAATAGCTAACGCATGCTGGGCTTCATACCTAGGTGATGGGTTTACAGGTGCAGCAAACCACCATGGCACACATTTACCTATATAACAAACCTGCACATCCTGCACATGTACCCAGAAATAAAAATTAAAAAAAAAAAAAAAAAAAAAAGATACTCAGTGCTTTTGGGGCAGCAATCTCTTCCAAAAAAGAAAAATAGAAAAGAAAAGCAGTGTATATAGCACTCATCTCTCTCCAAGTTAACCAAAACCTTGCCTTAGTTCATGCATGGAAATTTGAACCCCATGATCAAGTTATCTACTGCCACCTGATGGCAATATTCCTTCACTACATGTTCCGATAGTTTGAAGACTTATAAATTTAATCTGCAAACATGGTGATAGCAGCAATAACATAGAAGCATATTTTGTATTTGTTTTAAAAACAAGATTTTTACTGAATTTGATACATGGAAGAAAGTACAACAACTGTTAAAAATATTAAGCTCACAAAAATTTGGGGTATCAAAACTCACTAGCCTATTGGAAAATCCAGTTTTCTAACAGTTTCCCTAGTCTGTCTCAACTTCCTCACTTCTCCACAGGTTTACCAAATTGCATAAAGAAGTGTGTAACTCGAAGCTGATCAGAAAACAAAAGGGCCTCTTACACTGCTCAGGAATGCAGACTCTGTCCTTAGCCCCTTAGCCCCAGAAGAAAAGGAAGGACCCTTACTTCTACTCCTCACGTCACAGAGCCCCTTCTCTGATGTGCAACACAGCAAAGCACTTTGCAATATAAAAGCTTTTCAACATTTTGTCTTTACCCCCTTATAAACTAGCCCTTTATAGGGTCCCCAAAAAACAGAAGAAAACTTTTTATGCATAAGAAAAATCACATTGTTACATTTCCTAAAAATCAATGCTGAAAACGACAGCCCAGCATACCTACCTTAATAAGCCCACTGAAGGAGCGCGAACGAGCCCTCTTTTGTACCTGGGAAGTAGAAGGTTCTCGCCCTGGTGTCTGGGTCAATGATTGCTTATTAAACTAAAAGAAAACATGGAGAACATTTTATAAATACTTTCCCATCAAGACACGGCATTCTGTGACAACTAATAGCTAAGTGTAAATAAAAGTCCAGGAAAAACTGAGTCTGCGCATAGATGGATTAGGAGGTCAAAAAGCCAATCACAAAGTCAGAAATGATGATGCCAAAAGAAGTGGATTCAAGTGCTCTGAGGGGCTCTGCACGCCACATTCCTTGAATGTGGAATTACTGTCCCCATTCTACAGACAAAAAAACTGAGACTTGGAGAGCTTATGAAATTTATCCACGATCCCCAGCTGCTAACCAAGACTTTTTTGCAACAAAGCATCTTGGAACCACACAGTTACTGGCACAATCTAAAACAGTCCCTAATTTAACATAAATTGCATACAGAATTTTTTTAAGTTACTAAAACTCTTTAAATGGACATCTATCATGACTGCCTGACAACAATACCATCAGAGGAAATACATCAGAATGCAGACTTGTCAATGCTATCAACATCAGCTCTCTGGAGGTATCTAAAGTGGAAAACGAGAAGACCCAATGCATTGAATAATCTTATTCAATGCTTTGATTAGCCATTCATTTCCCACTTAAAAAGTAATAATAATATAGCATTTAACTCTTCTACTCTTCTGCCTTTTCAGATTGTTGATGATGTTGCTGTTGTTGCTGGAGACAGAGTCTCACTCTGTTGCCAGGCTGGAGCGCAGTGGCACAATCTCGGCTCACTGCAACCTCCGCCTCCCAGGTTCAAGCAATTCTCATGCCTCAGCCTGGCGAGTAGCTGGGATTACAGGCGTGCGCCACCACACCCAGCTAATTTTTTCTATTTTTAGTAGAGATGGGGCTTCACTGTGTTGGCCAGGCTGATCTCGAACTCCTGACCTCAAGTGATCCGCCCACCTCGGCCTACCAAAGTGCTAGGATTACAGGCGTGAGACACCACACCCAGCCTCTTCTGCCTTTTCTAACTATACTTTTAAAATTTCGGAACTGTAAAAATTTGGGAATTTTACCAGTTCAAGTTCTGGAGGTTAAAAAATTACTTTTACATAAAAGTACCAAGAGGTTCTCAAAGTTAATTGTCTCGGCAGGCAGAAAAATTAGCCACGTCTGAAGAGCTTAGCTAGTTAAGTATCCCTCCTGAATAAACTGGGACAAGTAAAAAATGCATCTTTCCTGATGGTGGCAAGGGTACAATAAGGTAAATTCTCTCATATCCAACTCAAGGGAGTGTTAACTGGCAAAATGTTCTGGGAAGGTATTTAGCAAGGTGTATCCAGAGCCTTTTTAAAATGCATATTAAAAAGTACATGCCACTAAAAATACAAAAAATTAGCCGGGCATGGTGGTGTACATCTGTAGTCTCAGCTACTCGGGAGGCTGTGGTGGGAGGATCATGATCACCTGAGCCCAGGGAGGTCGAGGCTGCAGTGAGCCATGATTGTGCCACTGCACTCCAGCCTGGGCAACAGACTCAGAAAAAAAAAAAAAAAAAAAAAATACACCACATATAAAGTGTTCTTAGCCTGAAAAACTGAATTAGAATCAGATCAAGCCTCTAGAAATAGATCTAACTACCAGTTTATAGCATGAACACAGGACTGTGAAACATGTTGAATAACATTACAGGAATGCAATCATTAAAATCCAGAATATAGGCCAAGCATGGTGGCTCATGCCTGTAATCTCAGCACTTTGGGAGGCCAAAGCCAGCAGATCACTTGAGCTCAAGAGTTCATGACCAGCCTGGGCAACATGGCGAAACCCTGTCTCTACAAAAAATACAAAAATTAGCCAGGCATGGTGGCACATGCCTGTAGTCCCGGCTACTCAGGAGGCTGAAGTGGGAGGATGGCTTGAACCCAGGAGGCAGAGGTTGCAGTGAGCTGAGATCAATCACGTCATTCCAGTCTAGGCAACAGAGCTAGACCTTGTCTCAAAAAAAAAAAAAAAAAAACTCAGTCTACGGAAAACAATATAGTTTCTTCCACAAATAAGGTTCAGATAAAATCATGCACCACATAATGACATTTTGGTCAATGACAGACCACGTATATGACAGTAGGTCCCATCAGATTATAATGGAGGTGAAAAATTCCTATCACCTCATGATATCACTGCTGTCCTAACATCACAGCGCAATGTGTTACTCAAGTGACTGCAGTGATGCTGGAATAAACAAACCTACTGTGCTGGAAGCTGTATAAAAGTCTAGTACATACCATTATATACAGTACATAATTCTTGATAATGATAATAAATGGGCTAGATGTGGCAGCTCACACCTATAATCCCAACACTTTAGGAGGCCAAGACAGGTGGGTCACTTGAGACCAGGAGTTCAAGACCAGCCTGGCCAACAGGGTGAAACCTCATCTGTACTAAAAATACAAAAATTAGCTGGGCGTGGTGGTGGGCGCCTGTAATCCCAGCTACTCGGGAGGCTGAGGCAGGAGAATCGCTTGAACCTGGGAGGCAGAGGTTGCAGTGAGCCAAGTCTGCGTCATTGCACTCCAGCCTGGGCGAAAGAGCGAGACTCTATCTCCAAAAAAAAACAAAAAACAAAAAAACAAAACAACAATAATGTTACTGGTTTATGTATTTACCATACTATACTTTTATCATCATTTATACCTTTTACCATTATTTTAGAGTGCACTCCTACTTATTTTTTTTTAAAGTTAACTATAAAACAGCCTCAGGCAAGTCTTTCAGGAGGTATTCTAGAAAAAGGCATTGTTATCATAGGAGATGACAGCTCCATGAGTGATATTGCCTCTGAAGACCTTCTAGTGGAATAAGATGTAGAGGCAGAAGACAGTGATATTAATGATCCTGTGTAGGCCTAGGTTAATGTGTATATTTGTGTCTTCAGTTTTGGAGTTTTTTTATTTTTTAGAGACGGGGTCTCGCTCTGTTGCCCAGGCTGGAGTGCAGTGGTGCGGATCATAGCTCACCGCAGCCCCAAACTCCTGGGCTCAAGCGATTCTTCCTGCTGAGGCTGAGGCTGAGGCCTCCTGTGTAGCTAGGACTACAGGCACACACTAACGAGACCAGTTAATTTTTTTAAATATTTTGTGGATACAAGGTCAATGCTGCCCAGGGTGGTCTCGAACTCCTGGCTTAAAGCAGTCCTCCCACTTTGGCCTCCCAAAGTGCTGGGATTACAGGAGTGAGCTACCACGCCCAGCCTGTGTCTTAATTTTTAATTAAAAAGTATTAAAATTTACAAACAAATTAAAAGTTTTTAAAATAGAAAAAAGCTTATAGCATAAAGATATTCAGAAAATATTTTGTACAGATGCATAGTGTTTTTGTGTTTTAAGCTAAGTGTTATTACAAGAGTCAGAAAGTTAAAAAAGTTTTAAGTCTGTAAAGTAAAAAAGTTACAGTAAGCTAAAGGTAATTAATTATTGAAGAAAAAAATTTTATAAATTTAGTCTAGCCTAAGTGTACAGTGATTATAAAGTCTACAGTCGTGTCAGCAATGTCCTAGGTCTTCACATTCACTCACCACTCACTTACTGACACACCTAGAGTAACTTCCAATCCTGCAAGCTCCATTCATGGTAACTGCCCTATACAGGTGTACTATTTTTTATCTTTTATACTGTATTTTTACTGTACCTTTCCTTTGTTTAGATACACAAATACTTACCATTGTTACAATTGCCTACAGTACTCAGTACAGTAACATCCTCTACAGGTTTGTAGCCCAGAAGCAACAGGCTATACCATACAGCCTAGGTGTGTACTAAGCTACGCCATCTAGGTTTATGTAAGTACACTCTATGATGTTCACACAACAATGAAATCACCTAAAAACACATTTCTTAGAACATATCCCAATCATCAAGTGATACGTGACTATAAAGAAAAAGGGAGTGGGCCGGGAGCGGTGGCTCACGCCTGTAATCCCAACACTTTGGGAGGCCGAGGTGGGGGGATCACAAGGTCAGGAGAACGAGACCATCCTGGCCAACATGGTGAAACCCCGTCTCTACTAAAATACAAAAAAAAATTAGCCAGGCATGGTGGCACGCGCCTGTAGTCCCAGCTACTCTGGAGGCTGAGGCAGGGGAATTGCTTGAACCCAGGAGGCGGAGATTGCAGTGAGCCGAGATCGGAGATCGTGCCACTGCACTCCAGCCTGATGACAGAGCGAGACTCCGTCTCAAAAAAAAAAAGAAAAATAAGAAAAAGGGAGTGAGAGAGAGAGAGAGAGGGTGTGTGTGTGTGTGTGTGTGTGTGTGTGTGTGTGTGTGTGTGTGTGTGTGTCTAAATGTAGTGTGGCACCCTGGATTGGATCCTGGAGCAAAAAAAAAGATATTAGGGGAAAAAAAAGTAAAATCTGTAATGTTAGTAAGTAATGTACCAATTTTTTGTTTTCTTTTTTTTTTGACATGAGTTTCACTCTTGTTGCCCAGGCTGGAGTGCAATGGCATGACCTCGGCTCACAGCAACCTCTGCCTCCCTGGTTCAAGTGATTCTCCTGCCTCAGCCTCCCGAGTAGCTGGGATTACAGGCCTGAGCCACCATGCCTGGCTAATTTTGTATTTTTAGTAGAGACGGGGTTTCTCCATGTTGGTCAGGCTCGTCTCGAACTCCCGACCTCAGGTGACCGGCCTGCCTCAGCCTCCTAAAGTGCTGGGGTTACAGGCATGAGCCACCCTGCTCGGCCCTGTACTAATGTTAATTTCTTAGTTTTTATAATGTTAATATTAGGGGGAATTGGGTAAAGGGTACTTACCCAGTTTTTATTTTAAAGTTTATTTAAGCAAACTGGCAATGTTTTAAGGGGGAAAAAAAAAAGAAGAAAGGGAGAAAAAGAGGCACTTATCTATTAAAAGGGACCTAGTACACGTAGCAGCCAAAAAAATAATGCATATTCGTTTATCATGCCACTTCTAGAAAATAATCTACAATGAAAATACTTATGAACAAAAATTTATAAACTAAAAACCTAATTCCCAAATATGCCCAGTAGTAGGCAAATTATGTATAAATTTGGTTACACAGAATAGAATATTATATAAACATTTAAGGTTGGGCATGGTGACTCATGCCTGTAATCCCAACACTTTGGGAGCCCAAGGCAGGCAGATCACCTGAGGCGAGGAGTTCAAGACCAGCCTGGCCAATATGGCATAATCCCGTCTCTACTAAAAATACAAAATTAGCCAGGCATGGTGGTGCTCCACTATAATCTCAGTTACTCGGGAGGTTGAGGCAGGAGAATTGCTTGAGCCCAGGAGGTGGAGGCTGCAGTCAGGCGAGATCACGCCACTGCACTCCAGCCTAGGCGACAGAGCAGAACTCTGTCTCAAATAAAGAATATTATGTAAACATTTAAAATGTTCGTAGCCTTTTAATAACATGAGAAATGTTTGTAATATAAAGTTAAATGAAAAGGGTAGAATATAAAACAATATACATTATGATTTTTTCTTTTGGCCCAGATGTAAGGGCTCAAATATGATCTTAAGTAAACGAAAACAATGTGAAACATATATTCATGGAGAGAAACACTAGGAGGAAATACTCTAAAATGTTATCAGTGGTTACCTCTGGATGTGTGTAGGTGATTTTTATGTTCTTCTTTACACACTTCTGCGGGTTTCAATGTTTCTATAGTGAGCATGTATAATTTTTATAATCATGGAGAAAAAATTAGAAAACAATAAAATTATAGTTTCTTCAAAAAGATACAGCAGGCTGGGTGCGGTGGCTCACGCCTGTAATACCAGCACTTTGGGAGGCCAAGGCAGGTGGATCATTTGGGGTCAGGAGTTCAAGAACAGCCTGACAAACATGGTGAAACCCCATCTCTACTAAAAATACAAAAACATTAGCCGGGCATGGTGGCGCATGCCTGTAATCCCAGCTACTCGGGGGAGGCTGAAGCAGGAGAATTGCTTGAACCCAGGAGGCGGAGGTTGCAGTGAGCTGAGATTGAGCCACTATACTCAAATATGATCTTTTACTTAAGATCATATTTACTTAAGATCATATTTGAGCCCTTACATCTACACTCCAGCCTGGGCAACAGAGCGAGACTCCATCTTTAAAAAAAAGAAAGATAGAGTATTTAAAACATATGGAAGGATGGCCAGGTGCGGTGGCTCACACCTGTAATCCCAGAACTTTGGGAGGCCGAGGCAGGTGATCACTTGAGGTCAGGAGTTCAAGACCAGCCTGGCCAACATGGTGAAACTCCATCTTTACTAAAAATGCAAAATTAGTCAGGCGTTGTGACACATGCATGTAGTCCTAGCTATTCAGCAGGCTGAGGCAGGAGGATTGCTTGAACCCAGGAGGCAGAGGTGGCAGTGAGCCGAGATCGCACCACTGCACTCCAGCCTGGGCAACAGAGCGAGACTCTGTCTCAAAAAAATAAAAATAGGCCGGGTGCAGTGGCTCAAGCCTATAATCCCAGCACTTTGGGAGGCCGAGGTGGGCGGATCACAAGGTTAGGAGATCAAGACCATCCTGGCTAACACGGTGAAACCCCGTTTCTACTAAAAATACAAAAAAATTAGCCGGGCATGGTGGCGGGCACCTGTAGTCCCAGCTACTCAGGAGGCTGAGGCAGGAGAATGGCGTGAACCCAGGAGGCGGAGCTTGCAGTGAGTGGAGATTGCGCCACTGCATTCCAGCCTGGGCGACAGAGTGAGACTCTGCCTCAAAAAAAAAAAAAAATAATAATAATAATAATTAATAAATAAATAAAAAATAAAATGTATGGAAGGAGTCTGCATGCATGCATAAGAAATGCTTAGACTGTCATGTTTAGTGAAAAAAGGAAAAAATTTTAAAGTATATGATATGATCATAACTATGTAAAAAGATATCCAGAGGAAAAAGACCAAAAGAAATGCCCACAACATAAACACTGGCAGGAAGAGTGATTTGCTTTCTTCTTATCCTTCTCTATAATTTTCTGTTTTTCTAAAAAGTGCAAAACGTTTTTTTCTTTTTTATCTTTAAGTATCAGTGTTCTTTTTTTTTTTTTTTTTTTTTTTTTTGAGACGGGGTTTCGCTCTTGTTGCCCAGGCTGGAGTGCAATAGCACGATCTCAGCTCACCGCAACCTCCACCTCCCGGGCTCAAGCAATTCTCCTGCCTCAGCCTCCGGAATAGCTGGGATTATAGGCATGTGCCACCACACCCGGCTAATTTTTTTGTTTTGTTTTGTTTTGTTTTTTGAGACGGAGTTTCACTCTTGTTGACCAGGCTGGAGTGCAATGGCATGATCTCGGCTCACCACAACCTCTACCTCCTGGGTTCAAGCAATTCTCCTGCCTCAGCCTCCCGAGTAGCTGGGATTACAAGCATGTGCCACCACACTCAGCTGATTTTTTGCATTTTTAGTAGAGACTAGGTTTCTCCATGTTAGTCAGGCTGGTCTCAAACTCCTGACCTCAGGTGATCTGCTTACCTCATCCTCCCAAAGTGCTGGGATTACAGGCGTGAGCCACCATGCCCGGCCCTAATTTTGTATTTTTAGTAGAGACGGGGTTTCTCCATGTTGGTCAGGCTGGCCTCGAACTCCCGATCTCAGGTGATCCACCCGCCTAGGCCTCCCAAAGTGCTGGGATTACAGGTGTGAGCCACCGCGCCCAGCCGGTATCAGTGTTCTTGTTGAAAGAAGTCATTATACCTGTCCTACATGAAACTACTTAGTTTCTATCAAGAATTAAATCACTAGACTGGTTTGAATCTGCAGCAATACTCAGCCAACACCCTGTAAAATTCCAGTTGTAACACAATTTGCTAGATCTCAAAGTAATTTCAAAGAGATGGCAGAAACTTCTCTTAAATGACTTTGTTAATTCTTAAGAACAGCTCAGTTCACCATTATCTGAGTACTTGTTTATACCTGGCCTTATGCTGAGAGTAGGTATAAAATAAGTAAAAACAGACTCTTCCCCCAAGGAAGTCCCAGTTGAATAAAAGTCAAGAGGCTGACCCTGCCTGCTCAGGTAAAATTCAAGAGGGATTGAGACAAAATTAATCTTGAGAAAGAAACTACCCAAAGTCACAGAACTAACTTAAACCACACTTTGAGTCCCAAAATAGCAAATTTGTTCCCACAGCTCCAGCATAAACAAACTTAGCCACCAGAATTCCTACTTTCTAGTATCAGACTAGGGTCCTGATTTATTGTGTTCTCTAACTGCAAACAACTCTGTTAGTAAAAAGTTACCACTTAGACTTTGCTATGCCAGCCACTCTACACAGATTATCTCTAATTTTTACAACTTTGAAACATTGCTGTTACTATTACCATTTTACAAACAAAACTGAAATTCAGAAAAGTTATTTGCTAAGAAAATCTGGAGGGTTTAAACTTCGGAACAATATGTTTTAACTGCTGGTTATCTCTCAGCAAACTTGGGACATGACCAAAATGAGAGACTCTCTAACCACACTTGGATCCTCCTGCTTAACTAGAAATCAAGAGACTCCACTCCCTTCTGTAGTGGAGCAATGGCACAGAGATCACTGTGGAGATTCCATAGACAAGCCTGATTTCTCAGCTGAACCAAAAATTAAATGAGATTCTTAACAATATGACCTACTGATTCTACAACCACGATTACACTCCTAAAGCCCCATCACAACTTCCCTGCCTTTAGGCACCTGTCTAATAAGTTGTTTCTTCTTTGCTGACTCTGGCATATCATGAACGTGTTGAAACAGCTCTCTCAGTGCCTCTTCCGTATGGTGCTGGGTCTCCTCCTGGTGAGGGCAGGAATCTACCCGGTTCCGTTTCTGAGACTTTGCCAGCTGAAAGGACTTAGTATGACATGAAGCTATGAGGTCAAGGTCATCCTAAGGAAAATTTAAAAGAAGAGTAAATTAATATATCCTGCCAACTTTGTTTTGGGGTTCTTACAAAAACCTGGAACAAAAAAAGGGAGAGTGGGGACATGGTATACTCCTATACTCAGGAACAAGAAAAATCTTAACACTATTATCAGATAACAAGGAACCTATTAATATAGGTTATATTAATAGCCCACTCCCATGACCTGCCCAGAGAACCTAAGTGCATTTGGAATACTGCCACCAAGAGTTATATTTGTGTAAGAGTTTAGTTTTTAAAGCATCTTTTAATTTCATTAATTTATTCAACAATTCAACAAGGTAAGCATGGAAAGTATCATGATTCCCATCTGACAGAGGAAAAAAACTGAGGTTAAACTGTAAGTTTAAAGTCATCTGGATACTAAAGTGACAGACCCACCTGGGAGCCCAAGGGCTCTGACTCTTGGCTAATACTCCTTCCCACACATGGCAACTTAATACGACAACTAGACAGCAGTGCTAGAGGAACAAAAACAGCTCTCTAACAAAAACCACACTCCAGTTAAACTAGTTGAAACCAAATACTGTTTTCCTGGTAACAATGAATATTTGCTGAATAAGAGGGAGAAACAAATAGGAGCAGAAAAAATTGCACAAGCGGACAGCTTAAGTTTCTAACCAAGACAGGATGAACAGAACTTGAAAATTTTAAGCACTCAAAAAGTGCTTGTAAAATTTTTAACTTCTCACTTTTTTTTTTTTTTTTTCAGAGCAGGAGTGGAAGTTTATTTAAAAAGGCTTAGAACAGGAAAGAAAGGAAAGTATGCTTGGAAGAGACCCAAGCAGGCACATAAAGGTCAAGTGCCTAACTTCTTTTTTCATTTTTTTGAGATGGGGTCTCACTCTGTCACCCAGACTGGAGTACAGTGTCACCATCTTGGCTCACTGCAACCTCCGCCTCCTGAGCTCAAGTGATCCGCCCACCTCAGCCTCCCGAGTAGCTGAGACTACAGGTACGTGCCACCACATCTGGCTAATTTTTTGCATTTTTGGTAGAGACTGGGTTTGGCCATGTTGCCCAAGCTGGTCTCAAACTCCTGATCTCAAGTGATCCGCCTACCTTGGCCTCTGAAAGTGCTAGGATTACAGGCATGAGCCACCACACTCGGCCATAACTTCTTACTTTTAAAACTCAATACTCATATCTAGGCTGGATGTGGTGGATCACGCCTGTAATCCCAGCACTTTGGGAGGCTGAGGCAGTCGGACTACTTGAGCCCAGGAGTTTGAGACCTGGGCAACATGGTGAAACCCCATCTCTACCAAAAATACAAAAATTAGCGGGCATGGTGGTGCATGCCTGTAGTCCCCAGCTACTCAGGAGGCTGAGGTGAGAGAACCAGGGAGCCAAGATCATGCCACTGCACTCCAGCCTACCCAACAGAGCGAAACCCTATCTCAAAAAAAAAAAAAAAAAAAAAATCATCATTATCATATCTGATCTTGTGAATAAGCATTATACATTTCCCTATCTATCTAAGCTCATGTGGTCTCAAGTCTTTTAGCCATTTGATAGAGTTTTGCCATACCAATGAACCTAAAATAGGAATGAATTACATAAAATTGTCCTTTCGTTCCTATAAAATATGTAACACATTTGCTATTCACAGATTATTTCTATCAGAAGGACTTTATGAAAAACCTTGAAACACAGGGTCTGTGTCATCACTCTTACACAGAGGACACCATCTATCAGTGGAGAACCTCTGAAAGCAAATAAAAATTGTGGGGGGGAGGCACTTTTTTTTTCAAGAGACAGGGTCTCGCTGTGTTACCCAGGCTGGAGTGCAGTGGCACAATCAGCTCACTGTAGACTTGAATTCTCCCATCTCAGCCTCCAGAGTCACTGAGATTACAGGCCTGAGTTACCATACCTCACATGTGGAGCATTTGTATTCTAATACATAACTTACTTCTTAGTCTTCTTCATTATGGCAAAATGACTAAGTAATTTTGAGCTATAATACTAAAACTTATTATTTTCCATGCTTTTACTTTGACTTCATACTTTGTTTTAAGACTCCACAAATCTTAATGCTCTCCTTGTTTGGGTTAAGAGCAGATTCCTATTCTTACCTTTGATGCCTGAGTTCTGGATCCCAAATAGTGCAATCTCGCACACTCCCGAATGTAAGCAGGAGCCTGGGCAGGACATAAAAGAAAACCAAAACCCAGTGATTAGTAGAATATAACATTCTTTCAGGCCGCAAGGACAGTGGTTCTCAAAATCATTTGACCAGCAGATTACTTTTAAAAAGCCAAAGATCCTCAAAATTCATAGCCCCTCCATAGCTTCCTTTCTCTTGCCACCAAATAGATACCTCAACAAATCTGATGGAAAAACTGTGAGAAGACACCAATGTAGTTGTTGCCACTTTAAAAATCAAACATGGCATGTATATACTCAAATAAGCCAAAGACAAAAACATAGACATTTGTAGGAATGTTTCTATCTAACAAAAACCACCCCCTCAAATCCTTACAAATTATAAGTGGTCTCCAGATCACATTTTAAAATCACAGTGTAGAAAATATCATTTAATGTCTGTAATCTCAGCACTTTGGGAGGCAGAAGCAGGAGGATGGCTTCACTCCAGGAGTTTGAGACCAGCCTGGGCAACACAGGGAGACCCCCAACTCTACAAAAAATTACTAAAAAATGGCCAGCACGGTGGCTCATGCCTGTAATCCCAGCACTATGGGAGGCCAAGGTGGGTGGATCACCTGAAGTCAGGAGTTCGAGACCAGCCTGACCAACATGGTGAAACCCCATCTCTACTAAAAATACAAAATTAGCCGGGTGTGGTGGCGTATGCCTGTAATCCCAGGTACTCAGGAGACTGAGGCAGGAGAATCGCTTGAACCCAGGAGACAGAGGTTGCAGTGTGCCAAGATCACACCATTGCACTCCAGCCTGGGCAACAAGAGCGAAACTCCATCTCAAAAAAAAAAAAATTACAAAAAAATTAGCCGGGCATGGTGGTGCATGCCTGTGGTCCCAGCTACTCAGAAGGCTAAGGGGGAGAATCACTTGAGCCCAGAAGTTCAAGGCTGCAGTGAGCCATGTTCATACCACTGCACTCCAGCCTAGGCAACAGAGCAAGACCCTGTCTCAAAAAAGAAAGAAAGAAATACCATTTAGAATTACTATGGACTAGAATCCTGTGACAACTACCCTGATACTGTCTTAGTAGATGTGCAAAATAATACAACTACCATAGAGGAAAACTGGGTTTGTAACATCTAATAAAATTACATTTGCACTTACCCTTTTACCCAGAAACCTCACTACTGGTAACATATCCTGAGTATGTAACTTCAGAAATGCAAAACACACTCGTATAAGATTAATCAAAAAATTGGATACAACCCAAATGTTCTTTAATAGAGAACTGGTTGAATCAACTTTCATACATCCATACAATACAGTACTATGAAGAAAGGAAGGGAGAGGAGGCAGGGAGGGAAAGAAAGGAAGGAACAGAGGGAAAGAAAGGAAAGGAAGGGAGGGAGAGAAAAAGAAAGGATGGAGAGAAGGAAGAAACACTTAATGAATTGATATGGAAGGATTTCTAGGATCTACTGTTGAGTGAGAAAAGTGAAGTAAATGTATATTTGTGTAAGAAAAAACCAGGAAATAGGAATATACACACAAATGTACATTTACTTGTTTTTATAAAAAGAAACACTAACAGGATAACCCAGAAAACAATGAAAATAATTAGAAAGGATTGAGATTTCTCTAAGTATATCTTTTAATGTGGTTTTGACTTTTTTTTTTTTTTTTTGAGACGGAGTCTCACTCTCTCGCCCAGGTTGGAGTGCAATGGCATGATCTCGGCTCACTGCAACCTCCGCCTCCCAGGTTCAAGTGATTCTTCCGCCTCAGCCTCCCAAGTAGCTGGGATTACAAGCACCCACCATCATGCCCGGCTAATTTTTGTACTTTTGTAGAGACGGGGTTTCACCCCGCCTTTGGGAGGCCAAAGCGGGTAGATCACTTGAGCCCAGGAGTTTGAGACCAGCCTGGGCAACATGGTGAGACCCATCTCTACAAAAAATACAAAAATTAGCCGGGTGTGGTGGCGCTCACCTGTAGACCCAGCTACTCGAGAGGCTGAGGTGGGAGGATCGACTGGTCCCAGGAGGCAGAGGCTGCTGTGAGCCCAGATCGTGCTACTGCACTCCAGCCTGGGTGACAGAGTGAAAATCTCCAAAACAAGAAAAAAAAAATCTGAAATTTGTAATATAAGAAAAAAAGAAATACAAATACAAAATACAAGAAGCCAAGAAAAAGTTGCGTAGTATTAAATCTGAATTGGTGGTATTAATATGAACTTACAATTGCTTTAAAAAAATGTTTTAATCTATTTCTTTGCCCTCAAGCAGCCTAGAAGCAATGACACACCAGAAACAATGAATATACCTAGTATCACTCAGAAGCCAAGGTTCCCTGGAGAAATAATTACTCCGATCTAGGCCAGCGCAAGTACAAAGTGAGCTGGGAACATTTTATACCAGAAAGGAAACACTCAAAGACAATACAGTCCTGTCAAAAAGATGTAGAAGCCGGTTAACAAGGGCTATCACCGGCCAAATCTGGGATAATTTAAATATCAATTTTGTTTGTTTGTTTGTTTGTGACAGGGTCTCACTCTGTCACCCAGGCTGGAGTGCAGTGGCATAATCTCGGCTCAGTGCAACCTCCACCTCCCGGGCTCAAGCCATCCTACCACCGTAGCCTCTGAGTAGCTGGGACCACAGGAGTGTGCCATCACGCCCGGCTAATTTTTTGTATTTTTCATAGAGATGGGGTTTTGCCACATTGCCCAGGAGAATATCAACATTATAAGTAAAATTGACTAACACTTTGGAAAAATAAAAATCCATGAGTTTATATTAATATTCATTTTTAAAGGGAGAGAGAATGAGACAAAGAAAAGCTATTCTCCAAAGAAGAAACTCAGCTTATAAAGGCTAAATGACAAAATTAGAAAATCTTTATTTTTAATACCCAATAGATTCCAGCAGGATTATCAACGGATGCTAAAACCATTATTAGGTAATCACTCTACAGGTTATTTACTAACCGCAAAGGGGAAAAAAATTTACCTTTGTAACTGAAAGATCTGGCAGTTAGCAAAATTAACATCATGAAGAGAGAAAATCAAACAATCTGTGTCTCCTCATGTGAGGCAATGTGACGCACACAAACATCACCTGTGAAGTATCTTTGCCAAAAATGCTTAATCTGAATCTGATTAAGACTGTAGACCTGGCTTCTACTTTACAGGAACTACATGGAAGGTGATAGAGGAACAAGTTAAATAACTTGAGAAAACAATAAGACAAACTTAGAATGTGAGACATTCTACAACACAGTTAACTTGATGCTTCAATAAATGACATGAAGAAAAAGCATGAGTGTGTAGATTAAAAGTGTCATAATAATTAAAACCAGTACAGAAGCTTTGATTGGCCTATATTGAAAAAAAGTATGAAATACATTCTTAGGACAGCTGGGGAATTTGAATATGTACTGAAAGCTAGTTGATAAGAAATTCTTTTTAGTTTCTTAGATGTGATAATAGTAGTGTGATTCTTTTTTTTTTTTTTTTTTTGAGACGGAGTCTGGCTCTGTCGCCCAGGCTGGAGTGCAGTGGCATAATCTCAGCTCACTGAAAGCTCCACCTCCCGGGTTCACGCCATTCTCCTGCCTCAGCCTCTCCCAGGGGCCTGCCACCGCGCCTGGCTAATTTTTTGTATTTTTAGTAGAGACGGGGTTTCACCGTGTTAGCCAGGATGGTCTCGATCTCCTGACCTCATGATCCGCCCGCCTCAGCCTCCCAAAGTGCTGGGATTACAGGCGTGAGCCACCGCACCCGGCCAGTAGTGTGATTCTTAAGAGAATATGTTTATTATTGGGAGATGCATACATAAGTACTTAGGAATGAAGTATCATGGTGTCTGCAACTACTTTTAGTGATTCAGCCAAAAAAGTGTATGAACATATATAGAGAGAGATAAAGCTAATATGGCAATATGATAACATTTGTTGACACTGGGGGAGAGTTATATATGAGTATTCACTGTTTTACTCTTTTAACTTTTCTCTATATTTGAAATTTTTCAAAATAAAGGTCTTCAAAGAGTCTCATGACAAAAACATGATATGTATAGTTTAATTTCTTTTTCTTTTTTTTTTTTTGAGATGGAGTCTCGCTCTGTCGCCAGGCTGGAGTGCAATGGCGCAATCTTGGCTCACCACAACCTTTGCCTCCCGGGTTCAAGTGATTCTCCTGCCTCAGCCTCCAAGTAGCTGAGACTACAGGCGCCCACCACCACGCCCGGCTAATTTTTGTAGTAGAGATGGGGTTTCACCGTGTTGACTAGGCTGGTCTTGAACTCCTGACCTCAGGTGATCCACCTGCCTTGGCCTCCCAAAGTGCTGGGATTACAGGAGTGAGCCACCACGCCCAGCCAGTTTAATTTCTAAATTGAAAAACTATAAAACGGAGCTTAAGACCAACAGAAATTTTCTCCAAACAAGAATATATCTATTCTATTTCATTTAAAAAAAAGAAAGAAGGCCAAGAGCGGTGGCTCATGCCTGTAATCCCAACACTTTGGGAGGCCAAGGCAGGAGAAATGCTTGAGCCCAGGAGTTCAACACCAGCCTGGGCAACATGGTAGTACCCTGTCACCACAAATAATAGAAAAATTAGCCAGGCATGGTGGCACGCACCTGTCCCAGCTGCTTGGGAATCTGAGGTGGGAGGATCGCTTGAGCCTGGGAAGTCAAAGCTGCAGTGAGCAGATAGCACTACTGCACTCCAGCCTGGGGGGCAGAGTGAGACCCTGTCAAAAGAAAGAAAATAAGGAAGGAAGGGAAAGGGGAAGGGGAAAAGGAAGGGGAAGGGGAAGAGAAAGGGGAAGGGAAGGGAAGAGAAGGGGAAAGCCAAGGGGAAGGGAAGGGGAAGGGAAAGGGAAAGGAAGGGAAGGGGAAAGGGAAGGGGAAGGGGAATGGAAGGGGAAGGGAAGGGGAAGGGAAGGGGGAGGGAAGGGGAAGGGAATGGGAAGGGAAGGGAAAAAGGAAGGGAAGGGGAAAAGGAAGGGAAGGGGAAGGGAAGGGGAAAGGGAAAGGAAGGGGGAGGGAAAGGAAAGGGGAAAGGAAGGGGAATGGAAGGGAAGGGGAAGGGAAGGGGAAGGGAAGGGAAAGGAAGGGGAAGGGAAGGGGAAGGGGAGGAGACGGGGAAGGGGAAGGGAAAAGGAAGGAGAAGAGGAGGGGAAGGGGAGGGGAAAGGAAGGGTAAGGGGAGGGGAAGGGGAGGGGAAGGGGAGGGGAAGGGGAGGGGAAGGGAAGGGGAAGGGGAGGGGAAGGGAAGGGGAAAGGAAGGAAGGGGAAGGGAAGGGGAAGGGAAGGGGAAGATGAAGGGGAAGGGAAAAGGAAGAAGAGGAGGGGAAAGGGAGGGGAAGGGAAGGGGAAGGGGAAAGGAAGGGAGGGGGAGGGGAAGGGAAGGGGAAGGGAAGGGGAAGGAAAGGGAAGGGGAAGGGAAGGAGAAGGGAAGGGAAGGGGAAGGGAAGGGGAAAAGGGGAAGAAAAGGAAAGAAACAACAAAAACCACCATCCCCAAAGATGCTATGAGCTGAAAAAATATCCAGAAAGGGCACCAGGCTTAGACAAATAGGCTTACATGAAAGTCTGAGTTCTTAAGTATTTTACAATTCATAGAGAAACAACAAGAAATTTATAGAGAAACAAGAATTTTACAATTCATAGAGAAACAACAGAAGGACTGCTCAAGTATTAGAAATTGGCCTTAACTGTATATACATTGTAAATCTCTAGGAAAAGATGTGGTGTTGGGAAGAGTTAAACCAGACTGAAAGAGATGGACTGATAACAGTAGAGGACAGAACTAGTAATAGTTAAGAAGAATTTTAGGAAAAATGATAAAGCAGGAACATAGCAAGACCTCATCTCTACAAAAAATTAAAAACTAGCCAGGTGTGGTGGCATGCGCCTGTGGTCCCAGCTAACCAGGAGGCTGAAGTAGGAGGATCACTTGAGCTCAGTGAGCTGTGATCATGCCACCACACTCCAGCCTGGGTGACAGAATGAGACTGTCTCAAAAAAAAAAAAAATAGCCCGGGCGCGGTGGCTCACGCCTGTAATCCCAGCATTTTGGGAGGCTGAGGTGGGCGGATCATGAGGTCAGGAGATCGAGACCATCCTGGCTAACATGGTGAAACCCCGTCTCTACTAAAAATACAAAAAAAATTAGCCGGGCGTGGTGGCAGGTGCCTGTAGTCCCAGCTACTCGGGAGGCTGAGGCAGGAGAATGGCATGAACCTGGGAGGCAGAGCTTGCAGTGAGCTGAGATCGCGCCACTGCACTCCAGCCTGGTGACAGAGTGAGACTCCATCTCAAAAAAATAAATAAATAAAAATAAAAAATAACAGATGCTGATGAGGATGTGAAGAAAAGGGAACTCTTATACACTGTTGGTGGGAATGCAAATTAGTATAGCCATTATGGAAAGCAGTATGAAGACTTCTCAAAAAACTAAAAATAGAACTACCATATAATACATCAATCCCACTACTGGGTATGTATTCAAAGGGAAGAAAATCAGTTTTCAAAGGAATATCTGCATCCCCATGTTTATTGCAGCACTATTCACAATAGCAAAGATATGTAATCAACGTAAGTGTCCATCAATGGATGAATGATAAAGAAAATGTGGCGTATATACACAATGGAATACTATTCCGCCATAAAAAAAGAATGAAATCCTGTCAAATTGCAGCAACATGGATGGAACCGGAGGCTATTAAGTGAAATTAACCAGGCACAGAAAGACAGATATCACATGTTCTCACTCATATGTAGGACCTAAAAAGTGGATCTCAGGTTGGCTGCGGTGGCTCACACCTGTAATCCCAGCACTTTGGGAGGCCGAGGCGGGCGGTCAGGAGTTAGAGACCACCCTGGCCAATATGGTGAAAACCTGTCTCTACCAAAAATACAAAAATTAGTCCAGTGTAGTGGTGCGTGCCTGTAATCCCAGCTACTCGAGAGGCTGAGGCAGGAGAATCGCTTGAACCCAGGAGACGGAGGCTGCAGTGAGCTGAGATTGCATCACTGCACTTCAGCACAGGTAACCAGAGTGAAAACTCTATCTCAAAAAAAAAAAAAAAAGTGCATCTCATGGTGAGGGAGAAAAAGAAAAGAAAAGAAAAAAAGATTGATCTCATAGAGGTAGGGAGTAGAATAGTTACCAGATGCTGGGATAGGTGTTAGGGGTGAGAGTAAAGATCGGTTGGTCAATAGGTACAAACATGTAGTGAGATAGAAGAAATATGTTCTAACACTTAATAGCAAAGCAGCATGACTATAGTTAACAACAACGTATGGTATATTTCAAAATAACTAGAAGAGGGGACTTGAAATGTCCCCAACACATAGAAATGACAACTATTCAATGTGATGGATACTCTACATACCCTGACTTGATCATTGCACATTCAATCCAAGTAACAAAATATCATATGTACCCAATAAATATGTACAAATATTATGTGTCAATAAAAAGTTTACCAAAAAATCATATGCTGAGGTTGCTAAGATCCACTATAAGAATAAATCTATCTATGAAACTGTGAAGAAGAAAAAAGAAATTCGTGCATAGTATACATATAGGGTTTGGTACTAGCCACAGTTTCAGGCATGTACTCAGGGCTTTGGAACATATCTCCCATGGATAAGAGGGAACTACTGTATAATGAAAACTATAAAATACTACTGAAAGGAATTAGAGAAAACATAAATAAATGGAAAAGTATCCCATTTTCATATTATTGGATAAGATTGCTAAGATGTCAATACTACTCGAGGCAATCTACAGATTCAATACAATCCCTATCAACCTTAGAAACATCAAAATACCAATGAGGTTTTTTGCAGCAAAGATAGAAAATGCATCCTAAAATTCATACGGAATCTCAAGGCATCTTCAACAGCCAAAACAATGTTAAAAATGAAGAACCAACCTGGAGGACTCGAGCTTCCTGATTTCAAAATTTACCACAACACCTTTACAACATTTACTAATCACACCACCATGGTACTGGTATAAAGTCAGATAAGTAGACCAATGGAATAGACTAGAAAGCCAGAAATAAACTCTTACATATATATTCAAATGCTTTTCAATAAGAGGACCAAGACCAATGGAGAAAGGACAGTTTCTTCAACAAATGGTGCTGGGAAAACCATGAAACCACATGCAAAAGAATGAGGTTGGACCCTTACCTAACACCAGAAACAAAACTTAACTCAAAATGGGTCAAAGACATAAACATAAGACCTAAAACTATAAAAACTTTTAGAAGAAAACATAAGGCAAAAGCTTCATGACAATGGATGTGGCAGTGATTTCTTGGATATGACACCAAAGGCACAGGCAACAAGAGAAAAAATTGACAAATTAGACTTCATAAAATTTTTTTAAATTTGCACATCAAAACACACTATCAACAAAGTAAAAAGGCAACCCACAGAATAGGAGAAAATATTTGTCCATATAGCTGATAAAGGATGATATCTGGAATATAAAGGGATATCCATCAACTGATGAACAGATAAGCAAAATGTGGTATATACACACAGTGGAATACTACGCACCCTTAAAAAGGAAGGAAATCCTGTCACATGCTACTGTGTGGATGAACCTTGAGCACACTATGCTAAGTATAAATAAGGCAGTCACAGAAAGACAAATACCGTATGAGTCCACTTACATGAGGTACTCAGAGTAGTCAAATTCATAGAGATGGAAGGTAGAATGGTGGTTGCCAAGGATGGGAGGAGGGTTTTACGGAGTTACTGTTTAATGGGTACAGAGTTTCAATTTTGCAAGATGAAGAGTTCTGGAAATGGATGGCGATGATGGCTACACAACAACGTGAATGTACTTAATGCCACAGAACTGTACGCTTAAAAATGGTTAAGATGGCAAATTTTATAAGCATTTTACTGCAAGAAAAAAAGAAACCAGAACTGGATGATCTTGGAAACTTTCAGCCTCTCCAGATGGCAAAAGATGCTAAAATTGGCACACGCCTGTAATCCCAGCACTTTGGGAGGCTGTGGCAGAAGGATTGAACCCAGGAGTTCAAGACCAGCCTGGGCAACACGTTGAAACCCTGTCTCTACAAAAAAATACAAAAAATCAGCCAGGCGTGGCAGTGTATGCCTGTGGTCCCAGCTACTGGGGAGGCTGAGGCGGGAGCATCACTTGATCCCAGAAGGTTGAGGCTGCAGTGAGCCAAGACTGTACCAATGCACTCCAGCCTGGGCGACAGAGTGAGACCTTGTCTGAAAAAAAAAGATGCTAAAATTAAGAGATTCACTATCAAGGAAGTATACACTAAAGAAAAGGTCAAGGATGTGACTGTGCTACGTTTTGCTAAAACCTTAGAAACATCAAAAGGTCAGAGTATTCAATCATACAAAGGGCCCTTTCAAGAGAGTAAGAGCGTACCTCACAGATCCTCTCAATTAAACCAGAAAGCCTTTAGGAAGCTTAAAGGTACTGTCCCTTAGGTTTCTCAGCAGGTGACCAAGGTAGGGAAAGATTTATCTTCAAAAGATTTGTATATGTGGCCTTTGTCTAATAGAATGAATCTCAATGAAATCCACAGAAGACCTACAAAGTTCTTAGAAAATTATGTCAGCAGAAATACAGCCTGTTTGGATTGAAAGGGCCAAAGAGTACAAAATGACCCCCAAAATTCTACTGGCAGACCCCCAAAACTCTACTGGCAGTAAGCAGGCAGGATAAAACTACCTAGCTGCCACGTGTGCTGCCTTTGTGAAAAAGGAAGAATGGCTCAGAGGGTGGAGTCAGTTACCCAGAGGACCCAGCCCTACTCAGCCTCCTATTCCTACTCCTTTCCACCATAGTGGTTGTTACCCCCTGGGTTTTGCCACTGTCCATTCTGGTTTGCAATCCCATTCAGGACCTTTTTCTCGTTTAGTTATCTTTATAGCCCCACTTAGGATCCCACCTTGCTCCATTTTCTTTGTCCTGTTACCAGCCAAATGCTATCCCTTACCTACCTTAAAAAGTTTCTGGGAGTGTTTAATCATAAAAGCCATCCCACTGTTTAACTTTGTGATATTCTCCTGAAGGTCATTTGCAGTGACCTATTCAGAGGAAAAGAAACCAAACAATGGACATTAAGAGCTAGAAAGTAGTACTTACCAATAAGCCTGTTCTTTCAAATGTATGAAGTTTCTATCCCTAGCCTAGGTGCCTCTAATACAATGTTTAATTCTGGGAAGACTTTTTGGTTCATCAGGATATGACATAATCTAGAAAAACAATGTGTCCCTGAAGTGACGAGGAAATCCTTGAAAACCATTTTCATTTCCTAATTCTGCTTGAAAATTAGACATGTAAACAAAATTGGCAAGGAAAATCTAGTCTAGGATTCAAAATGGGCAGAAAAAAACAGAATCTGTTCCAGCTATCAAGGACACCACTGCCTCTTTAGAAAACTAGAGTTTCTCCAAAGACAAAAAAGAATGGTCACTACTGATACCAAAGGTGACATCTGTTTCTTAAAAACACAGTAAAATTACCGGGCGTGGTGGCTCATGCCTGTAATCCCAGCACTTTGGGAGGCCAAGGCGGGCAGATCACGAGGTCAGGAGATTGAGACCATCCTGGCTAACACAGTGAAACACCGTCTCTACCAAAAATACAAAAAATTAGCCGGGCGTGGTGGCGGGCGCCTGTAGTCCCAGCTACTCGGGAGGCTGAGGCAGGAGAATGGCATGAACCCGGGAGGCAGAGCTTGCAGTGAGCCGAGACCGCACCACTGCACTCCAGCCTGGGCGACAAAGCAAGACTCTGTCTCAAAAAAACAAACAAACAAACAAACAAAAAACACAGCAAAATTGTCATTGATTCCCTTCCCTTGTTTCTCCTGTCTTTTTTAAGTAATTCAGTAACTCTACTATCCCAAAGCCCTCATTTTCAACATGTATCTTTGTTACTTTATCTGTTTGCTTTTAAATACTTTTTTTTTTTTTTTTTTTTTTAGAGATAGGGTCTCGCTTTGTTACCCAGATTGGAGTACAGTGGTGCAATCATAACTCACTGCAGCTGCAAACTCCTTGGCTCAAGCGATCCTCCCACCTCAGCCTCCCAAGTAGCTAGGAGTATAGGCATGTGCCACCACGTCCAGCTTATTTTTCTTTTCCTTTTGTAGAGACAAGGTCTCAAGGTCTCAAGGTCTCACTGTGTTGCCCAGGCTGGTCTCAACCTCCTGTCCTCAAGCAGTCCTCCTACCTCAGCCTCCCAAAGTGCTGTGATTACAGGCGTAAGTCACTACTTCTTTTTATAACCACAGTTTGCTCACTGCTTTTCTATAGTCTTGGTTAGCTGGTTCTAAAATTCCTTCATTATAAGGCTTGATCTCCTTAATATGGACAAATGTTGATGTGTCTTCTGCTCCCCCTACTCACCCCCAGAGGCTCTTCCTGACCCAGAACTTTATTATTTTTTCACTAGTTATTTTTTAAGTAAAATGTTTCACACAATCTCTCTCCTTTACCTTCCTTTTCTCATTACTTATAATCTCAAAAATTTTTTATAAATTACTATAACCTATTTCTATTATCTTCCCAACAGCCTTGTGGGGTATGTAGTAAAGCTATTACAGTAAGTCCTCACTTAAGGCATCAATAGGTTCTTGGAAACTATGACGTTAAGTGAACCGACATACAGCAGGTCCTCGAATAACATCATTTTCTTCAACATCTTTTCATTATAACATTGATGAGAAAAATAATTTGTTTTGTTATAGATTATTTTGATTAAAGTTTCAGTTTCCAAGAACCTATCAACGATGTTAATAGGTTGAGGACTTACTGTATTATGCCCAGTTTACAGAGGAAAAGCCTATGCATAGAAAAGGCAAAAGACTAAACAAACAAAAAATGGCTTGTAGACAGCTGTTTAAAACATGAAAGGTAAAAGGCCAGGCGCGGTGGCTCACACCTGTAATCCCAGCACTTCGAGAGGCAGCAGCGGGTGGATCACCTGAGGTCAGCAGTTCGAGACCCGCCTGACCAACATGGCAAAACCCCATCTCTACTAAAAATACAAAAATACAAATATTAGCCAGGAATAGTGGCTCACGCCTGTAGTCCCAGCTGCTCAGGAGGCTGAAGCAGGAGAATTGCTTGAACCTGGGAGGCAGAGATTGCACTGAGCTGAGATTGCACCACTGCTCTCCAGCCTAGGCAACAGAGGAAGACTCTGTCTCAAAAAAAAAAGGTAAAAGACATAGGTAACATCGCTGGTGTGTGGCTTCCAACCCACCTATCCTGGCTCACAACTCCATCACATAGTAAAACCATATTATAAGTGGGCAGGAATATGAGCTATGTACCTCCAGGTCAACAAGTTGTTTAAAAGACTTTAGATGAGGCTACAGTGAGTAGTGATTGTGTTACTCTCCTCCAGCGTGGGCAACAAAACGAGACCCTGTCTCAAAAAAACAGAAAAAAAGACTTCAGAGAATTTATTTCTCTGTGTTTTTATCCCTCAGGCATTTAAAAAAAAAAAGAGAGTGAGTTTATTTCTCTTGTAAGTCACTGAGAAGACCATGGTCTCCATAAGAAGAAGCAAGTTCAGCTTTATCCAAGGAGACTACATATCTACAGGAAATACAAAAGTCAGGACAAGGCAGGATTGCTCCAAGTGTCATCTCATCTATAAATCCATAAGCTTGGTGACATTATCCCATAAGATCACACAGCTCTATTCTAATTTTATAACATTTGATCTTCAGAAACTAATTTGATTTCCCAAGAAGCCTTTCCTGTTAAGGATTCCACAATGAACAGCCAAAATGAGTATTCTAGTTTATTCAGTAGTTATAATTTCCCACTAAGAGTTTCTACTAATACAATGCCATGTAGGTTTACCAGAGATTGATTTATAAGTGAGGTTAGCAGGAATTGGCCCTCTCAGGTCTGATGACTCTTCAATGAACTAATAAAGTAAGTTCCCAACCTCATAAAGCTGAAGGCTAGACCTTGGACCCTTGATAATCTCACCAATGTACAGCCATAGAATGAGGCCCAGCCCAAGAAAACCAAGCAATCTTTACTCTTCCCGTCAACACTCACATTTTTTGGCCACAGGACATGGGGTGCAAACATAAGGGCAAGGTTATAGGCTGACATCTTGTTCTTGTCTTGTTTCTTTGCTGTCTGGTATAGGAGATCAAGCAATAACTTCAGCAAATTACGATTAGGAGGAGGGAGAATGAGGAAGAGCAACTGGAGAGCCTCAATTTGCCGGTCCTTGTCTGGTATATTGGTCTTGTTTCCTTTATCATCAAACTGCATCAAATCTTGAGGACAAAAGAGAATTTGCAAAGTGGGGAGAAAATATCAGCAAGAAAAATCAGTGCTATCACCATTATCCTCCCCTCAACTCCCATCAAAGAAAGAGGGAAAAAAGATTCAGGCAGAAACACAATTCAAAGACTACAGCAAAACATAATAACAAAATAATGTCAATGCAATTCAACAATAAAAAGATTAAAAAACCTGTTTTGTTTTGTTTTGTTTTTTTTGAGACAAAGTCTTGCTCTGTCACCCAGGCTGGAGTGCAGTTACACAATCTCAGCTCATTGCAACCTCCGCCTCCCGGGTTCAAGCGATTCTCCTGCCTCAGCCTCCCGAGTAGCTGGGACTATAGGCACCCGCCACCACGCCCGGCTAATTTTTTGTATTTTTAGTAGAGGCGGGGTTTCACCGTGTTAGTCAGGATGGTCTCGATCTCCTGACCTTGTGATCCGCCTGCCTCAGCCTCCCAAAGTGCTGGGATTACAGGCGTGAGCCACAACACCCGGCCAAAATTTTTTTTAATGTGTACAGGATTTGAATAGACATTCCTTCAGAAGGTATACAAGTGGCCAAGAAGGCTTTGTATGCTCAGTATCATTAGCCATCAAGAAACTATAAATCAGGCCGGGCACAGTGGCTCACACCTGTAATCCCAGCACTTTGAGAGGCCGAGGCGGGCGGATCACAAGGTCAGGAGATCGAGACCATCCCAGCTAACACAGTGAAACCTGTCTCTACTAAAAATACAAAAAAATTTGCCCAGCATGGTGGTGGGCGCCTGTAGTCCCAGCTACTCAGGAGGCAGAGGCAGGAGTATGGCGTGAACCTGGGAGGCGGAGCTTGCAGTGAGCCGAGATCATGCCCCTGCACTCCAGCCTGGGCGACAGAGCAAGACTCCATCTCAAAAAAAAGAAAAAACAAAACAAAACAAAAAACTATAAATCAAAACCACAATGACATACCACTTCATATCCACTACAATGGCTATAACTACAAACAGATTGACAATAAAAAATGTTGGCAAAGATGCAGAGAAAATTAAACCCTCCTATATTGCTGGTGGGCATATAAAATGATATAACCACTTAGAAAACATTTTGGCAGTTCCTCAAAAAATGAGAGTTATCATTTGACCAAGAAATTCCATTCCTCGGTATATACCCAAGAGAAATAAACACATATCCAAGTCAGGCACAGTGGCACATGCCTGTAACCCCAGCACTTTGGGAGGGCAAGGTGGGCAGATCACTTGAGCCCAGGAGTTCGAGACCAGCCTGGGCAACATGGTGAAACCCCATCTCTATATTTAAAAAAAAAAAAAAAAAAAAAAGATCCACACATGCCTTTGATAATGCTACTCACTCCACTTTTCCCCACTCAGATATTTTACAGCTAAAAGAAAAATGAGAATGAAAAATGAGAATGAATGTCCTTATTCACAAGCTGCTCCTTATAACAGGCAGCTCCCAATAGGGTCAGAATTATTGGTTCTTCCCTAACAGACTAAAAAGGTTATCAATGAAAACAGTCCCCTGGATAATGAGAATTTCAAAGGACACTAATAACCATTTGAGTACAACTCACATAGATGTAAAAATGATTACAGTGTGTTATTTAAGCTGTTTAACCTCAATAATTCCAGGTTTAGGAAGGGCAGGTAACATTTCTAGAAAATGTTCTCTGTTAATATGAAACTGAAAACAAAAATTATTTCCAGTTATCAGCAAGGCATATGAAAGGCTACAACTGTGCCACGCCTCAGTATGTTCTCAAAGAACAGTCAATCACAGGGTAGTGGAAGGGAGGATTTCAAATATTGCACTAAACGAATGAACTGAACTGGAAAGCAAACAAAACAAGCATCCTTCATGTTAACACTTGTAAAAAGAATATTTTCCAAATCTTTTTCAAAGGTCTAACATCTTTATTTCTCCCCAAAATAACTGTAAAATTGTATAACATTCTAGTAGTATTTACTCATTGCATCATTTGGATTGCTACTAAAAGAGCTAAAAAAAAAAACTAATCGTATTAGATTTTTAAAATTCAACACTTGTTTCTTTAAGTAGTAAAAATTATTCAAAAGGAAAAAATCTTCTATTTCTTTTCCATATAATTAGAAGAAACAGGAAAAATACTCAGGGGCAGGAAACTAAGCAACTGCAGTAATGGATATTGATGCTGTGAACACTTAGAGCCCATAGCAGCATAACAGACGTGCAATTTAAGAATGAATTCCCTACCACATGGGTATAAAGCAGTATGAAGAAACTATTTATGAGCTGAAAATGGAACACTCTCCAAGATACAGTAAGTGAAAAAAGCAAACCACAGAACCATGTGTGTAACCTATTACATAAAAATCAGAGAAAAGGAATATATGTATTTGTTTGGAAGTACACAAAATATCTCTGGAAGGATACTTTAGAAATCAGTAACACTGGTCTGGGGGCTGCGGCTCATGCCTGCAATCCTAGCACTTTGGGAGACTGAGGAGGGAGGATCACTTGAAGCCAGGAGTTTGAGACCAGCCTGGGGAACAGGCTTTCTTTTAAAAAAAAAAAAAAAAAATTTTTTTTTTTTTAAATCAGTAACACTAACCAGTGTTACTGGTGTTGGGGACTGGGTGAACTGGGTGTTGGGGAACAAGTGTAGGAGAGAAGGTTTTTACTGTATATTATTTGAATCATCTGAATTTTGAACTATGTGTTTCTATTCAGAAAACAAATAATAATTTTTAAAAAAAATAAATTTCCTTGGCTGGGCACAGTGGCTCACATCTGTAATCCCAGCACTTTGGGAGGCCAAGGTAGGCCGATCACAAGATCAGAAGTTCGAGACCAGCCTGGCCAACATGGTGAAATCCCGTCTCTACTAAAAATACAAAAATTAGCTAGGCGTGGTAGCGCGTGCCTGTAGTCCCAGCTACTCGGGAGGCTGAGGCAGGAGAATCACTTGAACCCGGGAGGCGGAGGTTGCAGTGAGCCGAGATTGCACCATTGCGCTCCAGCCTAGTGACAGAGCGAGACTCAGTCTCAAAACAAACAAACAAACAAATAAAATTTCCAAGAGTAGAGATGCCCTCAACCGAGGCATAGAAATACTGAGCAAAAACCCCAAACCAAGGCAAAAATACCGAACCTATAAACATCTGAAATATATGAATCAATCCAATGAAAAGCATACATTTATTAAGCAACTAAAACACGTTGGGCACAGTGGCTCATGCCTATAATCCCAGCACTTCAGGAGGCCAAGGTGGGCAGATGGCTTTGGCCCAGGAGTTTGAGTCTGGGCAACACGGCGAAACCCCATGTCTACAAAAATTACAAAAAAATTTGCCAGGCGTGGTGCCGCACACCTATAGTCCCAGCTACTTGGGAGGCTGAGGTGGGAGGCTCACCTGAGCCCGGGAGAGCAAGGCTGCAGTGAGCCAAGGTTGCACCACTGCACTCCAGCCTAAGTGACAGAGTGAGATCATGTCTCCAACTAAAATGTTCTACACACTACTCGAGGATCTATCAGAGATTCAAAAATAAATAAAACTCAGACGACATCTTACTACCAGCTCCTTATCTCAATACAAAGCTTATTTATCAAGAAAGCCATTCAATTAAAATTAAACTTAACTAGCCAATACCTATGAGTACCCAGAGAAGTCCAGCAACATCACGAAATCTTAACCAATATTAATAGAAGTATTTCTGTGGGTCACAAGCAACAGAAATTTCCTAGGAACTTTACTAAATTGAAAGAAATGTATTTACATCTCCTTCTTACTTCCTATACTCACCAGCGATTTTGAGGTGTGCATTGAAGTGTTTATGTGTCAGCAGAGGCTCCGGCAACTCTCCTAGAAACATCTTCAGCAAAGTGGCAACATCATTTGAGTGAAATTCCCCTGATTCCAAGTCAATGTCAGTTCCATTATTGAGAGCATCCCTTAAAATCTGCTGTCGGACACTATTACCCGGTACTCTAAACAAACCCTCTACTCGCAAGTCTGTTTAGCATAAAACAAAGCAGAGGACAGGCAAAAAGGAAGCAGAAAGATTATTATTAAAATAAATGGTCTAAAGACTACTTTACACTTAAAAGACCCTTCACAAAGCCTTTCAAGTAAGTTTTTGCCTTTTTTCACCAGGGTAGTTTAGAACCTATTGACCTCCTGAGGAGACATATCTGAATGTCCCTGAGCATTTGGAGATCTTCCAAACTAAAAGGTAGTCCTCCTGGGAGTCATTCAACCTCCTGAGGTATGGATAGACAATCTGAATTTAACCCAATCAATGGTCAGGAATAGCTTGAAAAATAAACTTTAAAAAAGCCAAATCTCCCTAAAGACCTCTTCTTGTTTATCCCAGACTTCGTTTGGAGGGGCTACATACATCTGTGGATGTTTGTGGCTCTTGTAAACTGTTTTCCCAGCCCAGAATGAATCCAGAGTCTCTGCATTGCTCCAGGAATTAGAACTCTAATGTGTCAAATTCCTAAGAGATTCCCAGAAGCTTTAGGGTCATCCCAACTAAACTATTCGTCCCTAGGCCAGGCTCAATGGCTCACGCCTATAATCTCAGCACTTTGGGAGGCCTAGGCGGATGAATCACTTGAGCACAGTAGTTCAAGACAAGCCTAGGCAATATGGCAAAATCCCATCTCTACAAAAAACTACAAAAAGTAG